>NC_000011.10:131984740-132293928 GCF_000001405.40 Homo sapiens | reverse complement strand
AGACCAACTAGTATAATACATGTTTTAGGCTTTGCAGGCTGAGCGGCCTCTAGAGCAACTGTTAAACTTGCCACTGTAGCACAAAAGCAGTCATAGACAATACATAAATCAGTGAGTGTGGCTTCACTCCAAAAAAACTTTACTTTTGGACAATGAAATTGTGGTTTCATACAATCCTAATGTGTTACAACATAGTATTCTCCTTTTGATTGATACTCAATTATTTAAAAATGTAAAAAGAAAAAAAAAAAACCTTACATTTCAGGCCATTCAGAAAAGAGGCTGCAGGCTGAATCTGGCCCATAGGCTGTAGTTTGCTGACCTCTCCTGTAGACGCGTAAATCTCCAGTCATCTATGATTTCCTGTAGTCTCACACCCGCTGTTTCATATAACCCTTCATCGGACTGCACTCCACATCCTCCCCACCCTTTTGCAGTCCTTCCATTCTGCACTCAGGAACCTCTCCTGCATCATCAACGCTCCCTGACAGCATCCAATTCTTGGAGAGATGCCTCCACCTCACTCTCATACTCAGGCGGGGACATGGGCTCTCCTGGAGACGTGTCCTGTCAAGTGGGGGCTACCCAATTTTTAAATACCGCACATATTTTTTTGTTGGTTGGTGTCTTTGTTTTCCAGTTAAACTTCTGAGCTTGCTCCATCTTTTTCAAACCTTACATCTTTAAGGCTCATATTATCTAAATAATTACACCCCTGCCTCTTCCTCTTCCATCACATTTCTGTTCTCTACTGACTTCCTGGTTATTATTTTTTTCTATTCAATAAAAACCTTTGCTTCTTAGAGTCTCCATCTGCATCCTCACTCCTACCACTATTCTCTGTGACCTCCTCGTCCAGAAGTACAATCCGTCAAAAACCGGCCCCTCATATTCTTGATCTTACCTCCATGACTTTTTGCTCTGCTGTCTTCTGTGACCTACTCCACATTCACACCTAAAACTTGTCAGAAACTGAACCACCTCTGAAGGCATTAATTTAAGCATCTCACTCTGTCCATAACTTCCTACCTTTTTAAAATCTTTGTTCAGTCGCTTGAGGGAACAATTATTTTTCTTCACTAGGGATTTAAATCCCCCGATCCAACATTTTTTAGTTTTTTTTTTTTTTTTTTTTTTTTTTACTTTTACATCCCTTTTGATAAAATTTATATTTTATAACGCATCATTGTTCTCTCTCCCTGGAAAATACTCTCAACTCCTTCGCCTCCCTCCCTTGTTCCACTAGCCTGGCAAAACCCCATCCTAGATGAATCTAAATGTCTGTCTCCTCTGTGTCTGCTGTAGGAACATCAAAAAAACAAACTGGCTTCTCCGTACACTCATACGTGCCTGTCTCAAGCAGGCACTCATAACTGCCATGGACACTTGAGCACTCTCAAGGTTCATTTTTCCCCTTCTTCATGCTCTTCCAACTTCTCAGTGCCTCACCACCCTCTCCCTCCATCCACGCTGTCCTCTGCTGAGGATCCTGTCTCCTGCTCCACTGAGGTGGGGGAGGGGCCGGAGGAGGGAGAATAGAGAAGCCGTCAGACAGACTCATTTTCTCATGATCAAATGTACAGACCAACATTTGTGCTTGCCATCTCATTATCTCCTACATTTTAGAAAACTTAGATTTCATGACCCATCACTGCAACTCTCATGGGGAAATATCCTCAACCCCTTCACTTCTATTCATACTTTACAGTAACTGTCTAACAAATGTCTTCCCTTCCCGCTATCAAAAAACCAATTCCTCCTTTTGTTCTATGCATTTGTTTCTTTCTCACTTTTTCAAGGAATTCCCTTCATCAGCTACCTGGACTTTCTCCTCAATCTTCACCTGCTTTTGCTGTACTGGATCATTTTCATGGTTGTTTTCACACCTTCTAATGTCTGCCTTAACACCACTGTTTTCCACTGACCCCAGGCTCCACAGCCTCTTTTCACAGTCAAGCTTCTCAGAACAGTTGTCCAAATGTGCTGTCTCAGATTCTTCCCCTCATATTCACACTTCAACCAGTCCAATCCAGCTTCTGTTCACACCTCTCCACCGAACCTACCCATTCCAAAGTCACTGAATGACTTCCATGTGTCCAAATTCATGGCACACATCTTAGCATTTTCTTAAAAGACTTCTCAGCAGCAATATACATAGCTGACAACTCACTCCTTTAAATGAGCTTTTCTTGGCTTCTATAATGTCATAATCTCCTAACTGCCCAACCACCTCTCTGGATAGTCCTTCAAAATCTCCTTTCCTGGCTTCTCCTCAGGGCTAGGTTCTAGGTATTCTTGTCTCACTGTACAATGATTTCCCAGGCAATATCATTTATTCTGTGGCTTTGAACATTCAGGTTTATGGCAATAACTCACACATTTATATCTTCACCCTATTTCTCTTCCATGAACCCTACACTTCCATAGGCAATTCCATGGTCACATGGAAGTCTCATAGGCATCCCACATTTGACATGTCCGACATGAAATTCTTCTAGATTTATCTTCCTTCAAATTTTCTTCTCCTTCAGTTTTTCTCTTATTCATAAATGGCACCTTTACCAGTCACATTTCTCAAAAAAAAATGTAGAAGTCATACTCAGTACTTAACGCTTCCTGAATCCAATATCAAATCCATCACCAAGTCTTATTAATTCTACCTCTAAAGTATATCTTGAATCCATCCTCTTCTGTTCACTGACACTTCTATCACCTGATACTTTAGGGACAACTGGAGGGGTCTGCTGGACTTTCACATTTATAAAACTTATTTACAAATATTATCTATTTTAATTTTTATTCAATAATAATATTAGGTAGGCGTCAACATCTGATCCATACTCACATACCAGGCCATACGATACCATCATCCCAAACACAGCATAAATTCCTATACGGCCCATTGTGATCTAATGCCTCTATTTCCTTATCATTTCTTCCTCACATTTTCCCACATGTGGTTCAGATCTAACGGAAACAACTCATAATTCTAGAAGAACGTCATCTTATCTTTTGTCATACTACCACCTGGAAACACTCTATTTTTCAGGTTGTCGCCTTCTTTCTTTCAGGTTACAGCTTAAGTTCAGCTCGTATAAGAATCCTTCTGTAACCTCTGCACATCCCCTGGGATAGCACCCCCATCCCCAATTCACTGTACATCTTAACTACTTGGTGCTTTTTAAAAATGGTAACACTTATTACATTATATTAAAATGGATGGGTTATTTATCTCTCTCTCCCTTCAGAGTAAAGGTCCATTAAAGAGAGATAGTATTTCTGTATCTGTAGCATATAGTTATACACAATATATAGTTGTTGAATGAATAAATGCACAAAAATAAAGCTGATATGTTCCTCACTCTCAATAAATTTATAATTTACTAGGTCAATGTTAATTCTTCATCTATGCTTTTATGCACAGGGTCTATTAAAACAATACGCTCAGTATCCAATGCATATTTAGAACTCCAGAATGAAGGACACCGTCCTTATTAAGTTCTTTAATAACCCATGACAAACATAGCTGACTCTTTAGCCCTATTTCCTATTACTCCCGGCTCCCAATTTCCCCATATCAGTGATTTACCAAGGGCAGGGCAGTGGGAGATGTCTGCTCACTGATGGTGTTTAAAATTACATGTGTACAGTGATAATAAAAAAAAAAAAATCAGACTATCTTTTAGTCAGTCTTACTGCTATTATTTTTAATTCTCTATAAGACTTGCAGTCCAAGTTATTATGGGGTAACTACATCTTATCCTTTCTCTCCCATTCATTATAACTGACAAAAATACATAAATGAAATATATGAGAGCTCTGAAGGTTAAACAATAGCAGGAAGCTTGTGGAGGGAAATGAAAACTTGAAGAAAGAACAATATAGCGGCAAATGTCCTGTTGTTTATTTTCCTCCTTCCTTTCCTGGCTTAAACTTAGAACAGCCAGAATCCTAAAACTGTATAGCAAATGCCAACAGAAACAACAACAACAAAACAGAACAAAACAAACAAAAACTCTTGGATAAACTCTTTTTGGTCTGAGGATGTGGAAAGATAAGGCTTGTAAGACGGAGAGTCCGGGGAAGTCCACTTTCTTTCCTTCCCTCGACCCTGCCCTGAGGTAAACCTCAGTGCTGACGCTGCAGTCTTGCAGCAGTGGTGATAGTAGCAGCAGTGGCCACAAAGACATCTAAAACTCTAAAAAAATACTTCATGACCAGCGGAACTGAGTACAGGAGCCTCTGTGGTCTGAAAAGTGTAGAGGAATACCTATTACATTTTTTCTTCTCTTTCTTCTCACCACTTTTCCCTGGAGTTGGACTCAGTCACAAGAAATTTGTAACATTAAGGTTATGGCAGGGGGTGAGGGGATGGAGTATGGTGCTAATACTCCTGCTTTCTAGGCAGATGGCAAAGAAAGGGGGCTCATGGGAGCTGGAGAGCAGGGGGAAATCACGGAGAGAAGGAGCTCAAGAAAGGAATCAGGTATAGCAATGTATAAAGTCCCAGGTTCACTCTGAACTTGTGTGGAACTCACCCAGGACAGTACACCAAAGGCTTTGAGAACTGAACTCTTGTGTAAACCACCACCCAGAGTCTTAGTTGGTGAACTCTGCCTGTATATTCTCAAAGGATCTTAACAGAATCTAGAGTCTAGTAAGATAAAAATGTGCACTATATAATCAAAAATTACTCATCCTACAAAGAGCAAGGGGAAGCTAAATAATTCCCAAGGGAAAAGACAATTAACAAACACCATCCCTGAGAATTGTTGCAAATTGCCAGATCTTAAAGCAGCTGCTAAAACTATGCCCTGCAAAGTAAAGGTGAACACTTTTAAAACAAATATGATGGTGGACATTCTCAAGACAGAACTAGAAGCCATACACAAGAAGCAAGTAAGAAAAACTAGGACTGAGTTTTAGGTACTAATTGGATCAGTTTAATAGCAAAATAGAGATGATAGAGTAAAAAGTCAGTAAACTTAAAGATAAATAGAAATTATCGCACCAGGCATGGTGGCTCACTCCTATAATCCCAGCACTTTGGGAGGCTGAGGCGGGTGGATCACCTGAGGCCAGGAGTTCAAGACCAGCCTGGCCAACATGGTGAAACCCCGTCTCTACTAAAAATACAAAAAATTAGCTGGGCGTGGTGGTGGGCGCCTGTAATCCCAGCTACTCAGGAGGCTGAGGCAGGACAATCGCTTGAACCCGGGAGCTGGAGGTTGCAGTGGGCCAAGATCGTGCCATTGCACTCCAGCCTGGGCAACAAAAGCGAAACTCTGTCCCAAAAAAAAAGAAAAAGAAAGAAAGAAAAAAAGTATCCAATCTAAACAATAGAGGTTAAAAGATGGGAAGGCAACAAAAGAAATATTTTGGGGTGAAACTATTGTGTATTCCGTTCAGTTCAAGTGGTGTTCTATACATGAATTGATGTATGCATTAAAACATACAGGCACAGAAACATGCATTCAAAAAGTAGCTAAGTTTAGTAGCTAAGAGTGTATGGTATACCATAGGTGCCAAAGAAATTATATTTCATATGTCAGAATCTTGGATGTCCTCAAGTTTTACAGCTTCTTAAGGTCTACTTGCCCTTTAAGTTTAAGTAAATCTTCTGAATCTTCTGTGCACTGAGAAACTCCATATTCTCTCCAATGGCTTGGGGCATCTTGGTAAGCCTGCACGTGTCTTGGCTTCCATGGCACTTGGCTTTCTATTCCACTAAGAATCATATTCTGCACGATGTGGCTTGCATCCTGCCCAGGCTATTCCCCCATCCATGCTGGTTGGCAGAACTGTCTGCTTCAATCCCCAGAGAAACACTGACACTAGGCTCTGTGCGCTGCACACAATACTAAAGAGTTTTGTAAAAGGAGATTATTTTTCACAAAGCATATAAAGAAACTGAAATTTTACTAATTTTTGTCTCTAGGGACAATGTATATCATACCCTTGAACCACATAAATGTTTATTAAATGAGTAGCCTCAATTATTCTTCCATATTCTTCAAAATAGACACATATACACCAAACAAATCCTCAGCACACTATGTTTTTCCTGCTTTTCATGTGTACCCATATCCTGCATTTGGACATGCATACCGACCCAAAATTGTAAGCTCATGCAATGTAAGCTTATTAGAGACACATTCACATGCATGCTCACACATGCATGTTAGCACATTTTTTCTTTCTCTATCAGAATCCTTAGATCTGGTCATTTATTTCTAGTTTAAATCCATTTTTCAGATGTTTTATATTGGGAAACATGCAGAGTCAAAAGTCCCTGATTCATTTGTACTTGACTCCCTGAAATTGTATTTTTTAGAGGCTGTTCAGTCTCTCTGATCCTTTTCTCCAGCCTTTTAAGCATTTTTTAAATATAAACCAGATCTTTTCCCCCAAGAATTTATATAACTTAAACCTCAGGTGGCATGACACATATGCAGCTCTAGGGTCCTCTGCTCAGTCACATGCACACCCAGCCTGACATGCATGACATGAGCTGGATAAAAGAATGCTTCTCTCAAGTTATTAGAAGGAAACGTACGCAGACAGAACATCCGGGTCCTGAGCTCAATGTGTCTTCCATTATTCATTCTATACATAATGAAAAATAAGCGTTTGGAAAACACAGCATACTCCACTTACCAAAATCATAATTCTGACTATGATCATCATTATTTCACCATTATGTGTGCCTGAGAAAATTACTCAGCTTTACACCCACCAGGACTGAAACTGGCCTTGCCTAAAGGGCCTAAGGACTGGTTAGACAGATCTGACAAGGGAGGATGATGGATGAGCATCAGACAGCACATTCTCTGCCATCGACAGCCTGAGGGGTCTCAAATGGTCTAGAAAATATTTTGAAGAATAAATACACACTAAGGAGGAATTTAAAGGAGAAAGCCCTTGTTCATGTACCAGGGAAAGGATTTTCTGTAGTTGAGTCATTTCAAGAGTGAGAAGGACATAGGCACCAAAGAAGAAAAGCATCTTCAAAGAAGGATCAATAGGCAGAAGTGCAGGAAAGGTAGAATAGCCAGGGTTCTCAGGGATCCTGCGAACAGATGGCGGAGCTTCCTAAGTCTGATGCATCTCCCTAGTTTGTTTTCTCATTGGATACACCATTGTCATGGTGGTCAGGTGGATTCAACACTGTGCCCTGCTCTAGCCACAGTGATGTTCAGCATTCCTGGCCCCTCCCCACAGGGGGCCAGTAGAGCCATGCGGTCATTCTGGTGGGCTCATGCATATTCGAATATCCCCCAGAGATGGTGCCCAGTTGAAAACCATTGAGTATCAGAAGTATCAAAAATTCTAGTAGCAACAACAGAGTGGTGAGGCAAAAATAAGTGGGCCAAAGTTGCGCATTGAGGCTGTGTGTGTTTGGGTGGGGGGGGCGGACAGGCAAAGTATGTGTAATATCGTGTTCTTCTCTAGCATTTACCTAAATGGTGCTTCTGTGTTACTCCTAAATCTCCTTCCTTTGAATCTTTCAATCCTTCATTCAGGTCCTCTTCCAAGAAAGGGCCAGAAACACAATCCCATTTGAAAAGAACTACTATTTTTAAACTGTTCTCCTGAGATGAAGTGCAGAGTGGCAGCCTGCTGTAACAGACAGAAATAGCCTGCACTGCCATAGGCCAGACTCGTTTATGTTTTAGCTTGAATGAGTCTCTTATTTTATGTTCCTGATAAAATGAGGGGGATATAATATCGACTGTGAAGTTTATAGATCAGTTTAAATATTTTAAATATATGGATGCATTCTGTAAATTGTACTCCACTGTGTGGATATTAGAAGTTATTATTTCACAGAAACCAGAGACTCAAACTAAAGGTACTGATGATCAAATGTCAGCCAGCAGCCAAGCCAAGTGCTTGGGGTGATAGGTCTTCCTTGCAGATGGAAGCTCTTAGTTTGCAGGTGCCCACTGACTCTGCAAACCGAGGAAGCCAGTCCTGAGCTGAACTCCATTTTTCTCATGATGCAGCCAGGATAAGCTAGAGTGGCTACATTAGCAAGATTCCCATCTACAAGAGGCTGGACTGTGCCTTGAATTGTAAAGATCCTGGTGGAGTGAGACTCATCTGTCAAGGCTAGGAGAGGCAGACAGTCTAAGGGACAGCGACTGGCAGTAAATATGGCCAGAGCAGAGTCGGGGAAGATTGATGTCCTACCTGAGAAAAGGGGAGTGATGCAAAGAATAAATGATCTCTTGTGTGTCCTTTGGTCCTAAGAGCTAAACTCATATTGCCAATTTGATGCCTGGGGAACCGCTGTGAATATAACTCATGGAGAAAAAGTGATAAGTGTAATGGGTGGTGCCCGAGACATAGCAAGTCCAGGTGCACCGATGCCCCAATCTGGGTGCTCCTGAACAGCAGGGAGTGTGCCTCAGGCTGTCGAGGGGTGGCTGTGACAGTGAGAGTAGCAGTGCCATCTCAGTCAGGTCCACGAAGGAGGACACTTAGAAAAACAGAGTTGGTCAGAGCTGGGAGCATTTCATTCCTCCTTCTTCAAGATGTGCATGACAATTAACAACAACAAAAAGGTGAGAAGAGAGAGGTACAAAGGGAGCTCAGAGCAGAGGCTGCCCATAGTCCTGTGACCACAGGGTGGAGAGGAAGGCTGGTGGGCATGAGAACCAGGTAGGATGGCTCCCAGTCAATGTTAATGTGAAGCCACAGAGGGCAAGGCAGGGGTCCAGGCCTCTGAGGGGCAGATGGGCTGAGAGAGCACTACTGAGGATGCCCCTTGAGAGAGGGGGAGTCCAGGTGGGAAGACGTGGGTAGCAGGGAAGCCTAGGCTGGGAAGGTCTGAGTGGACAGCACCTGCAGGCAGCGTCACTTTGCTCCTCACACTGCTCTTTCTGCTGCATCTCAGGGTCCCATGAGCACAGTCCCAGAGTGACCCTTCCTGCTCCTGCTCATGCTTCCCCAGGTGGATGAGCTCCCACCTCTCTTGGAGCTGTGCTTTCCTCATCCTGTTGCTGTGGCAAACACACCAGCACACATTCCTAAGTCACGCATGCATCCGCAGCGGCTCAGCCTCGTGGCTGTGCAGCAGTCGCAGTGCTGGGCATCTGAGGCGGGTCTCCATGAGGCAGGAGTAGAAACCCTGGCCGGCCCCGCCTTCTCCCCAAGGCCACTGTCGGGGAAGAGTCAGGTGGGGTTTACAATGTGACAGTTGGAGGAGGCAGAGGAGAGGGACTGACCAGTTGTTATGGGCTGATTTATGCTCCCACCCCAAATCCGTAAGTTGAAGTCCCAACCGCCAGTATCACAGTGTGAGGGCATTTGGAAGCAGGGTCCCAGTATCACAGTGTGAGGGCATTTGGAAGCAGGGTCCCAGTATCACAGTGTGGGGGCATTTGGAAGCAGGGTCCCAGTATCGCAGTGTGAGGGCATTTGGAAGCAGGGTCCCTAAGTAGGTCATGCAGTTAAACTGAGGTCACTGGGGGAGACCCAATCTAATGGGACTGGTGTCCTTAGGAGAAGAGATCAGGACACAGAGATGCAGAGGGAAGACATGTGAAAACACAGGGAGAAGGCGACCTTCTACATGCCAAGGAGAGAGGCCCTCCCAGAAATCAACCAGGCCGACTGTTTTAGCTCAGACTTCTGGCCTCCAAATTTGTAAGACAATGCATTGCTGTTGTTGAAGCCCTCCAGGCTGTGGTACTTTGTTACCTCAGCGCTAGCAACCAGTAGAGTGGGTGTCCAGGGGAAAGCCCAGAATAGGGAGGGGGCTCACCTTGGAGGGTTTGCTGTGCGCCAGCTCTTTCCCATACCTCATTTCATTTTAATCCCCACAAAATCATCCTCTAGGGATCCTGGGGCTGAGGCCCCAGGGGCTGGGACAGTCCTTTGGAAGTGGTGGGGCTTTCTACAAGCACTGGGCATTGCCTCAGAGGGAGGAAGGAAGGGAGAGGGAGAAGCCCAAGAGGAGGAGAGGAGGCCAGGAAAAGGGCGGGATGGAGGGAATCACTGAGATAGAGCCCCTGGGGTGATGACAGCACAGGCACTCCCATGGGGCCTGGGCAAGAGCTTAGTGTCTCCTCTGCAGACACGGTTACTGGTAGGACATTTCCACTTTCCCTCTAAAGCCCCCCATTGAACAGGAGGGCACATTTCAGACTTGCCCATCTTAGCCTCCCCTCCTATCCCTCTTCGCTAAAAGCATTCTCAGTCCCTGAGCCTAACTTAGAACAGGGTGCTATGAAGTACCGCCTAGAGGTGGAAGCAACTGCAGAGAGAACTGGATGCTTCTTTTCTTTCATTCATCATTTAGGAATATAACCATGATGCAAATATTTTTTTAAGATGCCAATTTTTTCATCCAAATTGTTATTCAAGCATAAATAGGCATCACATTTTGCACATCATCCCGAGCTCCTTGATCTCTGATCGCTGTCCTAATTGTCTTACTTGACAAAGACGATGAGGCACCAAACCCTGCACTAGAACAATGAATCTGTGCTTCTCCAAGAGGTGGTGCTAATTATCTTGAGCCACTCCCTTAGAACTATTGGGCTGGCTAAAGTAGGTTATGATTTTACCAACTTGGAAAAAATTAAGAATTTGCCAGATGTTTAGCTTTTACACCATATGACAGAAATTGCCCCTGTTGACCCGGAGCGGTGGCTCATGCCTATAATCCCAGCACTTTAGGAGGCTGAGGCAGGTGGATCACGATGTTAAGAGATTGAGACCATCCTGGCCAACATGGTGAAACCCTATCTCTACTAAAAATACAAAAATTAGGTGGGCATGGTGGCACGTGCCTGTAGTCCCAGCTACTCAGGAGGCTGAGGCAGGAGAATCGCTTGAACCCAGGAGGCGAAGGTTGCAGTGAGCCAAAATCATGCCACTGCACTTTGGCATGGAGACAGAGCGAGACTCTGTCTCAAATAAAAAAAAAAAAAAAAAAAAAAAAAGGAATAAAGGAATTTCCCGTTTCATTTCTTCCAAGTACATTAAATTATATGAACACATGTTGATAAAGTTGTTTAACCTGTATCTATTACAAAGCTTAATTAAAATGGCATATATTATATAAACACACATATCACTTGGAGTTAAGAAGTTAAGTTAATGCCTATTAATAGGCATTCATAGATTGTAAGAAGATTTTGTGTAGATTATGTTTCTCTCTTAAACAGGCTAAATATTCAATTTATCACTTTACCTGTCCTAATGTTTTCTAAATCATCTTCCTCTTTCTACTCTTGACACAAAGGAAAAACTTATTCCAACTGAGTTGAAACATCCCACATTTTTAATTAATTAATCTGGTTGGAATTAATGATGTTTCACTGTTTGGGCAATGAGATATTTTTTGGAAAACATGAGCTTTTCAAGACACAAGCTACTCGGGGAGCGTATTTCTGTTCAGAGTTGTTGTAGACAAAAATCTGCTATTTGAGGAGGGGGCTGGGACTGTCATCTGAAAGCTCCTAATGATCAGCATTATACATCACAATAAAAAATGTGTCTTTGTGTAAACTTGGAAACCAGAACAATTTATAGCTATTTCAAGTTACCCACTGGCTTCCAGACACAAGCTATTCCCTAAAGAGCTCTAGCTCAGCTGCTCTGGTGACAAGAGAATTTCTGAGGAATATTTCATGAAGATTTTTAAAAATGTTTACAACAATGCAAATATTGATGTCTCAGCCCAGTCAATACGGCAATTTATTGTCCTTCAATGTAAACATTGAGCCAGGCTCCCTATTGGTCAATATCTACACTCAGGTAAATAAATCTTTATACTGACTTCAGCAGATGTCAATAGCTACTTATTCCAGATAAGTAAAAGTAAAAACAGGAAGCATTATTTATTTTTTGAGGTAAAATAGCAACTAGTTACATAAAGGCCTGGCAGCATTTCTGAAATATCAATACGTAGTTGCTTTTGGCAATGAAACATAACAATATGATAAGATGTGGGCTTAAAGCTCACAGGTTGAAAGTTTGGAAGCAGAAATTAATAAAAATAAATTTTATCTATGTTATTAATATCACAATACTTTTTTTGAGATTGAAAGCATTCCAAGATTTCTTGTTCTTTTTATCATGTGTGAAGTCAATTTTTGATAGTACTCATAACTGTGAGAATTCACAAGGCTATATTCCTGAACGCTTCCTAGATGATGCAATTAACCCTTATTCCAAATCTAAAAGAAGAATATGTCTGTGCTTGACCCATGTATGATGTGAAAGCTTACTGTCTGGTCATGCTTTGGGCTGCACATATTGTGCTTTGGAATCAAGCTTCAAGGACAATTTCTGGGCATCAGACTTCTGTATTTTTAGATATCTATTCTTACAGACTGGGGTTCTGTAAATGAAAGAAGGTTCTCCCACAGTCATTGGGCAGTGGGTGGACAAGGAACCCAATCATCTATTAAAATGATTTGAAGATGAACAAATGTTTCTGTGTATTTGCATCTGAATTGTGAAAAACATATACGTATATGCATATACTTGTATATATTGAACTCTTTCGGAGGCACACTGAGCTTTTGTGGGCACAGAATTGATTACCTAGACACTGTCAGATATTTACTTAAAAATAATAATATATTAAGAAAAGTATCAATGTTACTTCCCTGTGAGAAAACTCCTGAAACCTTCAGGCTTGTGATTATGCTCCACTAATTGGTGTGTGGACTCACTGGGCTAACAGAAAATTTAGCTAATCAAAACGCAGCCATGCTCTGAAGACCCACTGGTCACACCCAAGGTCATTCCTTTAAAGCTGTTAGAAGAATTTAGTTACTGAAGGAGTGATGCTCCATGTTGATGTGGCACTTTCAAAGCAGCATATGCCAAATAAAATTAAATGAACATTTATGCTCATTATAAAAATGTCTACAATGCAATGGGGGCTGGAAAAAGAAAATGAGGTTTTAAAAAAGATCAAAGCTGCTAATAGTGAGAGAATGTTATTTGCCTCAAGTGTGATTTTCCTCCAGAGGTTTCTTAGCCAATGACTGCCCTGTGGGCAATGACTGTTGAATCTGAGGAACAGCTAGCTATAGGTGGCTTTGAAATCTGGGGTGGGGTTTACAGAACCACAAACAAATGAAAGCTATCCCTACAATTCACAATAAGAAGACTATCAGAGGCCAGGGGTGGTGACTCAGGCCTGTAATCCCAGCGCTTTGGGAGGCCGAGGTGGGCAGATCACCTGAGGTCAGCCATTCCAGACCAGCCTGGCCAACATGGTGAAACCCTGTCTCTACTAAAAATACAAAAATCAGCTGGGTGTGGTGGCATGCACCTGTAATCCCAGTTACTTGGGAGGCTGAGACAGGAGAATCGCTTGAACCTGGGAGGTGGAGGTTGCAGTGAGCCAAGAACATGCCACTGCACTCCAGCCTGGGTGCCAGGGCGTGACTCCATCTCAAAAAAAAAAAAAAAAAAAAAAAAAAAAGAAGAGAGTATCAGGACAGTGTGGTGAGGCCAGGAGATGTCTCCAGTAGACTCGGAGGGTGCTGAGACTAAGTTCACCCGAAAACTAAAGAGCTGGTGCACCCTAGGCGAGCAAACTGCATGTTTCTGCTGGAGTGTCCTGTACTTTCACCATGTTACATTACTATTTCGGGTGGGGGATACTGATGTCAACACAGCCTTCAAGATAAATCCAAGGAACTTTGCTAGCAAACCTCAAATTTATTTTCTGGCATTAGGCAAACTAGTAAATCACAATCCCTGCCCTATATGTACAGAAGGATTTCTCTGATGACCTCGGTTGAGATCCATCAAGGGGAATTTTCTCTCATCAACTGTTTAACAACAATTACTGAGCACCAATGATAGTCCAGAGATGACTTAAAAATTCAACGCTGATGTTCTGAACATGTACCATGAGCTGGAGACAGACTATCAATGAAGTCCTGTTTACCATGGCGGTCTGTTTCAACAACAGTAACCGGCATATAGTAGGAGTTATTGGTCATTATTTGTTGAATGAATTAATAAATGGATGATTACTGAGGCAGTCCTCACCATTAAGAGATGGACAGCCCACAGAGAGTTCTGTGATACAATTATTATAACACGATGTGAATCTTTATATGGAAGGTATGCAAAGGAAATGCAGAGTGTTAAGTCCACAAATCTACAGAGATCTTGTGTGTGTTAATTTTGGTGGGTATGGGCATGTGTGTGGGTGGAGAAGGTGAGTTATTAGGGAAATATTAATAGAAGAGGTAGCACTTAAGCTGAGATTTTTAAAGGCTAAATATAAACAAAGGCCTGGAAGATCAATGGCGGAAAGGATTCCAGGCAGGTGGAATAGCCTGTGCAAAAAATCAGAGGCATGAAGACATATGGTTTTAAGTATTTATACATAATTGTTTGAGCCTGGGATTTAACGTGCAGTAGTGGAAGTTCTGGTGAGCATTAAGTGCGAACATGTGGGCTGGCATCTAAACATGACAAGCAAAAGGACTGTAGGATACTCCTGAGAATCTTGGATGATCATCTGCAAGATTGGAGCGAGAGTCACATGAACAGATCTCTGTGATAAACAGTGCCCTCTAGCAGCAGAATGGAGGAGGAAGCAGAGGCCAAGTCTAAAGACAAATGGATTCATGAGAGAAATAGCACAATGATTCCAGTAAGAGATAATATGTGCCTCAGGTAGGCAGTGGCTGTGGAAATGGACAGAATGTAATATATTAAAAGGAAATTTAGAAGAATTAATTGATGGGACTTGGATATTAATTGAAAAGATAGCTGGAATAAAAAGAAGGCATCTAAAATAACTTACAAGTCTCTGTTTGGGGCCAGCAGATAGCTGTGGTATTCTCTGTGATAAGCAGAACAGGAAGACTATCAGGGGCAGACAGAAGAAACACCATGTTGCATTCCATTTGGATGATCTAAGTTTAATGTGACTGTAAGATATTCAAAAGGGGACGTCTTGTGGATATTTGGATTTGGCTCTCAGGAGTGAAGACTGAGCTGTACAGATCTGCTTGTTACATGTTTATTGCAGCTACATATTGGTGTAAGTTATAGCTGCGGGGTTGAATGAAATACAAGGAGAGGAGCGTAGAGTGAACAAAGAAAGGATCTGTATCAGAGCCACCCTGGAGATTACTGACATTTAAGCAGTAAAGAGAGAGAGAGAGAGAGAGAGAGAGAGAGAGAGAGAGAGAAGCCCAAATGAAGGTTAAGAAAGACATTCCAAAGGAGGAGAACTGTAAAGCAGCATTACGAAGCTAAGACAGAATGTGTTTTCCAAAGATCTCTGGATGGTGTCTCCATACCACACTGACTTTGACAGTCCTCCCACTGAGAGGTGGAGAATATGACCCTGCACCCTTGCATTCCACTTGTGTCTCTTGTGTCTGGGTGGGGCTGCAATGTAGTTTCTGCCTGTGTTCTAGAAACCCAGCCACCTTGCTAGGAGGAAGCCCAAGCAAGGCTATGCACAAAGACTACTTGGAGAGGCCACGTGTAGGTGTTCTGGCTGACGGATTAGCAGAGATGGGTGAAGATGCCTCTAGATGACTCCAGCCCCCCTGCTGCCAACTCATCCCTAGCCTTCAGGTCTTTCCAACTGAGGCCCACAGACATCATGGAACAGAGATAGGTTGATCCCTCTGTGTCCAACACAAATCCCTGACCCAAAGTATCTGAGAGCATAATACAATGATTGGTTTACACAGCAAAGCTTGGGGGTGGTTTCTTACACAGCACTAGCTAAGTACAACAGAGGCCAAGCAAAGGAACAGAAATCCTCAATAAGTATTGGGTAGGCTGTAAAGGATGCAGAGTGTTGAACTAAGGTAAGGAAGAAGTGTCCATTGGACTTGGCAACCAGAAGGCCGATGTTGATGTGAATACCACAGTGATTAAGCGGTGACTGTGGCCCAAAGCAGACTTTCAAAGACTGTTTGATGATTCGTTAATACCAATTATTTTTCGAGTTCTCAATAAACTGTTATATAAAAGTAATTGGCAAATATGCTTTCAATTTCTTGGAACTCAGAAAGTAAGAGTCCTCAAACCAGAATTTACCCATTTCTCATTAAACAGTAGCACAGAGGATGGATTTTTAAATATATATATATATTTTAGCATGATAGAAATAGCACCAAGCTTTTACAATTACCAATATTGTAACAATCTCATTTTGGTTACTATTGTTATTTGTTGGAATATTTGAAAACAAATCCCAAATAATATACTATTTTCCCTAGACATATTTCAAAAATACCTCTAAAAGTAATGCTTTTGATATTACGTTATCAAATATAATTATGGCATCCAACAAAATTAAAAATAATCCCTTATACTGATTGGTTTCAATTCAAGTACGCCCAAATTCTTATTTTTTGAGAACCAACTCTGTGAGACATTGGGCTAGGAACTGAGAGATATATAAGGGAAAAGAAGAAAAGCAAATTAGAGGAAAATCTGCAAAGGTATCAAGTAGGTTTTTAGACATTGCAATGCCACCTTTCATCTCTTTTTATCCTCATCAATAGAGCCTTCTCCTACAATCCTTGGTCACCTGGTACCAGCACAATATATGCCTTGCTATTATCTCCTGTTTTGAAGCAACCTTTTCTTAGAAAAACATCCAGTCAAGGCAAAGTCATTAACTTGTAAGTAAGTCGATAAAATCAATTATAAATTAATAATGAGAAGATGAATGTTTTCCACCTTATATAAGAAACAAGGCAAAAATGTACACTCTTGCCACTTTCAGCCAACAGAAGTCTTACTAGGGCAATAAGACAGGAAACAGTAATAAAAGGGATTACAGATTAGAAAGGAAGAAGTAAAATTATCTTTATTCACCAATCACATGATTGCCCATGTAGAAACATAAGGAATTTACAAAGCACTGCTAGAAATAGAAGTGGATGTTGTGAAGTCACAAAATGCAAAATCAACATAAAAAAATCAGTTGTATTTCTATATACTAGCAACAACATAGTGGAATAGAATAAGCCAACTATCTGTCAGGAGTCCCTAAGACCACCCCTACACCTCGGATAGTCATAGGACTCAGCATAAAGTTGTACTCTTGGCCAAGACTTTTAACAATGGTAGAGTAAGACTTACTGCTGAATCGTAAGGGATAAAGGCACAGGTAGAGGCTGCAGGAACCCATATACAGGCTTCTCTATGCTCTTTCCCTCCCAAGAAGGGTCACACAGAGCACACTCTTCCCCCACAACAAAAATGCAGCACCATGTGGATGATGTTGCTGTCTAAGGAATCCCATTTGAGACTTAGCAGACAATGTTTTAATTGGAAGTGGTCACATAGCTACCTCCTGCCTAAGGTGCACCAAAATTCCAGATTTCTAGAAGGAAAGCAGGTGTCAGCATGAACCACAATTTTTGTGTGATCATTCTATGCACAGTAAGCCACTCTCCTCAGTTAAGGAGTATTTTTTATAAATTTAGGAAACTGTTTACCAGTTGAGTCTGAGACACCCCCCAAAAGCCAAGCTTGCAAGCAATCCTCTATAAATGACAGTAGTCTCAGGTCTGCTATACTAACTTTTATGATCCAAGAATCCCGTTATTGACTATATCTAAAGGAAATGAAATCAGCATGTCAAAGAGATATCTGCACTCTCATATTTATTACAGCATTATTCACAATAGACAAGATATGAAACCAACCTAAGTGACTAACGATGGATGAATAAAGAAAATGTGGTTATCTATACACAATGGAATACTATTCAGCCACACAAAAATAAAATCTGTCACTTCACTGCATTACATGAATGAACCTGGAGGGCAGCAGGTTAAGTGAAATAAGCCAGACACAGAATGACAAATACTGCATGATCTCACATATATGTAGAATCTAAAAAAAAAATTAAAAGTCAATATCACAGAAACAGTAGAACAGTCGTTATCAGAGACTAGCAAGGAGAAGCAGGAGGCGAGGATGGGGAGAAGTTGATCAATAGGTATAAAGTCACAATTAGACAAGAAAAATACATTCTGGTGTTTTAGTGCATTGCAGGGTGACTATGGTTAACAGTAAAATATTATATATTACAAAACAGCTAGAAGAGAGGCTTTTGAATGTTCTCACCACAAAGAAATGAAAAATACATGAGGCGATGGCTATACTAACTACCCTGATGGGATCATTATATAACATATATATATATATACACATATATATATACGTATATATACGTATATATATACATATATATATACATATATATATAAAACATCAAGTTGTACTTCATAAATATGCACAATTGTAATGTATCAGTTAAATCAATAAAAAATTAAAGAAACAAACACCAGTAAAAAACACAGTACTTTAAAAAGAATTGACTAACTTGCTCTGCAATATATGTGGAAAAGCGAAGTATGCAGAATGAGCAAAAAATGAAAAAAAATTCATTTCAAAAAATGAAAAAAAAGAGAAATCAAATTGGAGAATTCATACTATCTCATTAAGTCCTTACTAGAAAGTTACAATAATCAACACACTGTGGCATTGGCACAAGGATTGATATATACATTGATGGAAGAGAATAGTTAGTTCCCAAATACCCATACATATAAAGTCAATTGATTTTTGAAAAGTCACCAATATAATTCAGTGTTAAAAAGATAGTCCCTTCAATACACGTTCTAGGATGACTGGATATCTGAATCAGAAAAATGAAAAAATATCTCAATGCCTTCCTTACATCATATAAAAAATAACTGAAATGGATTGTACATCTAAACATAAAGGCTAAAACTATAAAACATCTTGAAGAGAACGTAGAACATCTTCATGACCTTAGGGTAGCCAAAGATCTTTAGACTTGCCATAAAACTATATATAAGTTTATCAAAAGATAACTTAAGAAAATGAAAATGTAACCCAAAAAATGAAATGAAATGTTTGCAATCCAAATATATCTGGCAAGGTGCTTGTATCCCAAATATATGATACTCATATAACTCAAAAATAACATAATGCATTTTATTTGAAAATGGGCAAAGAACTATCCAAGTGGCCCATGTAAAAATGAAAAGATATTCAACATCATTACTAAGCAGAAAAACATGAATTCACCCTACAATGAAACAGCGCTGAACACTCACTGGACTGGCTAAAATTTAAAGAGACTGGCATATAGTATACTCCATTGAATAGCACAATAAACATCCTTCTCAAGTGCACTTGGAACACATTAAATGCTATGGTTTATCCTCCAAGATAAACCATATACTGGGCTATAAAGCAAGTTCCAATAAATTTTGAAAGACTGAAATCATAGAAAGTATGTTCTCTGACCACAATGGATTGAAATTAGAAATCTGTAACAGAAAAATAATCGAGAAATTCAGAAATACATGAACCTAACAATACACTTCTAAATAACCAATGAGCCAAAGGAAACTTGGAATTTATTACATATAAGAGCAGGTCATCTGGAATTTATTTCAAATTATACTTTGAGATAAATGGAAATGAAGACATAATATATTGAAACTTTAAAAAATAACAAAAACCAAAAACTTTTGGGATGCAGCAAAGCAATACTTAGAGGAACATTTATATCCATAAATGTCTATAATATTAAAAAAAAGAGAGTGACCTTAAATCAATAACCTAAACTTTCAGTTTAATACACTGGACAAAAAGGCATAAACTAAGCCTAAACCAGGCAGAAAGAAGAAAATTATTTTAAAAGAAGACATTAATGAAATAAAAAATAAATTTAAAAAGTCAAGAAAATCAATTGTTGGTTATTTGACAAGGCTTTACTAAGGCTGAACAAAGAAAAAAACAAAAGAAATAGAAGTAAAATTACTAAAATAAAAAATTAAGGAGGAAACATTACTGCCAAACTTACAGAACAAAAAGGATCATAAAGCAATGTTATGAATAATTGTATACTAATAAGCTAGATCACTTAGATTAAATGGACAAATTCATATAGATACAAACTACTGAAATAGGCTCAAGAAGTTGTGTTTTTTGTTGTTGTTGTTTTGTTTTGTTTTGAGATGGAGTTTCACTCTTATTGCCCAGGCTGGAGTGCAATGGCATGATCTCAGCTTACTGCAACCTCTGTCTCTCAGGTGCAAGCAATTCTCCTACCTCAGCCTCCCAAGTAGCTGGGATTACAGGCATGCACCACCACGCTGGCTAATTTTTTGTATTTTTAGTAGAGACGGGGTTTCACCATGTTGGCCAGGCTGGTTTTGAACTCCTGACCTCATGTGATATGCCCACCTCGGCCTCCCAAAGTGCTAGAATTACAGGCATGAGCCACCACGCCCAGCCAAGGAGATATTTTAAAAATCAAAATAGGACTTTAACAAACATATTAAATTAGTAATCAAAAGTTACTCACAAAGAAAGCTTAGGCATAGATGGATCACTGGTAAAGTCACAAAATATTTGAAGAACTGATACCTATTATCTAGAAATTATTTTTAAAAATAGTAGAGGATACGTCTCAACCCATTGTATGCAGCTAGTATTACCCTAATTCCAAGACCAGGCAGATATCACAAGGAAGGAAAACTACAGACCAATATCTTTTATGAATACATATGTGGAATTCCTCAGGAAAAAAAAAAAAAAAAAAAAAAAAAACACTAGTCAACAAAACCTGGCAACAAATAAAAATGATTACGCACTATGAATCAATGGAATTTCTACCAGGAATGCAAAATTGGTTCAACATCCAGAAATTGATTAATATAATATACCATTTCAACAGAATAAGGTACAAAACCACACAATAATCTCAAGAGATGCAGTAAAAGCATTTGATAAAATCCAACACTCCTTCATGATAAAAAAAACACACAACAAACTAGGAATAGCAGGAAACTTCCTCAATCCGAACCAGAACATTTTTGTAGAAGTGGATCTACAAAAAACAAAAACAAAAACAAAACAAAAATCATAAAGCTAACATTATACTTAGTGGTAAAAATCAAAATGCTTTCCCTTAAGATCAGAAACAAGAGAAGGCTATCTCCTCTCAACCAGTTCTAGTCAACATTGTACTCTATGTTGTATCCAGGACTACTAGGCAAGAAAATGTAATAAAAAGCAAACTGGAGGAAGGAAGTAAATCTATTCACAAATGACAGGATCTTATATACAGTGAAAACTAAGAAATCCACTAAAAAAAATTCAAACTAATAAATGAGCTCAGAAATATTGCAGGATACAAGAGCAATATGCAAAAATCAATTGTATTTCTATATATTTTCAATAAACAATCTAAAAATGAATTTACAAAAGCAACTCTTTTTACCGTAGTATCAAAAAGAATAAAATGCTTAGCAATAAATTTAATAAAATAGTGACAAACTTTACTATGCAAACTACAAAATATTATTGAATGTCATTAAAGAAGATCTAAATAATTGGGAAAACTTCCCATGTTCATGAATTGGAAGGCTTAATGTTAAAATGGCAATATTCCCTAAATTATTTTACAGATTTAATATAATTGCTATCAAAATAACAGCTGGCTTCTTTGCTGAGATTGACAAGCTGATGATAAAATTTGTATGGCAATTCAAGGGTCCTAGAAGAACTAAAACAATATTGAAAACAAAGAACAAATTTAAAGAACCCACATTTCCAGATTCCAAATATCACTATAAAGCTACAGTAATCCAGACTGTGATACTGGCATAAGGAGAAATACATAGAACAATGGGATAAAATTGACAGTTTAGGAGCAACACTCCCACCCCACAGTTATGATCAAATGATTTTTGGCAAGGGTATCAAAACAGTTCCTAGGGGAAGGAGTAGTCTTTTCAACAAATGATGCTGGGGAAAACTAGATATCCACATGCAAAAGAATAAAGTTGTATCTTACTACATACTAAATACAAAATTTAACTCAAGATACATAATATAAGTTCTATAACTCTTAGAAGAAAACACAGGGATAAATCTTGATGACCTTGGAATGGTTTCCTATGGAAATGATTTGTTTCTTATATGACAATCAAAAGCACAAGCAACAAAAAATGTATAAGTTGAACATCAAAAAAATTTAAGTTTAGTGCTTCAAAGAATACCAAGAAAGTGAAATGACAAAGAATGAGAGACAATATCTGCCAATCATATATCTGATTAGGAATTCATATATAGAAAATATAAAGAACTCTTACAGCTCACTAAAAAAAAAAAAAAGACAACCCAATTAAAAATGGGCTAAAGTTCTAAACAGACATGTCTCCAAAGATGTATGAATGGCCAATAAGAACATCAAAAACAGTTCCTATCATTAGCCCTCAGGAAAATGCAAATCATAACCACAATGAGATCACACTTCCACCCCACTAGGATGGCTATAATAAAAAAGATGGATAATAACAAGTGTTGGTGTAGATGTTGAAATATTGGAAGAGTCATATGCTAAAGTGAGAATGTACAATGGTACAGCAACTTTGCAAAATAGTCTGGCAGTTCCTCAAAGGGTGAAATGTAGTTAACCTACCACCCAGCTATTCCACTCCTAGGTATAAAACCAAGAGAAAAGAAAATATATGTCTACACAAAAACTTGTACATGAATGTTCATAACAGTATTACTCACAATAGTCCCAAGGTGGAAGCAACCCAAATGTCCATCCACTGATGAATGGATAAACAAAATGTGGATCCATACAGTGTAATATTAGTCATAAAAACAAATGAACTACTGATAGACTCTACAATATGGATGGACCTTAAGAACATTATGCTAAGTCAACAAAGCAGTGGCAAAAGACAAAAGATATAAACCGAACAGGCAATTTTATAGAAAAAGAAAGTACACTAGTGGTTGCCTGGCCTTAGGGAAGGTAATGTGCTGGGGGGTGAGATGAAGGTCACTTACAAAAGGTATGGGTTTCTGTTGGGGATGATAACATTTTTCTAAATTGATTGTATTGCACAACAATAAACGGGTAGTTGTATAACTTTTAAATATACCAAAACTCACAAAATTATACATTTGTAAATGAATAAGGTGTAAGCTATGTTAATCATATCTCAACAATGCTAACAACTGCATTTATTCATTTTCATGTATTACCTTTTAATTAGTTAATTGTAATACACACATACACAAAGCACAATTCCAAAGAGCAAGGATGTGGAACAAGTGGAAGGCTTATATATTTTTGGTGTAAAGCGGCTCAACCATTTTTCAAAATTGTTTTTTATATCTTAACATACACTTGTGACACAGCCATTCTAATCCTTGCTATTACCCCCCAAAAAAGTAAAAAAAAAAATAAAAATAAATTTATAAAGACATATACAAAAATGTTCATAACAGTTTTAGTCATAATAACCTTAAACTAAAAATAACCTAAATTTCTTTGGACAAATAAACTGATTTTTAAAAATATGGTTCTCTGACCAGGCACAGTGACTCATGCTTGTAATCTTAGCAATTTGGGAGGCCAAGATCGGCTGATCACTTGAGGTCAGGAGTTCAAGACCAGCCTGGCTAACATGGTGAAACCCCGTCTCTACTAAAAATACAAAAATTAGCTGGGCATTGGTGGCACCTGTAATCCCAGCTACTCCGGAAGCTGAGGTGAGAGAATCGCTTGAACCCAGGAGGCAAAGGTTGCAGTGAGCCGATATCGTGCTATTGCACTCCAACCTGGGCAAACGAGAGAGATTCTGTCTCAAAAAAGAAAATAATAATAAAAAATAAAATATATGGTCTCTTAATAAAATGTAAACTATATGCAAAAATAAAGACAAATCTCACAGAGACTATGTCAAGTGAAGAAGCCTTACTCTAAAGAATATATACGTATGATCTCATATGAATAAAACGCTATCCGTAGTTATAGAGGCCACACGAGTGGTTGCCTGGAGTAGGACGCTGAGGAGAGAGAATGACTAAAGAAATGTAAAGAGACATGAAGGAATGTTCTCGCTCGATGGAGAGGTTTTATATTTTGATTAAGTTGGTTACCTGACTGTATACAATTTGTCAAAAGTCATCAACCTTAAAATGTTTGAAAGTCTTTGTATGTAAATTATAGCCCAGTAAAGTTGAGTTTTAAAACCACACACAAATCACTTGATGAAGTAAATGACACATCTCTCAGGTGTATGTTCAGAGTTGACTCCTGAGTGATGGGATTTTTCTGGAACATTTTTACATTGTTGGCTTGCCAGGAGCCCCCAGTCAACAATGACTGTGCTTTCTCACCCTCAACAGCCACAGTGCAGTGGTCACTCTCAGTCAGTATCATGTCATGAAGAGAACACTGAATTGAAGTCAGAAACCTTGATTCCAATCCTGGCTGTAGCATTTATGGGTGATGCAATTTGTATATAAATCCTGGCCTGTAAAATATCTATTCTTCAGGCTTGTTTACATAAATTGAACTACATTATAAGACCTATATAATAATCTGCCATATTAGATGGGATTGTTATTGATGAGTATTTTATTAACAGAAGGCAACATAGAGAAGTACCAAACGGTAGTGAAATATTTGCCCATTTTAGTGGGATAGACGGTGCAGTCTAGCCCAGGAAGCATGACATCCTGCTGGTTGGAGCTTGAGTCATTCTGTTTCCATTGAAGCACAAAAGGAAGACTTAATTACCTTTGGTAACTTATTTAAAAACAAAATCACTAGTATTGCCCTCTCTGTCCTTCTCTCCAGATCTCTACACCTGCAATAGAATGCATACGAAGCAGACGGTAGTTGAACAACTTCCATACTTTATTTTCTTGTTCTATTGTATGTCCTCGGCTTCCCTGCTTCAAAACAATATCATGCCCTTTCTCCTGAGTTTTTTCCTTTTGCCTCACACAGCAGCCACTCTTACATTTAATTAAAGTGGTCACATGGAGTCTGCCTTCAGATTCAATTTTGCTTTTCTCCCCTCTTGCTTTGGAATGCAGGGGATAAAGGCATTAGGAGAAGCAGAGATCCAGATGATCCTTCGATTATGCCCAAGTCTGAGGAATCATGACTGACCATGTCTGGGTCATCACTGAGGCCACTCAGGAACAAGCTGGCATTCTCTGACCTTCCCCAGGCTGCCCACTGAGACTCACCATCCTTTCCTTTCTGCTAGAGAGAGCGTAGACAATGTTACTATTCTCATAGCAAACTGGACTTTTTCCTTCTATGGAACTAAAATATTAGCATTAGCTCAGACCTATCTTTAAAAATAATGCAAAATTATCCTAAATTTAACGCACTATCTAAAACACACACACACACACACACACACACACAGAGAGAGAGAGAGGACCCCACACCACAAACACACACATACACACACACACACACACAGAGGAGACCACACTCCACACATCCACACCACACACAGACACACACACTTGAATTAGTAATCACAACCATTAGCCAAACCTAAACATATGGGCAGCTTCTTCCCTCACCAAACACGATTGTATGCCAAACTTCTAAAACAAAAATAAAACAAGATGCAGAAGGTGTTTGATGATTTTATGTGTGTTGTGAAATTTTGACTGAACTATTCATGGAGTCTGAATTCCTCATTTGAAAAAGGAGGGTGATGTCTACTTTGCATGGTTGTGATAGAGATTGAAATAAAATAATAGTGTATACGTAGCTAGCAGAGTGCAACACAGATGTGAGGCTGAGGCATCATGACTTAAAAATTGTAGTTATTAAGAAAAATATGGGATTCTAGAAGTCTACCTTTAATATAAGTCTTATTGGAACTAAGGTCTAACTACTATGTTGTAAGGAGAAAGTTTTACATAACTCTTGCTCCATAGTGGCAAAATCTTTACACATTTAAGCATTCAGTAAAAATTTGTTAAAGTCATTATTTGGTAATATTATAGGTATGAACCCAGGGGCTTGGATTCTACAATCTAGTTCTTGACTCCTAAGAGCCTGTCCCTAACAGGAACATGAAAGGCAGTGTTCTTGTGGTTGTGTTTGACTATCATTTCTTTCTATTAGTTTATTTCCTGAATGCAAAAAAAACACCCATATGCACTCCATTAAGAAAGTTTCATGGATATGATATGATTTTTCAATGAGGTTTCTGGGTTTTTTTTGTTTTTTTTTTTTTGAGATGGAGTCTTGCTCTGTCACCCAGACTGGAGTGCAATGGAGCGATCTCGGCTCGCTGCAACATCTGCCTCCCCAGTTCAAGTGATTCTCCTGCATCAACCTCTGCCTCCCCAGTTCAAGCAATTCTCCCACCTCAGCTGGGATTAGAGGCACCTGCCACCATGCCCGGATAATTTTTCTATTTTTAGTAGAGACAGGGTTTTGCCATTTCAGCCAGGCTGGTCTTGAACTCCTGACCTCAGGTGATCCACCCACCTCGGCCTCCCAAAGTGTTGGGATTACAGGTGTGAGCCATGCACCCAGCTCCCATGAGTTTTTTTTTTTAAAGGTATCTGAATGAAAATTAAAAAAAAAAAAAAATCATCCAAGAACCCAAGATAAGGGCTTGCGTGTGGATTTGAAACCCATCAACTATGGGTAAGGAAAGTGTGAGGGAGGGAGATACGTAAATTTCAGTAGATTTAAAGAGAGTCATGTAACTAAAGAGTGAGGAATGTATATATTTAAATGATAGCATGTCTTCCGATGATGTTTGCAATGTTTTAGTAGCAGCATCTCTAAGTAACCAGCTATAATATATTACACTGTATTTTTTAAGTTAATTGATTTTATGCTCCTGGACTGCACTTCTAGTCTTTCATCTACTGAATCTTTGCTATGAGACTAAATGAGCTTTTCAGAGGAAAAATCCTTTGATCTAGCTACTCCAGGGAAAGGGAGTACAGCAGACATGTATAAGATACTGCTTGTCCTTATTACAAGGTGCTAGCACATGAAAATGTTGATAAATGGTGGGTGGCCCCTCCCGTCTTTCCTCTGCTATTTGAACTGCAGTGTTGGTTATTTCCGTCATGATTTGATACGCCAACTTTCCCTGATGAGGACTAACAACCTCTAATGCTTGTAGTCTCTATAAAGATCATTTGGTTTCAAATAAAACATTTACATTCAAAATCTATTAATGGCCTTCTCTGGTTCAAATGTCAACTAAGTTATTCAACAATATGTGCTTGTTCTAAAACAATTAGGCAAATTCCATCTACACACACATTCACAGCTTTTCCTCTCTGAAACTCCTTCCACCAGACCCAAAACTGTTATGAGCATATTAAATCTATGCTATCAACAAAAATCAAAACTTCAGAAAGATCTAGGGCACTTGGATTCTCTTTCTCACCACCATGTCTAAACAGCAATAAAACCTCATTCAAATCACATAATCCTTCTAGCTCTTGAGTTCTCTGTCTTTAAAACTTAGATCATGCTACTGTCTCAGAGGAAGAGATTAAAAGCCTCTCCTCATTACATGTGGCTTCTATTTGGCTCTACCTAGAGTTATATTCATGTAAAATCATATTTAGATAGAGGTTGGGTCTCAGTTTCTGCTTCATCCCTCCCTGCAGCAATCTTAGCAGGGCTCACACTGCTCTGAGGTTGTAATGAGGCGGCCTCAGATGCCACTACTAGGACAGATCCAGGGCTCCCCACTCCACACTGGCAACAAGAGAGATGGCTATGCCTGTGCCTTAGCTGGACTCACCTCAGGGAGGCTCTAGCTGCCTGGGAGACTGGGCGACACAGCTGGACTTGCGGAGAGTTAATGCCCCTTGCTGTAGGCTTCAACCAGGAGTGATCAATCCCTGTCCCTCCTTCCCACAAAAGACTGTCCTGAAGTGCAGTTGTTTCTTGTGACTCTCCTGAGCCATCCCATAGACCAGGCAGGCAGGTGTATTACTGTGAACCTGTAACCAGCTCCAGAAAGGTCACCCCTGTACTTGCTCTCCCTCCTGCTCTGTCCTGCTTCATGTTTTTCCTCATTCTTCCTCCTAGAACAGCACCCTGTGTTAAGGAAGTAGCAGACATGATTTTGGCTTAAGTGTCTGTCTTCTAGGAACCCTGAACCTGGACAGGTGGGAAATCCCAACAGTGTATCCCATCTCTGCCACCTGCGGATGTGTTTCCCTGGGCTTTCTACTTAACTCCTCTCTGCCTGTGCTTCAGTTTTCTCATCTATAAAACGTGGAGAAGAATAGCACATACTTCATTCAGGTTGTTATTAGAAATGAATGAGTTAATACATAAAAAAAATGCTTGAAATAGTGCCTGATGCACAACGACTGCATGCCACGGGTTGGTGTCATCATCACCATCACAATGATCATGCCAGTGCTCCCTACTTCCCATCCACCTTCACTGTCATGTTTCCTGCATTTGACCCAGCTTTTCATAAATTCCATAAGCCCCTAGATTCCCGGCAATGTATTCCCCTTAGATTACATTAACATCAGTGCTGGTTTTTATGCAAGGGAAGAATCCAAACTGGTACAACATTGCTACCAGTTTGAGGTTCAGAAGGCAAGGGAGAGTTTGGGTTGTTTCTGGTGAACGAATTCAGAAAAGATTTGATGTCTCCTCTGGACCAGAAATGAACTTTAGCGTATTAGAAAATTTAAGTAATTTGCCCAAAATCTCATGGCTGGAAAATGGCAGAACAAGAAGTAAAGCCTACGTTTGCGTACAAAACCATCTCCTTTCAACCATGCCAGAAGCTGTTCCAGTTTTTATTTTTTAATAAAAATATATCTGGCTCTTTGAGCATTTTTATGTTTAAAATGCTTGAGATGGGTAATCCCATTTCATTCACAGAACCACCATACAAATTAAGAGTAGATTCTAATGCCACAGTATTTAAAAGACAATACTACGAGAAAAGTGAAAATTATTTGCTCCAAGTCTCCATAGCTGGTACACATGCAGCTAATCCTCTCACCTTAGCTACTACTATGGTTTGAATGTGTCCTTCAAATTCCATGTGGTGGAACCTTCATCCCCAAATTCATATGTTGATTGGAGGTGGAGCTTTTGGGAAGCAATTAGGATTAGATAAGGTCATTATGGTGGGGCCTGCTGGTGGGACAGGCACAGCTTTATAAGAAGAGAAGGGAGACTTGAGCTGTCATCCATGCTCTTGCCCTTTCCATGAGAGGGCAACAGAGGTAAATACATGAGCAGCTGCTTGAGGTTGCCTTTGGCAGTTATGTCTGTCGGAAACATTGCAAGGCCTGGGTAATGAGATAATAAAGTTGAAAATACTTGGGAAGTAAAAGTGGTATGTAAATATAAGATACCACTGTCTTCACATGTGATATGCCTGGGAGGAACTCTTCTTATTTTAATTCATTCATCTCTTTATATCTTGCCTTTATTTTTAAGAGATTTAAGATGGTTTATGCAAATATACAATACAGTGTATGTATAAATGCAAGCCTGCCTAAGCAAAACACGAGATGATAAAGCCATAAAGGAATAGATTGACAGATTTTATTACATGCAAATCTAAAACTGTTGTATGACAAATGATACTATAAAATAAAGTAAAAGACAAGAAAATAACTGGGAGGGATATCTGCACCCTTTATAACCTTTATAAAAAAGGGTTAACGTCCATAATGTATACACTGCTTTTTCAGATCAATTTTCAAAATGATAAACAACCCAATAGAAAAATGGATGAAGAATATGGACAAGCAATTCACAGAAGAAATACAAATATCCAATAAATATATGAAATATGAAAAAATATGCACAATAGCTTCCCTAGTAACTGGAATATGAAAATTGAAATAGGTGCAATTTCCTGCCTATCACACTGGCAGAAACGTAAACTATTGAAAGTATCTGTTATGGGCCAAAGGGTGGGAAAATAGACATTTCTGTTTGTTGGTGAGATTGCTAATTGACATAGCCTTTATGGAGGGCAAGCTGGGTGGCAATATAAACATTTAAAATAAACATGCCCTATGACCAAGCCATTCCGTTGTAGGAATCCTGTCTACTACTAAAGGCAATTCTGGTGAAGATTCCAACAGAAAACAGGAAAACTGGAGAGAAAGCTTCCATCTTCTTAGAGAATGCCAAAATAATCGTGTACATAATATTGGTAGAAATATGAATGGTAAAAGCCGTTCTGACGAGATTTCAGACAGAAATAAAGGACATGTTATTAGAAACTGGAGGAAAGGTAATCCTTGTTGTAAAATTGCAAAGAGCTTTGCTGAATATTGTTCACGTTCCAGTGTTTTGTGTGGAAGGTAGAGCTTGTGAGGGATGAAACTGGATATTTAGCTTAGGAACTTTCTAAGCAATGTGTTTGAGGGAGCAGTTTGATTCCTCTTGACTGCTAATAATAACATGTGAGAAAGGGAAATGAATTGAAGATGGAATTGTTCAGGAAAAAAAAAGGAACCAGAACGTAAAGATCTGGAAAATTCTCAGCTGGTCCGAATTATACAAAATGTAAAAGCATGTTTGGAAAAGAAAGAACACTAAGGGCGTGGCAGACTCATTGCTTGATAAGGAAGTCAGCGTGGATGTGAACCACAAGCTAATCAGCTGACCTAGCAGGAGAACTTCTGGTTTAAACTGAAGGAAACAGAAGGAAGGAAGGTTGTCTGATTTCTTGGATTTTACCTAGAACTACTCAGCTATGAATGTGTGCAATTCTTCAAGACAAGGGAAGAACGACCCAAAAAAGTGATTCAGAGATCACCAGGGCAGCCTCCTAAGTTTCATATGAGGTCAGGGGAGCACCACCTCAGTTTCAACAGGCCAGATGGCCCCCTTGAACAGCCTTGGGGTTGGAGCTGCCCAAGGCCATGGAGCTGCAACCCTGCCCTGCAGAACTGTGGGCGCAGGACTGCCACCCCACTGGGTCTGGAAGGCAGAGCATCAAACAAAAGAAGATATATTCCTGTAGCAAAAGAGGACTATTCTTGAGCCTTAAGATCTCATGGAGTTTGCCTTGTAGTCTAGTCTTGCCTGGGAACCGTTGCCCCTTCTTTCTTTTCAATTTCTCCCCCTTGGAATGGGAATGCCTACCCCATTCCTGTCCCACTATTGTATTTTGGAAATACATAACTTGTTTTCCCATGTTCACAGCTGCAAAGAAATTTTGTCTCACACCTGATTAAGATGATATTTAAATGAGACTTTGGACTTTAGAGTTCATTCTGGAGCGAGTTAAGACTTTTGAGGCTGTTGGGATGGAATAAGTGTGTTGCACATGTAAGAAGGACATACATTTGGGAGGAATGACAGGGTCAGAATGCTATGGAGTAGATGTTTGTGTTCCTCCAAAATTCCTATGTTGAAGACCTAATCCTCATTGTGATGGTATTAGGAGATGAGGCATTTGGGAGGTGATTAGCTTACGAGGGTGGAGTCCTCGTGAATGGAATTAAAGTCCTCGTAAGAATAGATAAAAAAAGAGATGATCCTTCTCTCTCTCCCCCTGCCATGTGAGGAAGCAGCAAGAAGGCAACAACTTACAAGTCAAGAAGAGAGCCCCCACCAGACACTGAATCTGTCAGTGCCTTGACTGGAACTTCCAACCTGCAAAACTGTGAGAAGTAAATGTCTGTTGTTTAAGCCACTCCATCTATGGTATTTTGTTATAGCAGCCTTAGTCAACCGTGGCCAGTGGCAAACAAAATGGCCAAAAGTCCCACCCTTGGGTAAAATACACAGAAATCCTGGGAACCTGAGGCAGTGGGGAGAAGGAGCCAAAAGGCCTTGGTAGGTGGTTGGTTTGCTAATTTGGGGACAAATCAGGCAGCTGCTAACAAATAATTCTCTGGGACTATGGTGGAAGGGGCTACTGCCCTGGAGAGACTCCTGGGGGAATTATTTCAGAGTCCCCCTGGCTAATAAGGCACCAGCTACAGGCACAATGCCAGCAGGGTTCCGTGGATTCTGTATAGGGTGGGGGTGGAGGATGCCAGTAAAACAGATAGCTGAATGCTCATTGCACTTGGCTGGGATGGGCTTAGAGTTGAGGAAAGACCACAGACTTGGAGTGCTCTTTATCCAGCTGGAGCCTCCTTAATGGATGCCCATGGGGCAAGCCCTGGATCTGCAGCTGTCGATGGATTCAACCCAGTCACCCACCTTGGCTTTATGGGTTTTCAGTTTAAACTTCGTGCAAAGTTTCCCCACTGTGACTAGTCAAACATGATCTGTCTGCTTTCTCCCTTCCTCCACTCACAATATTTATACTCATTTCTTTTATTGAAATCTATCTGCTCCCATTCTATTAAAAAGGTTTGACTGGCAGCTCCTATTCTACTGAAACCTGCAACCTATCTATTCTCCAGACAATGAGATACAAGCATTCTATCTTCCATTGTGCTGGCACGGCCTTCTGTGCTTCTGCCTTCAATCTTAAAAGGCATGTCAGAAATGCCTCCATCTAACTAGGTCTGGAACATGGGCAGTCTGAACTACCAGTTCTGCATTTAACCAATTCTGACTAAACAAAGAAGAAGACCAGGATCTTTCCTCTTCCCAGTGCATGCCCTACTGGTATGCCCTGCTCTTCAAAGTATTATAACCACGGCAAAAGGGAGGAGGAAGCTGCAGTGCTGTGAGCCGTGCGTCTGTGCCCCCCAGGTGCACTCATAACTGGCATTCCAATACATGCCCCAGCGATTCCCATGCAGTACTTTCCATCCACCGTGGGGTGGGCTTCAAGACAACCTGATTTTAAGCATGAGGAAATGGAGGCTCAGAGAAATGAGGTGACATGTTAAGGCCCTTGAGAGCTTGTTTGGAAGTTCTGGCAGGGAGGTGGAGCCACCTCTACTCTCTTGGCCAAAGAGTTCTTATCTCCATAAAAAGCCCACCTTTTCTACAGATAAGGAAGAAGACACTGGGTTAGTGCACCCAGCCACCCCTAAATGGAATGAGTGACCTGCGTCACCTTCACATCAGGCTAACAGACATGTGCATGACCGTGCAGCTAAAACGAGAACCAGCAACAGTGCCCAAATCCTTCGACTCCTAAGCATGCTCTCTTTCCATGACCCCATTTCACATCTGAGCTGCCAACGGCTCTGTCTCCCTTTCCTAAAGAAAGTAGGTCTACAAGTGGTGCTCAGGAGAAAACAAGGCGAGATGCCTAGAAGCCACTCTCTAAACCAGCCTGAGGCTCATGACTTAATGGGTTCAGGGCACATTTGAACAGAAGGTTCCGTGGTGTTCTACTGCCAACACCGGATAATTCAGCTGTGTTTTAGGCCATGCCCCGGAGACGAAGGCTTTCCCATCTGGTGACCCTCTTTTGATGTAGCTCTTCAGCCAGAACAAGCCAGTTTGGCCAGATTGTGAATAAAATCATTTTTTGAAATATTTTATAGTCTAGTTGTACAAACCACAGACAAGTCAAAACCCGAGGACACAAGCTTGTACCAGAATTTCAGCTTAACACTGAGTGCCATATTAATAATTTTTTTGTGGACTTTTTAATTCATTTTTTGGTTTCTCTTACTTCTAATTACATCATCCACATTTTGAAGCACCTCTGTCCAAAGCAAAGTTTAGAACTTTCTTAAAAACAAATAGAACAAGCAAAAGCAAAAATAAACATTCCCATGGTAATTCAGAGACAGCATGATGCTGTGGAAAGACTGTTACAAAAATAGTTACACTGTCTGGAAACCTTACTTTTGCTACTAATTAGCTGTGTGACTTTGAGAAATTCACTTAATTTCTCTGAACTTATGTTCTCTTATCTTTAAAAAAAAAAAGGCTGGGTGATTTTTTAGATTTAACATTGATTCATCCATGGGCTTCCGTGGTAACTAAAGAAAGACTGCCTGTTTCAGCCAGGTTTTAGCTTTGAGTTTGGTGCCAGGCTGAGTTCTTTGCTAATTAGAAAGTCACAAAATAACTTAAATGCTAGTCCTCCTCCTCCCTTGTTTCCCATTCACAAAAGTTTCCATGTTTTCCTAAGGTACATCTCTCCTGCTCCCGCCACCCAGGCAAATGCCTTCATCAACTGATTCTACTCAAAACTGTCCTAGTTGCAGGTGTTCGAGACCAGCCTGATCAACATGGTGAAACCCCGTCTCTACAAAAAATACAAAAATTAGCTAGGCATGGTGGTGCACTCCTGTAATCCCAGCTTCTTGGCAGGCTGAGGCAGGAGAATTGCTTGATCTGGGAGGCGGAGTTTGCAGTGAGCCAAGCTCACACCATTGCACTACAGCCTGGGCGACAGAGAGAGACTCCGTCTCAACAAACAAACAAACAAACAAACAAACAAAAACAAAAAACTGTCCTAGTTGATTTATTGGTGATCAACTAAAAAACTTCTTGTTTTTTGAGATGGAGTCTCACTCTGTCGCCCAGGCTGGAGTGCAGTGGCGCAATCTCAGCTCACTGAAACCTCTGCCTCCCGGGTTCAAACGATTCTCCTGCCTCAGCCTCCCGAGTAGCTGGGATTACAGGTGTGCACCACCACGCCAGGCTAATTTTTGTATTTTTAGTAGAGATGGTGTTTCACCATGTTGGTCGGGCTGGTCTCAAACTCCTGACCTTGTGATCCACCCTCCTTGGCCTCCCGAAGTGCTGGGATTACAGGCACGAGCCACCAAGCCTGGCCTAAAAAACTATTTTACAGCTGACCCTGCAGTGCCATCAGTCTGCAATGTGCAGTTTCTACATTTCTTTTTTTCATTTGAGCTTCTTCAGAGGTTCCTCACCCTGCCTCAAGGTCTTTTTTTTTCTTTTAAATTTATGCATTGGAATTTAAGGCTCTTTCCAATATTAATCATATCAAAACTTACATTCATATTTAAAATGGCAACTATTTTGAAAGCATGATTTTACTAGAAAGTCATATATTTGTGGGGAGAGAGATTCTAGATACATGATTCTTACCTATCATCAGCCTGCTCCCACAGCCGTATCTAGCAGTGACTCACAGAGAAACCAAGGCAGGGGAGGTGGTCAATGCTTCCTTTAAAATCACAAAGAGATGAGTAATATTTCTAGCAGTTAAATCAGGGGCAGGACACAAATAGGAAACTTATGGAATTAAACACAGAAGATGCTTCCAAACAGAACTATTGGGTGTTTGCTGAATTGGACTATTTTGACTGAATTGAACTGAACATTCAGTTTGACTGTCACACACACGAAGGATGTCTGTCACTATCTTACAGGTGAATACTCAATCACTACAATAATGTGCTTATGAATTTTTGACAAAGTCATAAGCATCATTCTCTTTTCCACGTGGTGTCCCTGCTTACTTGTGTTGAACGGAAATAGTGGGCCACACAAAAGGCTCATTTTAGATCAGTGGTCCCTTGACACTGTGGCCCTAGGTCTAGAGTTGTCCGCTTTCTCTTTTGTGGCCAACAATCTTCAAAAGACGGCTAAAGTTATATGGGTCCAAACTCTCAAGAAATACATAGAGAGAAGCCTAGGTGAGAAAATCACTATGGCAAAGCACAACACTATGGTAATTGACCTGGACTTCCCTAGTTTTGAGAGAGTGCAAAAAGCAAAGACACTACTTAGGGTGGCACATCCTATTTAAAATATGTCAGCAGTCCAAGAACTGCCCAAGTATTTGGCAACATCGAGCGACCTCCTAGAAGACTATAGGAAAAATCATCCATTTAAGCCATCGTCCAATATATTTAACGCATGTTCACTCTGAACTTGAGGCAAATGCACAATAACACAGTCTAATAACCAACTGATGGATAGACAGAAGCAGAAGATGATTAACAACTGAGATGAGGACAGAGTTTAGAAAATGTGTCCCTCAGTCCTATGTCCTTTCTGCCAGACCAACTCGTTTCCAGCTGAGCGTTTCCAACTCCCAGCTCATTAAGCTGAATGTTCCAGCCTGGGTTCTAATTAGAGATGCCGCATGGCTTGTCCTCTCCTGGAGGATGGAGTCATGCTGTCCCCAGCCAAGATCTCTGCCTGAGAAGGGCTGTGTTAGAAATGCCCCAGCAGCTGTCCATGTGTTCTTGCTGTCACAAAGTACAAATGTGTCTGGTGGGGAAGGCTCTGCAGCTACACAGTAAATGCCACAGTAAATGCCAGCTCCACTAGGACGGCAGGTGAGCAATCTATTAGGAAATCGAAGGCCCCTCCCTCATTATAGGAAAACAAATGAGCTGTGTCTCACGGGGAGCAGGGAGACAGAGGAGAAATTCTTTTATAAAGAGAGGCAATGGGCTTCGAAATCAGATGGATGTAGTTTTGAATCCTGGCCCTGCCACACATAAATTGGATGATCGCAAGCAATCGCTTTAAACTTTTTGAGGTTTCTCATCTGTAAGATGGGCAAAAATAATTCCTATCTCATGAGAATCTGGGGATTGAAAGAGATCAAGTGTGAAGAAGAGTTATCCCAGCAAGTGGTGTGTAGTGAGGGTTTGGTGACATTGGTTTTGCTCCCTTGTCATGCTGGCTTCTTCAGGAGTTCCCAGGCCACACTGCAGGGCAGAGTGAGGATGAGGCCTGCATTTCCCTCTGTCCCTCCCCGCTCCAGCTTCCCGGGATGGACAGATGCCGTTAGCTCTTACCTGCACCTGCTCAAGTTCTCACCCTCTGGTGGCACCATGTAACTCAGGCTATTTCCAAGCCTCTCAAAGTCCTTTTGTCTCCAACTGGTCACTTCCTTTCTACACCCAGAAGTGCTTCAGGATAGTGTCAAAGCTTGGAGACACTTAGACCCACCACAAGTTCTCCTTTTATTATTTCCTTCTTGCAAGGTGAGAAAGGACAACATCTCAGAATGAAAGATTCTCCTCCATGCCCTCTCAGCAGAGGCCCTAATTCATTTCTCATGGCCCCTTGCAGTGACAAAAGCCGCTGCTTTCTCTCTTGTAAGCGTGCTTCATGCAATAAGTCAAAACTGATGTGCATTTTCCCCCTGGGTGCCAGAGCGCGCTTTGATTTAATTTGCCCTGTTGTTTGGCACAGAGCCTTTGCCAGCGAGTTGCTTTGCAGACCTGGGGAGGCAGGGCCCTGACAGTGATGGGGCGCGGTGACAGATGGGGTTCAGTGGGTAGTGTTTAAATAATTTGCTGCAATGATAAAGGAAATATTGGAGAGTGACAGATGCTCCTGCAGAAATGCAGCCAGACAAACACACACATCCTGTCTGTGGGAGCTAGGGGTCCCGACGATAACACGGGTCCGTGGGCGGCAGGCCCACTCTCCTGCGGCTGGAATCGCTGGGGCCATATGTGAGAGTGGGGCTGATTGGCCCACCTCTGCCTCTCCTGAAGTCACTGGGAACAAACAGATGCACTCATGTGCCGTTTATGCCACTTTCACACCTTCCATCTGAGAACAGGCCCTGCCAGTCCACACAAGCCCAGGGGAAAAAAAAAAAAAAAATCAACCAACAGAGCGAGAGCCAGCTCGCATCCAGCAAGCACCTCTCTTTAGGAATGTCATGGTGGAAAAAGGACCTGGAGAGCCAGGAATGAGAGGAAGAGCACAGAGAATGAGAAAAAGCCGGCAAAGTGATGGAACTCAAAGGTGGAAGGTGGCTGATTGGCTCTGTGAGAGAGGAAAGTGTATCCATTGCAGAGGCCGAACAGTGCAAGTGATTAGGTTGGCCCGCACTCTAAATCCTGGTCAACATTCCTGGCATGCTGCCCCAGTGATGGACACTGGAGGGGTGAGGGAAGCACTGGGTGATGGGCGTTGCTCATTTCAGATGCTATGGTCATGACTGTGGTCTGGTCAGTAATGCTGTCTTCCTCAATGAAGGGCTGCACGTGGGAGGACCACACTGGGATTTGGAAAATAATATGAAAAGGATGTTGGAAAGCAAGACAACCATGGTGTTAGAACCATTGTGTGTGGTATGTGCAAGAGAGAAGTGAATGAGGAGATGCTTCCTAGGAGCCCACCCTCTGCATAGCCTAGACAGAATATTCCACATTTGCCTTCTAGGAAGGAGTATGCACAGATGTGGTGCAGGGATAGAGAAGAGAAGGTGGGAGGAGCTCAATGGAGGAGGACGTTCACTGGGTATGTCTATTTTTATTATTATTATTATTCTTTGGTTCTGATGTTTTGCAGCAGATTTGGGAGTGAGATGCATTTGTGAGAGGAGCGAGGTGAAGATGTGCAACCGAGACCAGCTTCCTGGGTGTAGAGGTGAGCTTGGAAGGAAAGCAACAGGACGGCAGTGGAGCAGGGAAGGGGGAGGCTGACTGGAATGGAAGTGGGCACCCAAGTGGAAGGCAGAGCTGCATGGAAAGCAGAGCAAATAGGACTGAACCACATTCCAGCCAAGAGTCAGCAGCAGAAAGGTGAAGGTGACTCAGGTGGTTCAGCAGATGAGGGCAGCCGCATTAGGACTGAGTCTATTTGCTGGCTTACCTGTTGCGAATTTAACAGCTGTGGATCTCACCACCCACTCCGCACCCCCTTCTCTGACTGGGCAGTGAGCTTCATTCTGAAAGGTGAATTGAGATTTGCCTCTTGGCATTTTCTGGATTTTGTTTTACAGCTAATCAAACAGGCATTAACCACCTGGGAGCCCAGAAGCAGAGTTCCCTCGAGCAGCCGAGTGACACCTTGACCTTTCTGAGGGTACAGATGGAACACCGTCAGAGCCACTTCTGCAGGAATCACTTAAAGGGCTTAATCAGAGCCGTTTTTAGCAGTCTGCAACTCAAGAACGTCATATTGTCAGGAGAGAAAGAAGTTTGGATTACAGTGAAAGAAGACTAAAAGAAAGAGCTAAAAGACAGCTAAAAGAGAGCCAAAAGAGAGCTAAAGAGCTAAAAGAAAGGAGTAGAAAGAGATCAGACTCAAACCAAAGAGATAAAAAAAATGTTCAGGCTCAAATTTATCTTGGCAAACACACTTCTTGTGTCTCCACTGACAGCATCCACCACTTCCACATCTTTTTCTGCTTATCCAACAGGCATAGAAACCTCAACTCCGCATGTGGTTCTAGAAGCAAGGCTGCAGGCTGTGGGCTAGGGCTGTGCTTCCCAAATGGGGAAGATGTTGCCTCCCAGGGGAAATCTGGAAATGTCTGGGGACATTTTTGTTTATCACAATTGGGATGTGCTTGTTACTGCTATCTAGTGGGTAGAGATAAGGGGTGTTGCCCGGTATCCCATCATACACAGAACAGCCCCCACAAGAAGAAATTCGCCAGCCTAAATATCAATGGCGCCAAGAATGAGAACCCCAGGCTGGAGAATCCCAGCAGGGGCAACAGGATTCTGACCTCACTGGAAACCATCCAAACCCATCCAGAAGAGGAGACACTGATTTCCTTTAACCCAGCAGCCATCACCATCACCACAGAATGGTGGTGCGGTCTTCCAGTGATGCAGAAACCGAGTCTTTTATAGAAGTGGGAGAGAGAGAAGGGATCACATTGGAGAAGAAAAATATACAAAGAGGTCAAAGAAAATTAAAGGAATGAGGGAAGAGTGGCCAAAGGAAGGCCAGCGGTAGATGGGACTTGAGAACAATGCCACGGCGGAGCACAGAGAGACACTTAGGAGGACTGAGCAGCTGAGGAGAGGTGAAAACAAAGTGCATTCACAGTGGGTGTGTACAGAGACGTGGGGAAAAGGAGACTGGCCTTCTGTGAAACATGGGAAAAGGTGAGGGGGAAACAAAGCAACAGTTCTAGATAAAGACAAAAGGAAGAGAGGAATCACAGAAATAATAGGAGAAGCAACCAGGAGACAAGTGGGCGAGAAGGAGATTGAAGAATGCTGGGGATGAAGACGGGTTGCGGGGAGACACTCCCCAGGGAGGGGCAGGCAGGAGATAAGGTCTGTCTCTAGCCGGGTGCTCAGTAGAACACACAGGCCCTGTCAGTGCGTCTAAGGGCTAAGTGCCTGGCTGCCGGCTTTACTTGGCAGCTCAAATCTAGAAGAGTTGGTGGACAGGAAGAGTCTGGATAGCAAACAACACCAGGTGAGAGGAGGCTTTGGCAGAGTCCAGAGAGCTGCCTTCCAGCCCCTGCTTGGCTTGAGTTCCCAGCTAAACCTGCAGAGACTGCCTCATTTCTCCAGACTCCATATCCAGGGAGAACTCAGGAGAGTGCAGCACGATGGCAAGCTGAGCTCCTATGTCCTCTGCACGAGGTCCTCAGTATATGCAGATGGAAAGGACAGCCTTTGTTCCTGATGCCTCCTCATAGAGGGGCCGAGCTGAGGGCAGGCCTGAGGAGGTCTTTATCATCTTCACACTGCAAATTGAGCATTTTGGCAAGTCTTAGCCTGAAAAACAGTCTCTGAGAGGAGGGGGAAAAAGTCACTATGGGTATAAGTAACTCTGGACTGGAAGTCAGGGTAATTGGTAGTGATCATGTTGACTCTGAAACCAGCTGGCCACGTGAGCCTGAGCAAGTCATTTTACTTTCTACAGATCTCAGTTTCTTTATTTACAAGGGGAAAAATAAACAATAGGACTAGATAATTTTCAGATTTTTGTTTTCCTAGAGCTAGCATTCAATCAATAAGTGGTCCTTGTATGTAACTAGACAGGCTGCTAAATTTATTTGCTTTTTAAATCATTCTTCTCTGTTTTTTGAAATCTGCCCCATTTTCATAATGGGTATAGTGTGATGAAAACAAACATTATGTTAGAGTTAGCCAGACCTTGGATGAAATCCTGGCTTAGCCGCTTACCTTGGGCACATTATTTAATAAGCCCGACTCTCAATTTTCTCATAGAAGAAATGGGGTAATGCTATCTCTCCTGTGGGATCATAGTGAGGATTAGAAGTCATGCATAGAAAAAGCACCTAGGAGATTAACAGGCCCTCAATAAATGGGGGGTCATTATCATCATCAGATAGTGAGATAGAAGATTACCAGATCCTAAGCTCCAGGACATGGCATGTGTTCCAGAAAGGACATTTTGCTCACAGTTACCATTCTAGAAACATTGTTGTTGGACAGAGAATCCCTTAATAGCAGCAGAGGTAAAACAGAGCCTACTATGGCTTTAGAATCAACATTTTCTTCTAAGTATCCTGCAAGACGGTACTGTAATTAGTATTCTGCAAAGAGGACATCTTTGTCACACAAGTCTGGGGAAACTGGGTTCGTTAGATCAAGGGCAGGATTTTTAGAATCTTTAAGTTCTTATATCCTATGGATCTCCAAATGGGAAATGGAGCACACACAGTTGCTTAAACTTATTTAACCAAGGTACATTTTTCCTCCCTACGTAAATACCCATTAACCTTTCAGAGACAGTCAATGTCACTCTGAACAATGGTTTCAGAAATCATGGTGCACATGGACGGCTGCTCTGATTACCCAGCCATATATCAGGACAAAAAGACCCAGGTATTCATGTATCCGAGCCTGTGTTTCCCATCTATAATTACCAAGAAGTATCTCAAAGCTGCAAGTTGTTTTTCTCTCTCTTTTATTAACCAACTTCTTATTCATCTACCCATCTACATCTCTGGCCTCAGGTGCCTCTGTCCAACACTGTCTTCCAGGCTTCCCCATGGAAAACTGTTGTTCCAGGCTTTCTTTTCCTGCTGCCATATGCCCCACAGAATTGCTCCTCTCCCATTTCCACCCTTTTTTGGGGACTCTCTGCTCTCAAGAAAATGGGTGGCTGAACAGTATGGGATATTCCTGCAGCCAGCCCTGGCTTCAGCTCACTGTTTAGCCAGTGGGCTATATCAAGCTCATCAAATTAAGAATTTGTTACAGGATGCCTGTCAGAAACAAATGAGAAGTTAGGATGGTAGAGCTGATAAAGGAGCTGATAGGGAGCTGAGCTGAAAGGTTGATTGTAGGTAGATAAGCAATTTTTCATAAGATGGGAAACAAATGCTAAGATAAAGATGAGGAAAAGAAGGCCTGCCAAGTAGAACTGACGCTGAGCGGCCAGCCCTGGCTAAGAGGGGAGGGAAAAGGAGAGGTAGGAGGGAGGCTGAGGGGCTTATGGCAGGGAGTGCTCCAAGGACAAACCTGCTTTCAAGACATTCCAAACAGAAGGCCACGGCCTTGCCTCCCAGTCATCACTCTCTGTCTGGGCGGAAAGGCAGGGTGAGGCAAGCCTCAGGTTTGGAGCACCTGTGCTTTACTGCTGCTGTGCTTTGTCACTGTTAGCCTAAAGATTTTCTTCTCATGGGTGGAAGCCTGCGCCTCTTCCTGGCCCTACATTTGCCCTTTGGCCCTCCCCTCTTTGACAAGCCAGAAAATTCCAAGTCCCACACATAAGTAGTAGGCTTGAAATTCCAAACGGCACATTCATACGTACCACTGAGTCCAGCAAAATACACACCGAGGATCATTTTGAGCTTTGGAATAACCCTGTGGGGTAGGCACAGGCACTTCAGGCTATTGGTCCCGCCATTTCGCATCCAAGGATATTGAGACACAGAAAGATATAAACTTTGATCTTTGTACAAAGTGAAACAGCTGGTGAGCAGTGGAGTGGCTTCCACATGCCTTGCCCTTTCCTCATAGGTAGGCTCATCATCGCATAAGGAAGTTTCAAGCTGTGGATGGAGAGCAGATGTGCGATGTGGTTTAAACAGGTACTGCAGATTAGGTTATTCAGGCTACCCTCCCTTTGAAAACTACCAAAGGAACTGGATGAGACAGTTTACATCTTTCTTAAAAGTATCAAAAGCTTCCTTCCTGGTACAGAATTACCAGACCCTAAATTAAAGATAAAACATGAACCAAGAGACAGCTGGTTCCTGACCTGAGGGCATTTGCTGAGTCAGGTAAATTGAAGCCTTTGTTTGACAATCTGAAAGGACAGGGGAACAGGAATCAAAGCCCAACACCCTTTTGAAGTGATGGAGTCTAACAGGAAAAGCTCTGTACAATAAGTGGAGACTGCAAAAAGCTGCATCCCCAAGGTGGGAGTGAACCAAAAGACAAACATTCTCTCCAAGAAATTGTGTTACGGTTTGAATTACCTGGGCTAGCTCAGAAATTAGACACCCTTAATGGAGTTTACATAGACCTCGGTCATCTTGCAGAAGTAAATATAAATCATTCTTTAGGGAAGGTGCTTTCATTTTAGGGCTCAAAATTTTTCAGCTTTTTGTAAAAAAATACAATGAGCCTCACAGAGCCAAAAGTAACCAGGCACACAAGAAAACATGATACTAAGAGTGAGAACAGCATAAAATAGAAAACAGAAACATATACAAATATATCAGATAATGGAATCATGAAACATTGACTGTAAAACAAATATCTTTATATAAAGAAATGCATGACAAACTTGACTAATAATATTGGAAAATAAACCTATTAAAGGTAACTAGCATATTTGAGGAAAAAAAGTAAAAATAGGACTTCTAGAAAAGAAAAATTAAAAATACTGGTGTAAAGGTGTAAAAGAATATGAGACACAGCTAAAGAGAGAATCAATTAACTGTAAGTTAAGTAACGAAAAAAAAAAAAGTGAATAGTGTGAAGAGACAAAGAGATGAAGAATGCCAAACAATGCATAAGGGCATTGACAGAGGGAGGGGTCTTGTCTACATTTAGTGAGGAGTCCCAAAAGGAGAGAAGAAAGGGAAAAGGGGACAAGAGGCAATATTTGAAGAGACAATGGCTGAGAATTTTCCAGAAGTAATAAAAAAATTAATCCATAGATTCCAGAATACTAACAAATCTGAAGAAAAGTTAAAGAAAGAAATCTATAGCTAACACAGCATCGTGAACTTGCAAAAAGCCAAATCCAAAGAAAAAATCTTAAAAGCAACAGGGGTTGTTGGAGGTTGGGCAGAAAGGCAGAAAACGTTCATGGAAATAAAAATAAGATTGACAGCTGACTTCTCAACAGCAGAACTGAGAGCCAAATGTTCCTTAGGAAACTGAAAGAAAATGACTTCCAACTTAACATTCTGTATCAGAATAAGTACCGTTCAGGAATCAGGACAAAATAAGACATTTTCACTAAACAAAAACTGAGAAAATATGCCACTAGCAGCAGAGCTCTCCCAGAGGAAATTCGAAAGAGGATTAAGGCAGAAGGAAAATAATCCCAGATGTAAGGTCTAAGATGCAGGAAGAAATAAACAGAAAGAAGGTGATAAATTGGTGATAAGTGAAAATCATTTAAAACAATATCTTAAAATAGATTGTTAATTAAGCTATATACCAGCAATGGCAATGAAGTTGGGCCAAGAGAGAGAAAATTAAAATTATTTGGACATCCTTGGATTATCGGGGGGAAGGTAAAAACATTGATTAAAATGGTCCTTTAATGAGTTGAAGAGAAAACCGAGAGAAAGTGCCTGGCTGGAGGCCATGACCTTCACCACATCAGGGTGAGAGATCACATTCAGGAGAAAATCCTGGATCCTGACTTCTCAGCCTTTCTCACCTTAATAGTTGTACATGGTTTTAAGAATCATTTCCAGTGTTTAAAGGAAAGGAGGATTCTAAGGAGAAGGAGGGACTGAAGCAATGACACCTAGGATTTGAAATCCAACAACCTGACTCAAGAGACAATTTCTCCAGGAATTTCCTCCTGCCGCCAGTCCTTCTGGGCATCACACAAGGAAACAACCCACGTAGCCAGGATTAAAATGTTGTCCATCTCCTGCAGGTGGGTGGCCTCCTCAGCAGATCAGCTGGGGATAGGCGGTCCCTGCCTTCTCCAGGGAGTTCTTTCTCCAGCTGACAGGAGGGCTGCTTAATTCAAGAAGGAAGTGATCACCACGTTCATGAGGGCTGGAACACACCTTACCCTCACACACACATACACACACACCCTCTCATCACACACACACGATTTATTTTCTAGCCTTCAGCCTTATCCTGTCTCTGGTGTTTTACTGCAATGGCATATTCTTCATGAAGCTCATTTAGAATATGATTGCTTTGCTGATGCCAGTTCAGAGGGGGCTCTGGAGAGAGCTTGGAGAGAAAAGACAAGGCCAAAATCACTTTCAGAGGTACAGGTGCAGTCATGGAACTGAACTGTCACAGAGACAGGAAGTGTGTGGAGCATGTTCCAGCCAGTGCTCCAAAGCAGCAGCTGAACGAGCATCCATGGCAGGGAAGGCTGCAGAGTTGGTATGGGAAACACCAGTGTCCGACACCTTCCTTTCTGATCCCCAAAACAGATGACATTTCCCCCGGGAAAGAAGTCCCTGACCACCACCCTTTCCTATGCAGTGCCCATCCAGCTGAGGAGAGATGCATCTGAATGGTGATTGGCAGTGCAGCTGAGCAAAAGCCTGCATAGCAACGGCTGAGTCTCCATGCTGAGTGGCTGATACATGTTTCCCTCCTGGCATCAATGGGCACACTGAATTTACTGCCTTCAGCTGAAATTGCTTTATTTAGACCTGATGCGTGGTGGACCACTGACAGCCACCAGCTTGATATGACGTCCATTTCTGAGGGAGGGGCACTTCCAGACCTTGGCTTCCGATGTCTTCTTTCAGAAAGAACAAACAACACTTCTGATTTGCATGGCAGTACTGAAGAGAACTAGGTGCTAGGTGAGACCAGGGACCACACTGGCCCTACCCTCCCTCTCTAAAAGCAGGAGGCAGCTTGCTCAGGCAGCCTCCTGGTGCTCAGATGAAAGGCCATTTTAAATAACAGTCATGTATTAAAGCAAGGGGAGAAGAAAGAGAAAAAAAAAACCTCAAGGGCTATAGCACTGCCACAGTTTTAAATTATAGTGTAGGAGGATAAAAATAAAAGAGAGAGAGGAAGACAGAGCAAGGGAAAAAAATTGCCATTGTTTTATGAAGCAGATGGGAAAGTTCAGGGGATCAGAAAAAGACTATTATTATCTCAACTCTACAGTGACAAGCCAGGAGAAGGATGAGCAGTTTTTTCCCCTGTCTCTCCCTCCCTGAGAATGGGACACTGGCGAAATGCATTCTGAATGCAGTTTAAGGGCAGGAGTTCTGAGTCACAAGGGGTAGAATTAAAGATTCATCAGACAAGAACATTTTGGGAGCACTTTCTCCTAATTTCTCCATTTTCTCCCATGTTTGGATGCTGTGGGCTGTGACCATTTAATGGCATTTCAGGTGCTCTCTCTAGGGCCTGTGGAGAGAAGGTGAGGCTCTTGGAAAATCCAAGGATTTAAGAGCTGGAAATGACCTTTCTCAGGGGTTAACTAGTTCAGATTTAAGATTAGAGATACACAGGGGGTAAAATGAGGTAGCAAGTGTCTACTAAGTGTTCAGGTCCAACAAGTGAAAGAAATCAGAGAGTAGAAAAGAGACAGGGATAGAGAAAGAGACAGAGAAAAGAAGGGAAATCCAAAAGGAAAGGAAAGGAGGAAGGTATGAGAATGTGCAGAGGGTGGTCTCCTAGATCCAACTTTAAAGGGTTCTTATCCCCGAATCCAGGATCCCTCCATGGCCCACCTCCTGCTTGAAGACCCTGGCCATACTTCCTTTTGATGATATTTTCCTTCTGAATCTCCAGTATAGTTTGAGTCTGAACCAAACAATTTTGCACTTCATTATATGTTTTTTTCTTATTCATTTATTCACCCAGTAAACATTTATTGGAAAGAAGAGACATCTATTAAAGAGAAGGGAAGCAAAAGTATCTAAGTTTTCTATAGCACGTATATATTTCCTCACTGATTGCTTGCTTACAACCTGCCTCTGAGGAAGTTATGATCCCCATTTTTGCGATGTAAAAACAGAGGCCTAAGCCGGTTTTGTGATTCATCAGGAGCCTCATAGCAACTAAGCGGCAACATTGGGCTTAAAACCCAAATTTGTATAATTCCAATGCCCAGGCCCTGAGTATGTGTCCAAGGATGGATGTTCTAGGGTCTCTGACAACCTCCCTGTCTCTTCTGTGAGCTGGACATACACGCAGATGGCAAACCACAGGGCGATCAATGATGAGCCTGAGATGTGTGCATGTCAAGTTCATGGGGAGCCCAGGAGGAGGGGCCACACTTGGGGGTGAAAACTGGTGCCCAGGAAGGTTTCCCAAAGAGGCAGCCTGTCTGCTGCCTCTGGAAGGATGTGAGGGTGGGCACCAGGTTTGGGGAGGGGAGGAGGATGGAGTGGTTTTCTCAGCAGAGGGAACAGTATCTGCAAAGCTTAAATGTCTGGAGTCCACCCTGGGAAGACGCAGGACAGTGGGGAGCAAGGGCAGGGAATGAGCCTGGGGCTAGAGAGGGTGGCCGGGCTCTTGCCTGCTGTAGGCATCATGCTGGATGCTGAGCTTTGTTCTCAAGGCTTCTGCTCACAATGAAGGTGAGTCGGTATGTGACTGGCGTGTGAAAGGACGGCCGACATACGAAACAGACGATGCCTTCCCGAGCTATAACTACATGTGTTTAGGATGTCACTTGGTAAGTTATTCTTCTTCTACCACTTTAATATCTCAGCTCAGCTCATTTTTCAGCTTCTTCCTCTCAACTCACTCCTCACCGCAGGTGTGCGTTTCAGAAACACAAAATTATTTGAATATTATCCAAAGCAAAACAATTGGAAACCAGAGAGGGAGTCAACTATCAATAATTGGAGGAGGGGGAGAGTGCACATGGCTCCAGATTGGAATAAAAGGGTTTTGTTCTGCCTCCACTGGGAGTTCAGCTCTGTGACCTCGGCAGAATCACTTAATCTGTGGCCGTGCGGTGCTCCTTACCTGTAAAGGAGGAAAATCACCATTGCTGTTTCACTGGGCTGTTGGGAGCTTTAACTGTAAAAAGCCAAGAGATATAGAACGAACTGTTTGACTTTCACTGTGCGATTGTGTCGGTGGAGACACACACGCACGCGCACAGGCATTCACACCCTCCGTGGGCCACCGGGCAGGCTTGGAGGAGTCCCACCTGTGCGGGAGGTGCGGCAAAGGCCCCTTTGCCTGAATCAGCACTTTAGTTCTGGGAAAACAAAGCGGGTGTCTTCCTGGGATTCTCCTGCAGGGCACAGCCAGTTCCGCTCAGTGCTGCTAAGGAGGCTGTGGGCCCAAGGCAAGGAGACTCCACTTTCTCTACTCAGTCTTCCTATTTGCCTCTCATTCTCCTCTAGCCCGGGGCAGCTCTCTCATCAAACCCCTATAGGACAGGGGCACGTGGCCGCCCGGGGAGAAAAGATCCTGACGCGGCAGCTGGGATGAGTAGAGAAGATCAAATCCTGCGGGCTTTCTACTCCTACTGGCCTTGGCTCCCCGAGTCTCTCTGCACACTGTGGGAGCAACCGAGGAGTTTCAACCCTGAAACTGGCACAATGCTGCAACTCCTAAGAAAGAGGAGAGGAAGGGTTTGGAGGGAAGAGCCAGCTGGCATGGCTGAGCCGAGTAGTGGCATGAGGGGAAGGGATACTAAGTCAGTGCTGGGAGGCAAATAACATCCACTGCAGGCCAGCTGGCAGTGGGAAACATTTGTTCTTAGGACAGAGTCCCCGTGACGCTCTGCCCCGCACCAGGACTGCAGGCCGTCGTACAGAAAGGCTCTCCTAATTGCTGTCACTCCCAGCCTTTCCCTGCACCTCCTCCATCGTGCTCTCTCCTCAGCGCTTAATTGATGTATCTAAAAAGGCACCGTGCATAAAATGCTCCGCTTGCTCTTTCTAATATTATGCCTGACAACCAGCCTCCCCGGTGCACGCTCCCCTCAGGCCTGCTCTCTCCTCTGCAATCCCCTCCCTCCTCACCTCTGTCCTGGCATTACCTGGCCCTCCACTTCTCTACTCTGCACTTGAACTTCCTGTGCCCTTTCACCTCCCGTCTGAATGCTTTTTATTGGCCCTGAGGTGCACAGTCTCCATTATTTCTGACCTCTCCCCCGCCTGGACAGTAGGTTCCTTCTCTTCCACCAAAGCTCCAGGAGGCGGCCACAAGAAAACAGACTTCACACGGTGCAGCTTCCCTGTTAAAGTTCCACCCATGCCCCGGCAAACCTCTGTCCTCTGCCAGGCCTGGCAGGGGCCGGGGAACCTCTCTGCCTAATCCAGCAGCCATTGCTTCAGTGCACTTAATATTCACGACAGATAGAACATTTCACGGCGAATTGGACGCACATTCAACTGGAAATGAAAATTTTATGACTGTTCTCACTCAGAGCCGCAGATTACACCAGCTGAGAAAACACGGGCGCAAACGTACAACCTGTGAAGTATATTAATAATGAAACCACAGCCTGGGAAATGAAGGCTTTATTCTGTTTATATTCTGCTCCATTAATAGAAGGCACTTCAGCTAGCTCCGCCCCATTAGCCAGCAATCTGTGCAGTGAGCCGGTGGGCTGGGGGAACTGGGGGCTCCCTCTCGGCCCACCACACTGGCTGCAGAACACCCAGAGGTCACAGGCTTTCTCTCAGTGACAGGCATAGGGGCCTGTGCACCTGCGTTGTGAATAGCTCCTATGTACAGAGAAGCTAGTGTGGTTTTGATCAGAAGACATGTGTGTCCCTATTAGAATAGCAAGGTTGAAAAGAGAAGGTTCTCACCTGATCCAGAAACAAGAGGGTCAATGATAGCCTAGAGCCAGAGAGAGATAAAGTGTAAGTTAGTGTACAGTAGTTCTTAAAGTGGGGTACTGAATCACCACCCAAGAATCACCTGGGGTACACATTTAAAATGAAGATTGGTAGACCCAATCCCAGAATTGATGAATCAGTCTGTTGCGTTATTAAACTAAGTTTGAGGAGTGCTGTCTCAACTTTATCAAACTCCAGATGAAATAAGCTCACCTTTCCTCGCAGCTGTCTTTAATATTCAAACAGCAATAAAAACCCATAGGCAGAGACAGTAGCTGCATTCTTCCAGGGGTTGCATTACCTGAGACCTAGTTCCAGGATGAGCACACATATGTGGCCACAGCCAGGGCTAGAGCCTGGGGATGGGTGACTGAGGGACTGGCCATCCCTCCCTTCTACACTGAGCACTGATCAGCGGCTGCCTTAGGGTCACTGGCTGCAGGTGTGGCAGGAAGCCCCGAGCTCAGGATGGCAGAGGGCCCGTCTCTCCCTGTCAGCCCCAGCCTGGAATGATTTACGGATCTGCAGTGTAATTAGTGACAACTGGAAAGAATTCAAGAACCTGATGAGCCCATCATGAGAGCCCATGAGACGGGATGGCAGACGGCGGAGACAAAAATGAACCTGGGGACCCTTTAGTGAAGGAGGGTCTAAACCCTGGCAGCCTCCACTCCTGCCTCTGCTCTGGGCCTGTGAGGGCTCAGGGCCATGCTGCAGGGCTGGGGGTTCTGTGGGCCAATATGCCAGCTGCATAGCCCTCTTGTGGACTACTGGGCAAGAGTCTCCCCTTCCATGACCCTCCAGGCTTCCTGGCTCCACCAGTGGCCCAGGATTGGTCCAAAAGTTGGGCAGATGGTCAGTTCTGGGAAGTGGTAAAAACACACTGTCATAAGGTGCTTGGGTACATCGGAAGGTCACCTCACTCCATTTTCAGCAAAGGAAACAAATACCACCTCTCATTTCCTGGCCCCCTGCTCCAGGCATGGGCTAAGGATGAGGGAAACCCTCTACTTCTCTGTTCCCCTTCAATGTCCACTGTGTCCTGGGGCTCTGAGCGTGCAGAAGGCCACATCTGCTGCAGAGGGATTCTGCACTCCCAGGCCAGCCCCACAGAGAATTATTCAGAGCAAGAGTAGGAACGGCTCCACTGGCATACATGGCACTGTCAATGCCTCGACGTACCCCCAATAATGCGAAATAGCCTATATATGTTTGATATTTTTTGAATGACAAATTCAAATATTTGTTGAGTCACATGGAGTTTGCACCCTTGCTATTTATGAACCTAAATTCTCTGAGACAAATCAAAGTTTACTGACTTCTTACCAAGCTCTTCCAGAAAGCCTCCTCTCTCAGACTTTGCTTCAAAACATGATCAAAGATTTGAGCAGTAATTTGTTAGTAAGAGCTCTTCATTTGCATATGAAGAGCCAAAAACATTGAGAAGGGAAGTGATATGTCCTCCCTAAATTAGAAGCTGTTAGACCTGGATGTTGAGTACTCACCTTTATAGCTTAAGCTAAGAACTCTGCAGCGTCTTCTTAAAATTGAGGGGCAAAAATGGGTTTTTCTTGAAATTCAGTCCCTGTGTCTGAAGTCTTATTGCTGGGAAACATCCTTATGTGTTTTCAAATACAGCTGTGCTACTCTCCTCCCTGCCACACCAGTGCAAAATGCCACAGATTATGCAAAGCACATCATGGAAGCTAAAATGAGCTGGAGCTCGATTTCTGTAGCTGAAACAACCTGATGTTGACAGAATGGGGACGCGTTTCCAAGCTCAAAATTTTATAATAATACCTCGAGGGAGTCATTGGCAAAGTTCGGCCAAAGTCTAATTAGTTTGCACAGCTCTTAGAGGCTGATAAAAGGTTTTAATTTGTGGAGTGATCTCATGAATCTCAGACACTTTGTGGCTGCTCTTGCTTTACTTTCAAACAGGGTGGCTACTCGGGCCGTGTGAAAGCGGTGCAAACCCAGCCCAGGCTGCGCAGGCCTAAGGGCACCTGAGGGAGGGGAAAGGGAAGTAGAATTTCTTTGCTCTTTTGATAACCAGGATAGAAGAAAAACTAGCGAGACGCCCAAATGACACCTCTTCTTTCTTTGCTATTCTTTCTTTCTCCCTCTTGCACTCTGTCCCCACCCACCATTTTTTTAACTAAGCAGGAGCCCCCCTTTTTTCCCCTAAATGTAACATTTTTTCTTCACAAATTGAGAAGCTTGGAGAATTTACTCAGCTTGATCCTCCATTTCCAGGAAAGCCAAAAGGAAATCCTCAGTCATTTTCTTGTGTGTACTTTAATTGTTAAGATGGGGACTCTCTGGAGAGCGGATAAAGAAAGATGATAATGCAAATCAAGACAGCTTGACTTCCAGAGGGTTACCCAGGATGGGGAAGGCTCCACTAGTTGATCTGAGGCTAAGGACTGAGAGGCCTACTGAAGGCTCTTGAATTCTTCCGATTAGCTGAGAGACAAACAAACGTGAGAAAAATAACCGAATGAGATGGCATCAAACAACCACAATCTATTGTGCCATTGCAAAGTACAATTGAGCAAAGGCTGGGATTGCATCTGATAGCATAATATAGGTTTTACTCACAGTAATTTGCCTCAGAGGGAGAGAAAACACAGCACACACATACTGCGACCATCACAACAAAGGCTAGTTTACATTTTCCTCCCAAATGCTGCTTCTTAACAGAGAATTGTACTGTGTATGGGCAATTGGGCTTGATGAATGTACTATAAATCAGGGAGCAGGACTGGAGGGTGCATCCAAGTGCACTTGTGGATATGAGGCTTGTATACAAACATGCAAAATAATTGTGCACTTTCACGATAGCTTTTAAGAAAGACCCCAGAAGTTTTACATCTATATCACAGATATTTTTAGTATTAGGAGTACGGAACAATTCATTATCAGCTTCATTTTACAGAGACACATGCAAGAGGTCATGGCAAGAGGTGAGCATGCCTGGACAGAGCCAGTTACCAAAAGGGTGCTGTTTGTGTTTACGACTTTGAATTACTCTGATTGTATGTCCCTGCTCAACAGTGAAAATATCCCATTAGTTGATTTGGCTCATGTAACTAGACGTCACTGAATTGTATTGCTGGGGGGGATGAGGACTAAATAATATTACAGTTAATTGTATAGCATTTCATCCAACACATGGTAACTATTCAGTAAAAACGGTTAAATTGGCCTCAGAGCACCAATCACATGATTATCAACCAAATAAAATAGGCTTTATATGCCAAAAGGAAAAAACATTATATATAAATTTGTTATATATGAAATACATATATTAAAGTTTACAGAAGGCAAATTTCTTAATTTTTCTAATACAGGTTGAGTATCCCTTATGTGAAATGCTTTGGACCAGAAGTGTTTCAGATTTTGGATTTTTTGAAATACTGGAATATCTGTGTATACATAATGGGATATCTTGGGGACGGGTCCCAAGTCTAAACATAAAATTCACTTATGTTTCATATATACTTTATACACATAGCCTAAAGGTAATTTTAGACAGTATTTTAAATATTTTTTGTGTGAAACAAAGTTTTGGCTGCGTTTTGACTGTGACCTCTCACATGAAGTCAGGTGTGGAATTTTCCATTTGTGATATCATGTCAGTGCTTAAAAAGTTTTGGATTTTGGAACATTTCTGATTTTGGATTTTCTAATCAGGGATGTTCAACTGTAGAAACACTTGGGATTTCCCCAGCCACAATATTTCTGTAACTGTTTCAATTCACAACTTTGTTATGCCAAAGCGCATTTTACTGACGACATATCTCAACGTGTTTAGAATTTTTTTCTCTATCTAATTTCACCCCCTAATCTCTCAAGTTCTTTCGAACAAATTTCCTTCAGTGCAGTCTTCCATTTTTGGGTGCTTGAAAAAGCCAGTGGCAAAGTATCTTCAACAGGATGGCATTTTTCTGGCAAATGCGTAGTCTCCAGCGAACAGCTGCTCTCTAGAGCTAAGCTGAGGGTTCCACCCATGTTTGGAACAGGACAATCCCTCATTGGAATATGTAAAAACATTCTTGAGATGGAAGAGTCAAGTTAGTAATGCCCAGTTTTAAAATTGGAGACGCTACAAGAAAGAACTGGAGTTGTAGTTGTATTGGAGACTCACCCAAGAAGACTGTTAGAATCACCATTTCAAAATTAGACCCAGTTTATACTCTGAGCTTTCTGCTAGATTCCACTCTGTCTTTTATCTATGGTTCAATAAAAAGAATTAGACATTATCTCTACAAAGAAAACTGCTTACAGAGTTGAGGAAAAAAGAGAAGGACTAAAATGCACCACCAAATGGTATCACAAAAAGTTATTTATATTTGTCTCTCATGATAAATTATGAAATCCCCAAAGACAGAAATCATGTCTCATTTGTTTTTACTTTTCTAATTTTTACTTGTTTTTCCAGCTTTACCAGAACCTAGCAGATGCTAAGCAAATGTTTGTGGATGGATGGATGGATGGATGGATGGACGGATGGAGGGATGGAGGGATGGACGGATGATGGATGAATGGATGGATGGGTGGTTGGATGGATGAATGGATGGATGGATGATGGATGGATGGATGGATGGGTGGTTGGATGGATGAATGGATGGATAAATGAACTAGGAGAGGCATAATGCTCCCAAACCAGATAAATGTAATCCAAACACTAGTGGAACAGTTTGGTAGACAATATGAAAATAAATTAGTGATGTCCTTTTCCTTTAATTGTGATAAAATTTGAAAAGAAGAATTATTATTGTTATGCTACTCTTATAGAGGATGAAACACATCACACATACAGACATGCACACACACCCCTCACACTTCATATGTATGGCCGGAGATAAAAACTATTCATTATAAGTTTTCAAGATGGGTACAATAAAAAGGTTTGGGAGGGAAGATGTACAGTAAAAGACATTCCCAATTTATACCGTTGGCCAAGTTCTGCTATTCTTGAGATTACATATTAAATCACAAAGACTTTTTTTCTGTCTCTCTCAGTAAAATGCAATGATGGTGGTGCTTGGGCAGATGAACATGGTAAACTGAGAGAGGCTTTGAGAAACATAACAGCCCCACCTTAGTTTTTAAAGAAGAAACCCTGGAATTTTCTAATAAACCATTTTTAAAATTTCAACCACTATTACCTGGGCTAGGTTTATGGGATGATTGCTTAAGTTTTAAATTCATTTAGGCTGTGCAGAGAAAAGGTTTTCAACATCAGGAAAACAGATAATTTTGGGAAACTCACCAGTGGCATAGCAGAAAATGTATTTATTTCTCTTTACAGAAAAACATTAGATTGGATTCCAAGAGTCCGAAGTTCAAGCCCTTTCGATTCTTTCTCAATTGGTAATATAAAAGTAATTTCTTACGACATTTTAGGACTACAATGTTCTCTGCCCTAAAAATCTGAAGTCACCGACTTACGGCAGTGTCTCTGGTGTCTATTGTATCTGGGATATTCTTTCTGAGAAGTTTTTGTGCTTCATTCACCCCAGGACCTGTATAGATGTTGTCAGCATTTGATGGAGCAAAAGGAATTCATTTCTGTTTGCCCACCTCAAAAATGGTAGCTATGCTGCTGTTTTATTAGACTGCATGGAGCATGATCTTGAACAAGGCAGTGCAGACATTTCTTAGAGAAACAAGGCTCCTTTTGCTGTGGACCTGCAACATCAGCATCCCCTGGGAGCCACTTAGAGATGAAGACTTTTCAGCCCTACCCCAGACCTGCTGAATTAGAATCTGCACTTTAACAAAGTCCTCAGGTGACTTTATGCAGCTTACAGCAAGAATGTAAGTGACAAGGGAGGCTTTATGCAGAAACTTCTTTCATCTGCTCCTCTGTTTCTTGGTGTGTCTCCAGCTGCGTTTCACCTAAGGCAATGAGCTCCGCGAGTCCACACGCAGGCTGCTATGAGCTCAGCAAATGGCCAGAGCTCTGGGAGGCTGCCCTGCCTCTCATACCGAAAGACAACCTCATGCCAAAAGACAATCTCATTGTCTAGTTCTGTCTTCTGTCTATTGTGGGTTGCTGTGGTGATTCTGAAGATGCCAAACAGAAGAGAAAAGCCAAATGTGGTCAGAAAATGGATTCTGTGGATTCATAACTCCTGAGCTTAGAGAGGGGAGGCATGTGGATTATTTTCAGCCATCATATCACCTTTGCCTCTTCCCAGGCGTTTGGGACCAGCAGAACAGAGGATGCGTGCCCTCTGCCTGCTTCCTTCTCCTGCCTCCCTTGGTCCCTCACTCCACAATCCTCCCCCATCTTATGCACACATCTCTGGGCGGGGCTCGCTCACCTGTAACCTTTCCTCTCCTCTCCCCTCAGCTCCAGCCTCTTCTCAAAGGATGTCTCCCATCCTCGCCGATTAAGGGTATATCAAAAAGAGTGGCAGATTTCCAGGTTAAGAGTGATTTAGTGGAGTGCACTGCAGCCAAATTAATGCTGGCTGTAATGTAGTTTACCTCATTAAACAATGCACACCAAGATCCTGTCTGCTGTAAAACAATTGGTCTCTGAAGCCCAGTATTCATCTTCCAGGGTTGCTGGGAGATAATAAATGGGTAATATTCCGGTGATAATGGTAATGGAGTCACGGCTCAGAGCTAATATTATGGCAAAGTAGTAATTATTTCAACAGTAAACAAGGGGATGGTTGGGCTGCCGACAGAATTCAAGCCTATTGAAAGGGTTCAGCGAATTTCCTCGGAGCCGAGGCCTGGGACTGGCTGAGCGGGGAGGATGAAACTCCAAATCTCTCTGCGCGCCCAGATTTCCTCTGGCTACGGAGAGACGAAGACATCCAAGCTTTTACTTGCCCTGCTTCTGATTTACAGGGGAGGACAGTTGGCTTGAGGCCTCTGCCTGTGGGTTCCAGAGAGAGGGACTAGCATTGGGACGCACCCCACCTCCGTCTCCACAGTGTAGCCCTCAGCCTGAGATGCTGAGACTGAGTGCGGCTTTGTCAGGCAGTGAGAATGTCCACAAACGGGCTGAAAACGTAGACCTCTTCACGGGACCGGCTTCTTTCACTTTCCGCCATTTGGATGGGGTCAGTGGCCCAAAGGCTGAGAGAGTAAAGAGCTAATTATCAAGACAAAATTTCAGGACTCTGTGATTCTAGAGCTACCTGAATCTGACAGAAACTCTGGGATCACTGTGACGTACCGAGATCCCAAAGAAAAACCCTGAGGTCAGATCGCAAACTGAGGGCACTGGAAAGGCCCTCGTGGAGCCGAGAGCGTAAGTCCACCTTGTCTTGACCAAAGGAAGCAAGTGCAGAGGGACAGAGAAGGTGACGTGAGGAGCAAAGGACAACAGGACATCTAAGTTAGCATCTGGCATTTCTTCAGGATGATGGACCCATGTTCCGGACGTTTACTGCTGAGGAGCAAATGGCTCCAAAACAGGGGCTTACACCAGCAATGGCCATCTTAGTTTTCTGCTCATGAATCCGGGGTGGAATGAGCTCAACCAGCAGATCTCATCAGGGTCTTCCATGAGGTTTCTGGCCAGATCGTGGAGGACTGGGGTCCTCTCTAGGGCTGCTGCACTTCCAGACTCTGACAGCTGGGCCCGGGGATCTGGGCCCCTGGTCTCCCCTCTCTTGAAGGTCTCGCCATGTGGTGTCCCCAGGAAAAACCAGCAGAAGCTGTGTGGCCTTCGGTAACCTGGCCTTCGACATCACACAGCCTTCCTTCCACCTCACTCCATTCTTTCGGAGGGAGTCAGTAAGGCCAGCCATTCTCCATGCCGGGAGATTAGACTGCCACGGGTGAGAGTGGCGCAAAGAATTCTCGGACACTTCTGAGCACTAGCACAGCCCACTGCTTCAGTCTGGCTTGCTCTGCCTTTCTACAGCAGTGCTATGGTTTCCCTGCCTCTGATTTTGATTCAAAACCTTTTCATTGCTCTGTCCATCCCTGTCGATTCAAGTATAGGTAAGGCTCTCCCCATCTTCTCATCCTAATAACACTAGTAATCATGGCTGCTGTGGATGAGTGCTCCATTATGCCTACAGTGGATGTGGAATAGTTATGCCGTCCCACTTTTAGAGGTGTATATTCCTCCCAAGTTACAATTGGAGAAGCGGCTGACAAATGTGAAGCAGATGGAAACACAGGTCTGTTTGATTCCAAGTCTATTATCTTTCCCCAGTGCTGTTTTCCTTCTAAGTAAAATTAGTTTCTATAGATACGATATGAGCTACTAAAAAATTGCCACAAAAGTTATTACTATATAACTTTGGAAAAATCACCAAACCTCTCTGAGCTTCAATGTTCTTATCTGTAAAATGAAGATTACAATGGTACTTACCTCATTATGAAGATTAAATGTGATCACAGATGTAGAGCACTTCACTCAGGCTTGGTAAAGAATAAATGCTCCAGAAAAGTTGGCTAATGATACTTTGTCATGCCTTCAATGACAACGAAATCATTTTCAAGCATAGGCTTTATTTTGCAAACAGCCATTTGGCTCAAACTATCATGAATTAAGCGAGTTATACAATTTTGTTGTGTGTGTGTGTGTGTGTGTGTGTGTGTCTGTGTGTGTGCCTGTCAAAAAATTGAGGGCTGACTTTTTAAACCAAATCGAAGGCATTTTGATGACATGTATTCCAAAAAGGGTCACAGCAATGGCAGATCACTGACTACTTCCTGGGGGTATACTAAGTAGTTCTGATAATTGTCAAAAACACCACATTGTTCAAATAGACTGCATATGCCAGAGGTGAATATTAATCAGTTGAAAATTTTCCCAGGGGGTTCACTTTTAAAAACACTAATAATGGGATAATAAACAGGCCCATATAGAATTGTGTGGAATTATCTTGGAAAATCCACCCTGTCAGATGTCGATGCTTATGGCAGGGTGGTCTCTGAGCCCCATGTGGCTCAGCCTGCATTACCTCAGCTAATTGATAAAAAGCCCAAGGGACTTTTGCAGGGCAAATGAGTTAGTGCTACATAGGGAGAGGAAGAAAAAGAAAAGTAGGAAAGAAATAGAACTTCCTTTTTATAGTTTTGTTTCTCCTATTTCAGTGCTACCAAAAGTACTACATTCTAGGCATCTGCTAATTCTGAAATGTGACCACCTTTCAATCCAGTTTACAACACAAGAGGAAGAACGTTCTGGAGGCTGGAGATGCGTGATGACTGGACACACACATGCATACACGCTCACACACATGCACACACACCCACACCCACACACAGTGAACACTTAAAGCCTGATGGGGGTTTGATAACCCACCTTGCTTCCTATTGATGCATCATTGGAGGCTCCAACATTTCTCATCTCCTTGAGGGGTCGGAAGATGATTCTAATGGTATTTAATGAAGATGGAAGCAGAGATGACTCCCCCTGCATTAGAAAACCCATGTGGGTTGACTTTAGAATCTGGGCTTCATTCCAGAATTCATCCCATTGACAACTAGGGAATGTCATGAGTCAGACTGCTGCTACAACAGAGTCTTCAGATCATATGGAGCGCTCTGCATCACAGCAAAGGGGAGAACCACATTAATACAGGCAGGCATGTTGCCTGCTGGTTCACCAAAGGCCCGTCCTGATTTAATTCAATATCTGTTTCAGCTAAACATATCTTACTGGAATCTAACGTTGAAAATCTATTTCTAAAGGCTCAGTTTATGACTACAAGATTGACACAAACACATATTACACATTTTCAAAAGTAACAAAGTTATGTAGAAGAATATAAATGACACATACTTCAAACAGTTAACAATAACTAGTAATTTTTTGATGTAAAAATTGAGATTCACTTTTGAAAGTGACAAGATTTCAAAGTCCATCTCAATAGAAAAGAAATCTCTATGACAAAGTGGTCCCTTTCTCTTCTTGTTGAAATCATTATTATTATAACGTGTAAAGTGTTTTTGAAATTATGAAATCGTAATTACGGGATTCTGAGAGGTCCTGAGGAGATACCTAAGGAATTCAAAAGAAATGTAGTAAATTGAGTAGGGCTCATTTGACCATGGTCTTCTGGTCAACTTAAGGCATGCCACCTCTGCTTCACAAATAAACTTTTGCTACAGAGAGATTCCAGACAGAAAACAGGGAGAGAGGGTGAAGAGGCAGGAAGAAGAGTTGGTGATGGTAAAATATGGGTTTGAAACCAGCAGAGATAAGGAGTATGCAATGATATGTTTTGGTTGAAGGTGCTGATTGAGGCAAATGTGCTCCTCCTGGGAAGATGATGGCCCTCTCTAAGGCAGTACTAGCGAAGACCGACTCAGATGCTGCCACAGAATGCTGTATGCTACAGAAACAAAGCAACCAGTGCCACTATCCAAAAACAAACTTCCCCATAGATAGAACCAGAACCAACTGCAGACCAGTGAGCATAACCAAAGATCCAGGGCAAGAATCAGATTTTTGTTAACCCCAGTTAAGAATGACTCCAAAAAAGCCAAAGTGGGCAGGATATAGAATTGTTTGCATAATGAAGATGGAGGCAGAGATGACTAGTCAGGGACGAGGCAAGAAAGTGTCTTGTTGTAGCTGAGGTTGAAAATAAGGTGAGCCATAGCTGTCGACTGGAGCACAACATCTACAAGCCAGGGAGGACCCCTGGAGGGTGGCAGGGGCCACTCTTGGAAGACAGAGAAGTGGGCATCATTTGGAATGGATGTGAGAACTATCCTCATTGCAACTTCACAGAGTGCTGAGGAAAGGCAACAAAAAGGGAGTATGGAGAAAAATAAGAATTTTAATAACAGTGTTCAGAACCTTCAGGAGTCCATGTTCATGCAGTGCAGGGATTGGCAGACTTCTCTAAAGGACCAGATAATAAATATCTCAGGCTTTGCCAACCTATACCTACAATCTAGTTGCAACTACTCCACTCTGACATCGTAAGACAAAAGCAGGCATAAACAAATGGGCATGGCTGTGTTCTGATAAAACTTTATTTAGAGACAATGACACTTTAATTTCAAATAATTTGCACAAGTCATGAAATATGATTCTTCTTTAATTTTTTCAACCACTTAAAAATATGAAATTCATTGTGAGCCCACAAGCTATTCGTAAACCTACCTGCCTTAATCTGCTGATCCCTAGTGACATGAAATGAGACAATAAGAGTCAACACTGGCTTTGAGATATTTTTCATCCTGGCTGTAGTGCAGTGGCGCGGTCTTGGCTCACCACAACCTCTGCCTCCCAGGTTCAACTGATTCTCCTCCCTCAGCCTCCCAAGTAGCTAGAATTACAGGTGTGTACCACCATACCTGGCTAATTTTATTTTGCATTTTTAGTAGAGACAGGGTTTCACCATGTTGGCCAGGTGGTCTTGAACTCCTGACCTCAAGTGATCTGCCTGCCTTGGCCTCCCAAAGTGCTGGGATTACAGGCGTGAGTCCCCGTGCCTGTCTGGCCCCATTCTAAAACTGGTATCAATCCCGTTGTTCCTTTTGCCCAGTGATTTACCTTTTGATTCCTGCACTGCCCAGCTGTGTCCTAACGTTCAACTCTCTTCATTTCCTTAGACTCCCTTCCACCACAGCATTTGTGAAATGGTTAGGTGAACTTTCAGATTAATTGTGCTGTGTAAATAAATGCAGGAGTTAGCAAACGATAATGAGAACAAATGATAATTGCTGTTGTTATAACAACGGTCATAAACGCCGCTTACGTTTTTTGCTTTTTGAGTTTGTGTTGCAAAAATGTAAAAACACCTTTATCTTAGAAGATTGCTCTGTGGTGGGTTTACACCTCTCCTGTCTGCCTTTTTTATTTTCTTGGCACTGCCCAAAAGAATATGCATAATTAATACAAAACTTTTAATAAAGGATAATGTGCGTAATGTGTTCATGTTTACAAAGCACCTCCAATGTACTGTTGCTAATCTTCATATTCTGATCCTATTTTACAGATGAGGTAACAAAGGTTCAGAGAAGTTAATTGGTTTGTTAAGAGTCACCCACTTAGTAACTGGCAGAGCAAAGAGGCAAACCAAGTGTTCTGACCAAAGTGCTCTTCACTTCCCCGTATTCCCTGCCCTCTCCTCTAGTTATGTGTGAGCTGGGACATCAGGTTAAAAGCTTTCCTCACCCAAGTGTAGACCATAGACAAGCCAGCTGCAGCAGCGACAGGTGGGCGACTCGTCCTGTCCCAGCAGTGTGCCCGGGTCCCAGTTCCTTTCATGAATGCGGGAGATCAGTTGTCAGCTTCCCCACACTCTTTGCTTTCTCTCCTCCTCTTTTCCCCTAATGTTTGCCAACGTGGTATATATCATCAGATGGTGAAATAATTTACACTCGCCCCTCTGAGCGCTTGGCAAGCACCTCCTTTCCTTTCCTCGCACAGTGGGAAGTTTATAGTCAATATGAATTGTAATTGCTCTGAAGGGCTGACTTCTCAGCACTCTCCAGCTGCAGAGCTCTCCCAGGCGAGACGCAGGTAGAGTGACAACAACGCAACGTGAAGTTTTTAATTCCCTTTTGTGTCTCCCTTGGATCTGGAAAGAGACACTGCTGTGAACCTCCTGGCTCTCTTGCTCTGCCTTCCACCCACTTGGCAGCTACATCGCCTAGGGAGGACAGCAGACGGGTCTCCTCCCACTGCACTGCCCTATCCATTAGCTAGGCAGGGGGAGAACTTTCATTTGAAAAGTGCATGAAAACAGCGTCAGAGCTGATGTTTAATATCAAATGAGGCCAGCAGCATCTTGATATTATCAAGGCCTGTGGACAGCACTGACTATTCCCAAGTTACTTTCTTATGGAAGTAGGAATGAAGGAGGCTCGTCACTGGGCAGACTGGTATCCAGCTCATAGCTCACAGCTCATAGCTAAATTCACTTTGTGTAATGTGGCTAGGAAGTTGCTTACCCAGCAATGACGAAAAACATATCACAGTTCAAGACTGGACCATCACATTTTGAATAAAATGCCCTTTTAGAATAGAAATAAGAATGTATCCATTTGTTTTGGTTTATTAAAACCTAGATCATAGTATTACTTTCAGTTAAATTTCAATCACTTTTTGCTCCCTTAATAAAACTTCTGTGTCTATGCAAATTGGAGGCTGCTAATTGTAAATTTACCCTTTTACCTGTAAAAGAAAGGATGTTAAGAAAGCAACAAGCAGTCATTCGCTATCGCTATTAAATGGACGTTAATTATGAGGCTTTGAAATCCACTGGAAACTTAGAAGACATTATGGATTTCACTTGAGGGGACATGGAGACTTGGAAACACTGCCAAAAGAAAATGGTAGCCCTTGTACCAACAGGTCATCTGAGAATAGTATAGGCCAAACTCTGCATTAGAGAAAATGGAGTATTGTGAAAAGGTCTTGAAGATGGACATTTGCATCTTAGCTTGCCACATCCGGCACTTTACTCTGTGCTATAAACAGTATGTTCATCTTTAAGATTAAGAAGACACATTTGCTGAGGACAGGAATAACTACCAATTCTAATGCTCACTCTGTGTACCACCTGTGATGTCACCACTCTGACACTTATTGAGCATTATTATTACAATTATTATGAGAGACAAGGTGTCACTCTATCACACAGGCTGGAGTGCAGTAGTGTGTTCATAGCTCACTGCAGCCTCGACCCCCTGGCCTCAAGTGATCCTTCTGCCTCAGCTGCGACTGCAGGTGCGCATCACCACACCCAGCTGATTAAAAAATTTTTTTGTAGAGATGGGGGTCTCATTATGTTGCCTAGGCTGGTCTCGAACTCCTGGGCTTGTGAGCCTCCTCCCTCAGTCTCCTATTGTGCTGGGATTACAGGTGTGCGCCACCACACCAATCCTGAGCATTTGTTTTATATCAGGCCCCGGCATGCATTTACATGAGTTACCTCATATAATCCTTACAACAAGCTAGGAATATACATCCTATCACGGTCTTAACTTGACAGAGGAGATGGCGAAGGCTCAGAGAGGGTGGGCAAAGTGCGCAAGGCGCGGCTGCTTGGAGAGTGGTGAGCAGAAAGGGAGCGTTGAGGTTCATCGTTATGCCCCTGATTAAGCTCCAGGCCCAGGTCCTGAAACCCAGTTCAAATGCAGAAAAGACAGCTGCTGATGCCGCCAGACACATCCAGGAGGCTGGGTGCAGGTCCCATCTCCACCTCTGACTTGACCTCCAGCAAGTTAACTAACATTTCTGCACCTCACTTTCCCTATTTTTTGAATATAGATAATAATATGACATTATTACCTACTTCACAGTGCTGCTCTAAAGATAAACATGCTGATATAGGTAAAGTTCTGTCAGATACTTTAAAAAATGAGAAGTCTTTGCTGCTACTGTTTATAATCGTCTTTATTAGCTTTGCTGTTCCCCACTCAGCATGTCCCCCTCCAATCAATCCCTTTGTACTCAAATGAGAAGATACATCGACTCTCAGGGCTCAGCTTCCTCTCTCTTAAAAGCTGTACTTTCTCACAGGCCAGCTACTAAGTAACTTATTTGTGTTTAATTGTCATTTATATTAGAGACAGAGCCAATTAACCTTCTGTTGGGATTCTCATGTACAGGTTAAATGACTTGCTCAAGGCAGCCCAGATTCTATGACGGCAGTTGCCATGGAAGGAAGGTTGCTGCTCTCTTGCCTATATGGCAATAGATAAAGTAGCTACTGTACAGTGGAATTTTTAGGCATAGAATAATGAGGGCAAAAGAGGGTGAATGGCTCCTTGAGTGAACATGCCAAGACTTGCCATGTGGTCCTTCTATCCATAGAGGTGACTGCTGCTACCCATTTATCTTAGATGGTTGAACCACTTTCCTCCCCAGAGCCAGGCTCTGGGCCATATAACATGACATGATATGCAGTAGAACAAGACAAAACACTAGCTTCTGAATCTACAGATTGTCATGAATTCAGACCTCGTCCAACACAGTTTAGACGTCAACTTTCCTTGGGGAATTATGAACTCTCAAAACTTTGATCTTCTTTTCTGTAAAATACCGTTAATAGACATACTAACTGCAGACAGTTGTTGGAATCAAATGAACATATGAAAATATTTTAAAACTTAAAAGTAGTAAAAAATATAAACTATATGGATTCTAGCCAAAAAGAAGGTGATATAATTTAGTAACGCCTTCAGTAACTAGATTGATTCATCTTGAATTTTCTTGTTAGTATTGAAACAGAATAGGTAATGAGTTCGGAGTGAAACCTCTGGAACCAGGTTGCCTGGTTAAGTCTTGGCCATATTGCACGTTAGGGAGCACCTGTGAGCAAGCGGTCTAAGTGCGTGCTCTGCGCCTCAGTTCCCTCATCTGCAAAAGAACAGCAAGAACACCTACATCATAAGGCCGTCAAGAAAAATGAGGAGTTCTCAAATGGAAAACACTTAGAAGAGTGCCTGGAACATAGCCAAGCTACCGTAAAAATATCAGACACTATGCAGAGGATGAAGAGGAGGTGGGAAGGAGGTGATCACGGTGATGAGGATGATGATCCCTCTTTCAGTTATTCGTTTCTCAAGTAGTTAGAATCTCACCATTTTAGGCAGCTGCTATTTCCCTAATCATAACCACCTTCATTTTCAGGCACAGATGACTCATGCCTAGCCTAAGAATCCAGGCTTACCAGAAGGTCCTAGGGTTCCTTCCTGCTCTCCGCATGACAACAGTGCAGTGGGGCTCCCATCAAGAGGTCCTGATAACCATGACAACATGAGCAGTGCTACTCTACTGAGGATGTCATTGCCATGACAACACCTGAGTGACCCAAACCAAGAGGTCTAGGAAACTGGTGATGCAGAGAGAAGACATGTCAGCACACGGAGGAACGTGACCGCTCAGAAGCAGCACAGGGGCTGGTCAGTGTGGGCAGCTGGAAGCAAAACTAAAGACAGCAGAATGATGTGGAGGAAAACACTGTGGTCACTCACTAATTTGCTCTAATTTCTCAAGAGCCATGAGTTCTGGGGAGAAGGTGGGTACAGAGAGGGATGGAAGCTATTCTCTCCTATTCCCCATCTTATACAATGTTCTATCAATCAACTGGCTTTCCCTCTCCAAGAAAGGAGTGCCTCTAGGGCAATGGTGGCAATGAGAATAGGTTTGTTAGGACTCTGAAGAGGAGCATTTTGGATGAATACCCAGGAAGTCACCTGGAAGCCAAGATTAGATGGGCAAGGTATGGCGGCAGGTACGTTTTCCAGGTTGGTGAGCTCTCCCTCATCCCTAACATTATTGAAACCTAAACACTGAGGCTGCCTGCTTCCTCTGCCCCCTTGATGTAGAATTCACAGCACTGAGGCAGCAGGGATGTTCACAGAATTCCCAGGGCATGGACCTACGTAGAGCAGAGGTATTTTCCCCAGAGCCCTACTCCCCTGAGGATACGACTTGGGCAGTGTTTGTCCACATTTCTGTGGCGTTGGGTTGCCCCTGCACTTCCACTCCCTTCAGAGCTTCTCCTGGACAAGGAGGGGACTTCTTGTGTGTGGGCCAGAGGGGTGGCTTCAAAAGCCTAACTTGATTCCTGCTGTGGCATCTTTTTTGAAAAAAGATACATTCATACGCCCCTGCTTCAGGTGAGCATCTGGTCATGCAGGGTTAAATATTGAGGACTTTGAGAACTTCTGCCTTGGTCCTTGGGGAGGGACTGGGGATGAGCAGAAATCGTTCTGTGTCCCCTGCCCCTTCTTATAAGCTGGTTCCCACTCCAAGCAATTTTTCCCGTAAGTGCCACAACTATCAATCCCCAGTGGAATCCTCATTAGGGCTGGCAGCAGATAGTCTCACTTCCAGACAAAGCACCTAGTGTCAGCCACAGTCAATTGCTTTAGCAACATAGTGACTTTTGTTCCAAATTCCCAGAGCACCCAAAAGCCACACATAAAAATTTTGAGGTCATTTGGCTGAAGATCAAAATGTATAGATTGCTCAAAAAGCAGAGGCCAATCTTGGCTAACTCTTTCCCCTATTTTATTTGAGGAGGAGGAACAACAGAGAACACCGAGACAAGTAATTACACCGCAATAATAGCCAGTAAAGGACCAAGGGATATTAGGCTGCAGATTGGACTTTAGAGGAAAAAATCCTGAACTCACACTCTCCTCCAACCACTGACCCTCCATATTCTGCTTCCCTTTGTAGTGAAACTTCTCAGCAAAATTAATTACTATCTCAACTTCTTTAACCCATTCTCCCTCTTTCTAATTAATCTTTTATCTACCGTCTTCATCAGAACCCTTCTTTCCAATGTCTCATGTGTATAAGTGCATTTTGCCAAATCTTAATCCTCATCTCCCTGGACTTCTAAGCAACACTTGTGCTGTAATCACACCTGCTCTTTATGAAACATTCTCCTTGAACTGGTTTTGAGATTTCCTTCTCATCTCCCAATTGTCTTTGCTGGATCATCCTTTTCCTGACACTGGACTATTGGAGTGCCACTGTTCCTGGCCTACAAAGCTGTTGTCTGCCTTCACGCTGCATGTGGGATAGCCAGCCTCTGGCTCTAAACACCACCTGTATGGTTAGGATTCCCATATGCATTTTTCTAGCTCCCTGGCATAGTCAACTATCTACTCAACATTTTCATTTGTATATCTAAAGGACCAAAGTCTTTCCTACCACAAGCATGCTTTTCTTGGAGTTTTTGATGGACAAGAATAGTATATTACCAGCATGGTATACACCAGCAGCCCAGGCCACAAATCTTATAGTCAGTCTTAATACTGAGCTCTTTCTCACAAACTTCATCTAATCAATCAATGAACTTTCTAGCTTAGTTTCAGAATATATTCCAGATTAACATACTCTTAGATTGCAAATCCTACCACTGCAGTCCATGACGTCATCAATTCTTGATGGACGAAATCAACAGTATTCTAACTGGCATACCTTTATGCCTTTACTGGCTATCTTTACGCCCCCTCCCCTCCATCTTTCTCTTCATGGTTAAAGTAATTCTTTAAGGACTAATATCCAGAATCTACAAAGAACTTAAACCAATTTACAAGAAAAAAACAACCCCATCAAAAAGTGGGCGAAGGATATGAACAGACACTTCTCAAAAGAAGACATTTATACAGCCAATAAACATATGAAAAAAACCTCATCATCACTGGTCATTACAGAAATGCAAATCAAAACCACAATGAGATACCACCTCACACCAGTCAGAATGGCAATCATTAAAAAGTCAGGAAACAACAGATGCTAGAGAGGATGTGGAGAAATAGGAACATTTACACTGTTGGTGGGAGTGTAAATTAGTTCAACCATTGTGCAAGACAGTGTGGCAATTCCTAAAGGATCTAGAACCAGAAATACCATTTGACCCAGCAATCCCATTACTGGGTATATGCTCAAAGGATTATAAATCATTCTACTATAAAGACACATGCACTTGTATGTTTATTACGGAACTGTTCACAATAGCAAAGACTTGGAACCAACCCAAATGTCCATCAATGATAGACTGGATAAAGAAAATGTGGTACATATATACCATGGAATACTATGCAGCCATAAAAAGGATGAGTTCATGTCCTTTGTAGGGACATGGATGAAGCTGGAAACCATCATTCTCAGCAAACAAACACAAGAACAGAAAACCAAACGCCACATGTTCTCACTCATAAGTGGGAGCTGAACAATGAGAACACATGGACATAGGGAGGGGAACATCACACACCAGGGCCTGTCAGGGGGTTGGGGGGCTAGAGGAGGGATACCATTATAAGAAATACCTAATGTACATGATGGGTTGATGGGTTCAGCAAACCACCATGGCACATGTATACCTATGTAACAAACCTGCACTTTCTGCACACGTATCCCAGAACTTAAAGTACAATAAAAAATAAATTTAAATAAAAAAGGTAAAAAAGGAAACATTTATTAAATTATTTTGCTCTCCTGCTTAAAATGTGCTGGTGTATTTTTATTAGAACAAGTCCCACAGTTTTGCACATGGTTTTCAGGTTCATGCATGAACTGACTATAGGGGCTCTCATCACAGCATCCTACATCACTTCCCTGAGCACCAGAATTCTTGCTGTTCTTCATACGCACCAAATGCATTCCCCACTCATGGCCTTGGATTTGCAGTTACCTCTGCCTGGAACACCCTCTCTTCATACAAGCCCTTGCTGTCTCATCTCGCTTGGGTCTCTAGGCTCTGTGCTGAGCTGGCTTTCTTGCAGCACTAAAGTCACTCTCTAACAAAAGCAGCTCCTCCTGGCTTTCTTCACCCATGTCTTTTTTTTTTTAATTTTTCTCCATGGCACTACCTCTCCCTGGCATTGGGTTGCATATTTATTTATTGAATATTGCCTACACTCCCATACTGCAGCCCGATGAGGCAAAGGCTGAATTCACCATGCAATCTGCAGCACCTAAGTATACACTGTTGTGCTTTAGCTACTCAATAAATATCTATTGAATAAAAGATGATTCATTCTGCCTATTTATCATATATCTGCTGTATTCTATCATTTCTGTTCAATCTGATAAATCCCTCTTCTCTTAAAAAATGAGTCTGGAGTTGTTATGATCATTTTTGTAGAAAAGAGAGCTAACCCACATGGATCAGCAGGCAGAAATAAATCAGACATCAGCAAGTCCATAATACCCTACCTATTGCCACACAGGAGAAAAGCTGGACAGAGAACCCCTAGTTCTCCCGAATAGGCAATAAGGGAGGCCAAACCAGAAACCTGGTCGTCTTTCCCAGCCTGTCCTCCACCCTCACTCCCATCCTACATTGGACCAAGCATCAGGTTCTGGCAGTTTGGCCCCCAACATATCTCTAAGCCCTACCCTCTCTTCTCCACTCCCACTATCTCATGACCTCTGCCCTTGACCTTTTACTGCCTTCCTGAAGATTGGTCTTCTTACTCTGGACCACAGGAAGACTTGGCCTATGGAGAGCTACCCACTTACTGCCACTGCTGTACCTTCAGGGGCAGGAAGAAAAGGGGTTTCTGCCCTGCCACAGACACAGGTTGAAGCTGAAATCTGTGAGGTGAGGTTTCACCACCTTCCACTGGGAACATGTGGGATTAACACCAACACACCTCATCTCTTATTGCCAGGGTGCATACAGGCATGTGCATCTGCTCCTGCTCCCCTAACATCATCAGGCTCTCCAGCCCATTCATTCCCCTAGAGAAAAGAATTTCCCCCTTCTGGCCAATCTTTCACTCTCCCCCACCTTCCACACCCATCCACTGGGCTCTCTGGAACACCCACAACATAGGCAAGATGCTCCCCGAGACCATCAGCCTTCAGGCAGAGTGCTCCCTGAACTGCCTTCATTTATTGAAACCCAGCTGTTTCCTGAGGGGAGTGCCTCCTCGGTAGCTTTCTCAAGAAAATGTTGAGTTGTCTGTTTTGGCATGCAGAGGTTGGGTCTATGATCCTCCTCGTAGTGGAGGATCCTCCTCAAGTGGAGACCTTTTCTCTTTCACACTTTTATTGAATAGCCCTGCTCCTGCTGGTCTGAAGCTCCTGCCACCTGGCAATGTTGCTCCGCCCTCTCTTCTTTTCTGCCAATGACTGATATCCTGAGTCCCTCAAGATTCATCGAGGGCTTTGACACTTGGCTCACAGCCCAACTTGTCACTAGCCTCAGCCATTATCTGGGGTGACTGCAACGCTCCTTGTGATGAGTCCTCAGACACCTGCGCTGTCACCTACCTGGCCTCATCTTCTCATGGGCCTTCCCCTCTGTCTTAGCCATAAGCTACCCCCGCCATTGGCCTGAACTTGTCATTCTTTGAAATCACTAATTAAGGGACTGCCATTTCTGACTCGAAACTCATGTCTTTCCAGCATGCTTGCTCAAGTACTCAAACTATAAACTCATGTTTATTTTATTCACTTATTTTTTAAACAAATATGTATTGAATGTGTATGATTTGAGAGGCAAATTGGTGCTAAACATTGGTGCACATAGCAGTGAGCAAGGATAGGCATGCTTCCTGCCCTCATGAAGCTTAGAGTCTAGTGCAGACAGGGAAGGTTTTAAATAGGTTCTGTCACCATGTGGCTATGTTGATGTTCTGTGAGCGTGCCGGCTGGGTCCTGATATCATGCCTTTGCAGTCACTGTGAACCCTGCCAGGAGTACTCCTGCCGAGCTATGCAAATGTCAGTCCGCCTTTTATGAGGTATCTTCTTAATGAATCCATTCTACCACTCTATTTAAGTCTACAATCCCTCAAACACACACCTGATCATCTCTTTGCCTCTTACCCTAAAGCAATTACCATATAACATATTACAGGGCTTCCTCAGCCATGTGTTGATTTTCTCTCCCTCCCACTAGCATACAAGTTCTGAGAGGCCAGGGCTTTGGTCTGCTTTGTTCACTCATAGGTCTCTAGTACCTCAGAGAGTTGCCCCACACACAGTAGGTGCTCAATAAACAATTACTGAACAAATAAGTTAATCAAAATTGCTTTACCAAAAGGTTTTCCTGGGGACAAAATCCATACCATTTTCTCTGCTTAAATCCTTTTCTGGACTGGTGTGTGTCGAAATAAATAAATCAATGAGGGAGAAAGCCATTTGTCTTTTTCTATCTTGCAGATAACTGGCCAGATATCTTCAACCACAGTCAACTCAGCAAAGCACTCCATAAAGGGCAAGGCAGTGATGAAAGGAATTAGGGGAGGAAACGCCTCCCGGGCTGCAAATCAGTTAAACAGGGGGAGTCCTGAATCTATTATGGAAGAACTGTAAAGTCCAAAGTCATTTTGTTTAACTCTGGATTAGGAGGAGGAAAAGAGGTTTGTTTTTCAGGGTGGGGTGCGTGGGGGGTGAGGGCAGTAAGCAGAGAAGAACCCACCACTGTTGGGTAGAATAAGGGGCAAGATGAGCCTCCCAGGGAAGGGGCCACATCTTCAGGACTCCGGGTTCTAGTGCAAAAGGCAGGCTGCGGCTGTGCCATGGTATTTGGAGAGCCAGGTGGCAGACTGGGGCCTTGAGGAACTGAAATGATGCTCTGCTCAATCCCTTTCAACTGTCCTGGTTCTGGAGAGAAAAGCATTTTACACAGCTAGGAAGATGAAGAATGCCAACTCCCACAAAGACAGGTGGGGAAACTGAACAGACTCAGATAAGAAAGGACACACATACCCTGGAGTCTGGCAATTTCTTTTCATGTCTAAAGCTGTTAAGGTATAAAACAATCTTCTAATAATAATCAATGCACAAGACACAGCATTATTTGAGTGAGTGATAGCATTTAACATGAGGAAAACAAAAGTCAGGTCAGAGGGAGGCTGTGTCCGTCCTGTGCGCCACGGCCATCCAGGTGGAAGAGAGGAAAGAGAAAGGTTGACTCAGTTGGAAGAGCTCAGCTGCCAGTGAGGAAGAAGTCCAACCTCCACACAAGGGCTCTGTCCTTTGCCACTGAGGTGCTCATCTCCAGACCTACTGGAAGAAGCCTGAGGTTGCTGGGGAGGGTGGAATGCAGAGACCTGGCACACAGCAGAGCCTGGAGTCCAGCGCGATGACACAGGTGCGGGTAAATTTGTAAGAATGCTGTGAGAATGTGCATAACCCAAAGACCGGGTGCCCCAAGCTGGTAGGTGGGATGAAACCAGAGAATAGACATGTCCCAGAGAGCAAGATGAAGCAGTGGGCTAGACATCAAGCAGGAAATCAATATGCATTAACAATATGGATTTTGGAGTCAAAAAGTCTTGGATTTGAATTTCACCTTTGCCGTTTAGTATTTGTGGGCAAATTCCTTCTCCTGCCCCCTGATTTTCATGCCTTCGTCTCTAAAATAAAAATAATGCCTACTTATTAGGACCTCCATGAGAATTAAGTAACATAATGCTGATGAAGAAGATTGCTGGGCACAGAGCACATTTACACAGCAGCAGTTCTCAAACTTGAGCTTGCATCACAATCACCTGGAGGAAATGTCAAAATCAGGCTGCTGGACCCCACCCTTACAGCTGTCGTTCAGTAAGGCTGGGGCATGAACTAGGTGATGCTGGTTGATGCAATGGTCCAGAGACTGCCCTTTGAGAACTACACTACCCAGCACAGCAATGAAGCCCCTGCACTCTGGGGACAGACCGACTACCTGGCTTGGAACCCACGTCTGCAATGTGGCACTGTGCCACATTAGCCCATTAGCCTGGGCCCATTAGCCTGATCTCCCTAAGCCTCATTCAAATGGAAAAACATATTAAGTTTTCTCATTGATAAGGTGGGCTAATAAGAAGACCTGTCTCGCCTAGTTGTGAAGAATAGATATTACTATGCATAAATGTTTTTAGAAGAGAGCCCCCGACATTCTTGCACATCCACCAACTGTTAGCTATTGTTATGATTGAATGATACTGCCTCTGGTGTTATTTAGACTCCAGGAGAAAGGCAGTCGTCATGGGTCAAAACAAGACTCAGGATCTGAAAGTAGGCACAAAGTCAGAAAAATACACCTGAGGACCTAGTGATATGGACGTTTTCATCCGAAAGTTTCTCCCAGCTTGGTTGGCAGTGCTCGGAGGGTCCTACACAAGAAACTCCCCAAGCCTTTAGCTGGTCTACAGCGGTGTGACTCGAGGAGGTACCCTGGTTGTGATGGGCGGTGGGACATCCCACTAAGGACCTTCTCATACTCCCAGGCGGTGCTGACTCTTATGGGTGCTGGTTGAGAGATGGGGTCTCCTGCCCTGTAGGGGCTACCATTTTAATGAGACTTTGCATCTTACTGAGCTATGGCTGGTTGGCTTCTGTGGGGAGGATGATACAATCTTCTTGCTATTATGTTTCCTTTATTTGTTCCATCAAGACAGTTCTGCATGGTAACGGTCACCAAGTACAGGCATAAATAGCTTAAGACTCTGGAGAGTGTGGGGGAGGATGCTGTTAGCAATGTCTGAATTCAGCAGACATCTGATTCTACAATATTTTCCAAGGGTTTTAAAATAATTGGGTAAAACCACAAACAGTGTCTGTGGTATGCACTCCTGCCCTTGGTTTCTAGAATGAGGCTTGATTTCATATGTTCTCAATTCAGCACATTGAACTCATTAATTTCCCCACTAGTCTTTTTATTATTTCTCTCTTCTTTGAAGTAGGAAGTTACACAGCTATAATAATGCTTTAAACCAGATCATAAATATTAAATTTACAAAAACCCCTATTGACACTGGCAAATTTTACCCTAACTGCATCTATCTAGCAGTAATTTTACAGTTAAAGAGAATGACAGAGTTAAAGAGTGATCTATAAATGTCTTCCTCTGCTTTTTTCTCTCCCACCTTGGTCTGCCTGTCTGTGTTTAAGCCACTTATGTAAGGAGTTCCTGGACACTTTTCCCCAATTTGAGGTTGTACCACTGGTTTATCTTTGTCACAATTAATCCCTTTTTTTCTGTATATATTGAACCTAATGCTCTATGTTTCACAGGTACTCTGAACAGGAAGCTGGCCACTTTCCATTATGATGCAATTATTTTTTTGTTCTCCCACCATCAATGACTACTGTAATATCTTTTGCAATGGCAATTACTTGGCCCTCCTGGGATAGCTTCTTGGGGTACTGGGAATTTTAATCAAGCACCTATGTTAATTAGAAAATGGTGGAGATGATAGTGGTGCTGATTAAGCACCTTTGAATATCTATCCATTTTGGCAATGGACTGAGTTGAGCTTTTATAAAGATTCAATCTTTTCAGAAAAAAAATAACTTGAGTTTCCTTCCCTTCCGTTCTTTTCTCACGGGTGGGAGTGAAGAGGAGGGGGCTGGCTGAAGGTCTGCAAGCTAACATTATTGGACACATACTATGTGTTGTTATGGGGCCAGGAGCTTTCCATTGGTGCACGTGTTTAATCCTTGTCATATCCATGTGGGAAGGTATTATTATCTCTATTTCACAGAGTCTAAAGCTCAGACTTGAGTACACATGAGGAAGACAGTGGGGGGGGAGGGCCTTTTCTTATGAATTCCTTTGATTGGTTTGGGAAATATGAGATGATCCACAGTCCAAACTGATGCAAAGAGATACATTATTATATTATATTACCTTTAATAATATAATATTATACATATTAAATTAAGAGAGACTTAATTTTAGAAAGGGACTGAAAACTACATCTACAGTATCAGATACTTCCTCATTCAACAATCATTTACAAGACCCCAAAACATCTGGTGCTTTATCAGACACTAAAGACAAAACAGCATTAGGGTGGTTCCTGGCTGCCATGATCCCTGGCATGACAGGAGTAGTCAGAGGCCCTTGAGTACCTGTAAGAGGTGCCATAGTTGGAAATGCACGCAAAGTGCTGTGGGATCTCAAAGAAATGGGTGAATCACTCTGCCTGAAGAAAGTCACCAGAGGCTTTCAAACTGGTAGCACTTGAGTATGGTCTTGAAACAAGGGCAGAACTCAAACCAAAAGAAGTAGGGGGGATGGAAGGAGAACAGATGGGGTGTGCAAAGTCAAAGACATCTAGTGTGTGGAGAATGCCAAGTTGTTAGTGTGACTGTGGTGTGTGGAGAAAATGGGGTCTAGAACCAAATCATGAAAACGCCAGGGTTCACGCCAAGAAGCAAGAATGAAATTAATAAAGAAGCACATCTTCAGAGAGGTTTATCACTACTCCAGCATGACCCAGCCAGTGAGTAGTGCAAGGGAATACAAATCCCCTTGGACCTGCCTTCAAAGCCTATCTCTTTCAGACACATTGCTGCCTTTGCTCATGGAAATGCAGTCATTGTTAGTAGCAGAAGCCTCAGAGAAGAGCCAGGCATTGCTTAATGCTCAGACCTGAAGGCCCAGTTCTGGTCCTGAAGCAGAAGAACGAACAAGATGGATAATTCATACTTGGCCTCAGGAAGCAGATACAGAGTGGACACACTGACTAGTCCCCCTACCTCCCTCTGGGAAGGAATAACAGAGCGAAAACTCCTTCTATTAATTGTCTCTCCTGGATTCTGATACTCTAGCAGAAGATAGGCAGGCAGCTGGCAGTGCAGGAGATACCCTAGGTAGAGAGCCTGCCCTGACAAATAGCAAAAAGACTAAGATCTCAAGTCTTGCCTTACGCCCTAGGTCCCTCTTTCCTAGAGACTTGGGCGACTTCCAGGTTTCAGAGCACAGCCAAGACTAAAGAGTTAATTTAATCACTGAGGCCCCTTCTTGGATTATTGCAAGGATTTACAGCCCATATTGATTACTGACAGGGCAACCCAACCAAAAGGAGATTCCAAGAGTTGTCTAGAATTGGCATAGATGGATTTAGAAAAACTTTTGCTTTCTCTCTTTCTCCCTTTTTCTTCTCAGTCCTTTGGTGTTGGGTGGTTGCCCTCTGTGGGTAAGGTGATATCTTTAGTTCCATTTTGCCCTCTTCTCCCCTCCCCAGCTCCTCTTTGCTGAGGAAGTCTTTCTCCTCTGCCATTCTAATGATCTCAGCGCCACACGGGGCCCCGGATGCTGGTGCTGACAGGCTGCTCATTAGTTCCAGGGTGCTGCAGTCAGCCGATGGCACGCCAGAGCTCTGCTCCTGACACTTTTTCACAGAGCTGTCACTGGAGTCATGGAACCTGCCAGCTCTGGTTGAACTCAAGCTGTGATACCTCTAGTGCCAATTAGTGCTTTAGTGTCCTGCTTGGCTAGGAGAAGGCCTTGTCAGTGCTTACAAATAGGAAAATAGGTGGATGTATGGTGGGGTGAGGATATTGGGGAAGGGGAGGGGGAGCACAGGGCTCAGGGCATTGGCCAGGAGAACTCTTATCCGGGTGTCACTTTGCCTCCATCAATTTGGTGCCTTTTAAAACTCCAGAAAAAAGAAACAGGGCAGTCAAATGTCCACTGGACCTCTTCAAGTAGAAAAGGAGAACTGAGGTGGGAAGGAAGAGATCTGGCAGCTGAGGAAGGTTACTGAGCCCTGTTGGTATGGAGAGTAGGCCACGCAGATGTACCCACTTCACGTTAGGTAAAGAGAAAGGCTTGCAGAACAAGGGCTTGGCTTGGAATCCAACAGACAGAAGGCTCTGCTCTAATTCTGCCCCCAGGGTCTTTATATCACCCTAGGGAAGATCTCTTTTGATCTCTAACCCACCTCAATTCATATATCAGGAGGCAGAGAGAAAGAAGGAAAAAGAGAGAAAGAGAGAACCTGAGAAACACACACACACACCCCACACATACACATACACATACACACACACACACACACACACACACACACACAGAAAGAGAGAGAGAGAGAGAAAGAGGCACAAGAGTGGAACTGAATTTAAAGTACTTTTCTTTTTTCTACCGATTGATTTCTTTCTTTTCCTTTTTCTTTAGTTAACCTATAAGGAATGGCAAATTTTCATATACAGTTGAAATAATCCCCCAGGTGATATCGGGATTGCCTTAGGAAATAGTGGTTGGGAGTCATCCGGGGTTTAGACACAGGAGTACTTGGTACAGCAAGGCACCAAAAGGGCCAGATGCCCACTAGAATGGCCAGATGAAGAGCAGTTGCAATGAGGCAGCCATGACAGCAGAAGGAAGCTCATGGATGACCCACTGTCCAAGTCACCTGTGAGCCTCCTCTCTTCTTGCAAAAGGAAACTTGAAAAGGAGTTTCTTCTTCAAGGACAAGTTGAGTCCTGCCACAGCAAGGTCCCCTCAAGGGGACTTCAGGAAAGGCTTGGAGATCTTGTGAAGACCAGAGAAAATGTCCTGGAGACTCGCCAGCCAGAAACACTCCAGGTCTCCATGCCAACATCAAAGTGAAGGACAACTTCTGAAGGATCAAGATAGTCTTTGAACTGGGAGAACAGGCATGCCTCTTTGGGGCATTGGCAAATATCAGTGCTTGTTCACTGAACTGACCAATATTTATTAAACACTTCCTAGGTGCTAGGCATTGTGCTAGAAGGAGAGAATCAAAGAGAAGTGAGATGCAAACTCTGATCTCAAAGAACTCATGGGACAGGGACATTGAAAATAAACTGGAAAGGAGGACATTTCTGTGAACACCTTGCAGGGCTTTGCTGAATATCCCTACCAATATCTCAGTACAACGTGTTATCTAGGTAGCCTAGATGAGGTTTTTATTGTCAGTGTCTTGTTTGATGACAGAAAGGTGAAGGTAAGTGCACCCAAGATGGGAGCTCCATTAGGACACTCAGTGATCCCTGGCTGCAAATGGATAGTGACACCCACAGATAAGTGATGAGACTCACTCCCTCACCTGAGTTTCATTTTGGGCTCTCAGGAATGTGGCAATGTAGGAATCCTAGACTTGTCTTTAAAGCTCTTACAATCCAACTGAAACTGGTAACATAACAATAAGGCTTTCAGAATGCTTTTCTATGAAGAGTGAGGTCCAACACAGCATCTTTTGGAGTATATTGAAAGAGATCATGCTTCTATTTACATAGTGAAGACTCAGGAGAACCAGACAGCATGAACGTTTTTCTATTGGAGACAGAAAGCTGAGAGTTTAAGGGATGTGCTAAAAAACACATTCTTGAAGGTCTAGATGTAGACAAAGGGCAAAGCACAGAGTCATGACACCAGGCACAGTGGGCAGTTGGCTGCCCTGTTCCTTTTTTCTACCTACAGAAGGTTAGGGTTCCACCAACGGTGCCTGTGCACCTAGTACCCTATGCTAGCACTTAGAAGGACTCCGGCTTGGGGTCAATAAGCCTTCATGTGGATGGAGATGGCTCCTGCTAGTGAGAGGAGTGAGATGGGGGCTCTTCCTCCTGAAAAGACCAAGGTCTCTGCAGATGCAAACAACATCGGCCCATCTCAAACCAGTTGTGCAGAGTCAGGGCAGGAATCTTTAAAAAGCTAGCTCACTTTCTCTTTGAATTCTGATAAATTCCTGAAGGGAACTACAAAGGCATAATGCCCATAATAATATACGGAAATTATTCAAACAATCAATGGAAGTGCCAAGAGGTGGCCTTGGAGGTCCTACCTCCCTCTCTGTACTGGACATGCACAACTGACATTTTCTCTATCTGATATAAAGTGCTACACAGGGCCCTCCATCTCCGTTTCCACCTGATGGTCACTCCTAAGCTGCCCCTATATCAAAGTGTATGAGCCACGTCTAAAATAGTCCTTAACATTTCTGTACTCCTTTCCACACAAGGTAGTCAAGACTAGAAATGCACAATTTAAAGAGGTTTATATAAGTTTATCGCAAGCAGCACCACATAAGTGATAATGAAGGAAACAAGGACTTTTAAGAAATGTACAGAACAAACAGATCAGTCTGGAGAGAAAAAATGCAATGAAGTCATCAGGGTTGCTGAAAGAGCTTAGCCCTGATCAGCTGTTCATCCAGGGATTTGGCAGGTTCGCATGTAAGAAAGATCTTGATGGAACTGTGATCTACCCTCGAAGAATGACACAAAAGATGACAACAGCGCTCTTTCTTTGGAGCCTCCGCTAAGGTGCAGATCTTCTTCTCCAAGGAACACCAAGCCCATCCTGGTTTATTTAGAATAAGCCTCCTTTAGGAAATACTACTGGGGAAAGATGAAGGCCTGACTGTTGAGGGTCTCCAGCTTCAGTTCATATTGGGCAGCAGCCAAGTGACATCTCTGATCTCCAAATAATCAGTCACTGGGAAATGGCACTCTGGTGAGTTCTGAGGTGATTAGTTATTGCTTGGCATGTCTCATCATTTTGAATCCGGGATAACTAAACTGGACCTGAGATCTGGAAAACACTGTTCATGTAAATTAATCCACAGGTACATTCTGATTGTCCTGCTCCTCTTTCCTTGCTCCATCTTCTGTTTCCATAGCAGCTAAAACCTCAGTAAAATGGGACACCTGGCCCAGGCTCAGGCAAAAGTTCCCTTGGGAAATGAATCTGTTCGATGGTCACAAAAGGGGAAACAAAAGACTCTAACACACAGCCTTGTGAACATCAGCCAGGCAAACCCAAGAGGCTCAAATGTCAGAGGGGAAGACAACAAACAATTGCAAGGAGGGAAGAGAGAATGTGGAAAATAATGAAATTAAAGCAGAAACATTTCAGACGCTGCAAGAGAAAGCCAAAGCATAGAACAACAACAAAAATAACTTATCGGGAAGTTATAGGCATAAAATGGCAGGACAAAAAGGAGACGCATGCAGGAGAAGTGGGGGAAGAAACACCCAGAAAAGGACAAAGAACTGGCCAGATGAGGGAATGAGAAGAGACATCAAACAGAAGACAGAGCCTCTTGACATCAGGCACAGGAAGCTTACCCTGATGATAAATGTTCTGCAGACTCCAAAGGCACAGACTGGGCTGGCATCCGCCAGCACTGGGGACTCACATCAGGCTGTGATGAATGGTGCACACCGCGGACTTAGCATGCACCTGTCTGAATGGCCCCTCCTTCAGAAGGGCCCAGGGCCATTTTCCATCACTAATGATCTCATGCACAGCTGAAGCTTCCTCCCTGATTTTGGGCCAGTCCACATGTGAGGTCATTTCAAATGGAGAGACTGGCAGACACATGAATAGCTTTCAAAGACCCCTTGTTCACAGTTACAGTGTCAAGAATGGTGGCCCGCCGGGCGCGGTGGCTCACGCCTGTAATCCCAGCACTTTGGGAGGCCGAGGCGGGCGGATCACGAGGTCAGGAGATCGAGACCATCCCAGCTAAAACGGTGAAACCCCGTCTCTACTAAAAATACAAAAAATTAGCCGGGCGTAGTGGCGGGCGCCTGTAGTCCCAGCTACTTGGGAGGCTGAGGCGGGAGAATGGCGTGAACCCGGGAGGCGGAGCTTGCAGTGAGCCGAGATCCCGCCACTGCACTCCAGCCTGGGCGACAGAGCGAGACTCCGTCTCAAAAAAAAAAAAAAAAAAAAAAGAATGGTGGCCCAGGACAGCTCCCAGGAATTCAGGCCACACACAACTGAAAATGTCACGCCTTCTCTGAGAACATCCATTAGGGCCAACTGTCACTGTCTAGAATTTGGTACTTGGGGCCCCTTCATAGTCTTACTCTGATTTATTAAAATGTTGAAGTATAGTGGACACTGTCATGCACAGTCACCTTCAGGAGCAGAGGACTTATGCCTCACAGAAGGACCGGCTGCTGGTGGATAGCCCTCGGTGGTCAGCCCCCTGTGTCTCATGTGAAGAGAGATGCCTGGCCCACAGTCACACCTGTTTGGGGATCAGCCTACATTTGGACTGCTGTGCCGATGTAGAGGACCAGCTCCATCACCTCAATAAGGGAACCTTCTGAAGGGCAATCCTAGCTTCAGAGCTCCCCGTAGGCTCAGCCGAGATGTCCTACTGCACAAGCCAGCTTCTAACCTGCCCAATTCTGTTTCCCACTTTTCCCTTCCATGGGAGTTGAGACCAAAAGCACCCCCTAATATGCGTCTTTCATGCCAATCACACACCTTCATCCATCTGTGCACACCGGCACATATATACATACATAATCACATACACACATTTCACATTAATCAGCAATAAGCAACACAATTAAGGACCACTGTTCATGTCTCTGCACAAATATCTTCTTTTCAGAGCCCTTCTCTGAAGAAAGCTCTTGTCATTCTGTCAACACATCCTGTTCTATTTTCTCACCCTTAATACCACCTGTTATATTGCATACTCTTTTTTTTTTTGTCATCTGTCTCATGAGAATGTGAGTTCATGAGTGTGAAAACTTCACCGCTTTGGCTTATTGCTGTAACCCCCAGTGCCTAGAAGAGAGGCTGGACTATTACAAGCACTCAATAAATATTTAAGAATGAAATATTTTTATCTTTCTTGTTCCCAAATAAAAGCTAGCTTAATAATAAATGACATCTTGTCTCAAATTCTAAAGGTTTTAATGTACAATCCATGAAAGCACAAAACAACACTTTGGTCTACGTAACATCTGAGCATTCAGATAAAGTAAATTTTTGCAATTTAGTCACATATTAAGTTATATTTGTTCTCTAGGATCAATCGGAGTAAAACAACAACAAAACCACAAAAACAGCTCGTGACCAGATTTTTGGCAAGGCTGCAGAGGCACAGACTTGGAGAATCTCCTTTTAGGAATATGGCCATTTAAAGCTCTCACCCATCATTATGTGTTTTCTCTATTTTAAAACAACCAGCTGAACAATTGCCACTAAAGCTTTGTTCCATCATCAAACAACATGTAAAGTTCACCCAGAACACCTTACCACCATTTCACCCAGAGACAACAGAGATTAATTTCCAAGGGACTGGAGAGATACTGAGGTATGAATTCTGAAATCTTAGAGGGTATGGCTGTTTTGCAGAGAACATCAACGTTCTCTGCAGAGCCATGAGTAGATTACCATCAAGCCACCAAAAACGTAGACTCCTCTGGAGTAGGTATCAGCACCCATAACCTCCTACCAAAGGCCCAAAATTCCCCCATTTATCCTCATGATGCAATGCAACAAACTGTTCTCTTACCTTTGGGAGAGATGTGTCTCCAAGTAACCGTAGGCTCTGGTCTACCAGTTGCTATGCAGGTGAGGCTAATATTGTTCCCTTCATTAATGGAGATATCTGAAGAAATCTCTACAATTTTGGGAGATACTGTGGAAACAAGACAGAATGAAAATAAAAATCCTCCTGAAACATTTCTTAGTTGTCTTAACATGGTAGTTGGCAGAACAGTCCAGAGAGTAAAATATATGGACTACAGTAAGTTAACGATAAGAAATTAGAGGAATTACCTTAAACATAAAAAAGTCTTACCTTTAATTTAGCTTTGATTTCCTCCTATTTAAACACAAAGTCAGGGAGTCCGAATGGGAATAAATTCTACTGCAACACTGGAATAGCTGTTCTCCTAGCCTCCACCCTCTTCCTGTATCCACTCACCCCCACCCACCTCCAACACATATCCACGAGCCATCCTCCACACTGCATTCAGCGATGTCTTGAAAGAATGCAATTCTGATCATATCACATCTCTGTCTAAACAGCTCCAGTGGCTCCCCATGGCCACCTGGTCATAGCCTGACTCCTTCTAGGCATGAGGCCATGCAGAATCAAGCATCAGCCCACCTTTCCATGGCCATCCCCAGTGATCCCACCTCTGCTGACTCCCTTGTTCTCCATCATGCCCTGTCTGGGCATAAAGTATTTGGGTTCATATTGTTCCTTTTATCCTTCCTGGGCAACTCCCAGCCATTCTCGTTTTCATTTTTATTTTGAGACAGGGTTTCACTTTGTCACCCAGGCTGGAGTGCAGTGGTGCAAATATGGCTCACTGAAGCCTTGACCTCCCATGCTCAAACAATCCCACCTCAGTCCAAGTAGCTGGGACTGCAGGCATGTGCCGCCATTCCTTGTTAATGTTTATGTTTATTCTTGTAGAGACAAGGTTTTGCCATGTGCCCAGACTGGTCTCAAACTCCTGAGCTCAAGCAATTCACCAGCCTCAGCCTATCAAAGTGCACGCGCAGCCATCCTTAAGGCCCAAAGCAAATGCCACTTTCTTTGTTGAAACTTTCCCTACCCTCTATACTTCTCTGCCCTTTTGGACATCTCAAATTGACTGCTGCTTCTTCATCCATGTGCCCAGAGCACATTCTACACACCTGGTGGGGAATCAAATTAAGCCTCAGTTAGCCATAACATCTCTCTCTCTCTCTCCCCCACCTTCTTTCTCCACTAAATGACTCCCCCTAGGGAGAGAAGGGGTTCATTCTAATAGGTAAAGTTGGAGACAGGATGTCTACTTCCTTTGGTCTTCTATTTTGGAACCTTCTGAAGCTTATATTATGTTGTGCTCCTCCATGTGCTTATTTTCAGAAGCAGCACCCACAAGGACTGGATAGGGCCTGTGGAACATCCAGCCATTGCATGTGTGTGCGTTTCTTTCCGGGGTCCAGTCGTAGAACCTCATTGTTGCTGCACATCTGAGCCTAATTCTCCAGTCTCAGCTTTACCACTAGTAAACATGTGATATTTGGTTCCATGTGTCTACTTATCTGTCTTATGTGTTTTAACATTCAAGTGGATGGAGTAAAGATGTCATTTACTGAGCTCCCACACTCCAATTCTAGACAGTTATTTCACTATGCTATGGTTATGTGCTTAGCATCACCCACTAGGCCATGAGCTTTCTGATGACCTGAACAATGTGTTACTTATATCTGTATCCACGCTAAGAGCTCAACAAATATTTACAGAATTGAGTGATAATGGTTATTCAAGGGAACCACCTTCCCAACCTGTGTGCAACGTGTCCATACCAACCTCAGAGTTGGGTCATTGGCAGATATTCTTTCAACCCTCCTGATGCTGGTTTTGACTTCTTAGTTCTTGGCAAGTTAAGTGTCCCCTCCATCCAGCACTCTTCTGTTTCTTCATGTTATATTCTTTCCTTGAATAACTATTCCTCAGAGCCACCATGCTGTGCAATTCTAAAGCACACCATCCACCTGGCTTACAATGTGATCGGGCCTGCCGGAGAGCCCAGGGAAGCTGCACGATGACTTTATTGCTTGTTGCGAGGTCAGAGTGGGGCCCTCACACTAAAATCAGATGGGTTTGCAAATTTTAATGCTGGTCTTGCCTCTACTTGAACCATTACTCACTCATTCCTAGTTGTGTTGGATCTTTTCCTTCATGAAAAGGGAGTTTATAAAGATATCTTAGCCTTCTTCCCCTTCTCTCCTTCTCCAGTGTTACCTTCCATGTATGTCCTGCATCCACCCAATTGAAATGCTCATCATTAATAAGCGTGTGCTGTACTTATCTGTGCTGCACTGAGCTATCTCCTTATCCCCATGCCCTTGTTGCTGACTTCAGTGCTTACACTCTTCTCTGTGCCTATCCACATCTATTAAAATTGTTCAAGGCCTGAGAGAATTACCACCCCTTTAATAAGGCTGTCCAGATGAACCTGAAGAGGATGTGACCTCTCCTTCCTGGGGATTCCACAGCACTGTAGTGTCTCCTATACGGCATTTAAAGTAAACTTTTATGTAACATGTTCCCACCTTTCCTTTTATACTATAAATTACATTAATATAAGATATTTGAAAAGATCCTCATTTAACTTTTTAGTTTTTTGCTGTCCTAAATAGGGTATGTTACACAGAGTAAGCAACAGTTAATCATTTTTAGATTTCCATCCTCATTGAGCTTCAGATAGGCAGCGTGTGTGTCTCTGCATATGCATGCACACACACACACATACACATACACACTCAATTGCACTCCCATAAGCATTTGGTGGGACAGAAATAATGGAGAGTGGACATGGACAAGGGTTGGAGGAGAGAGAATGCTAGCTCTATAATCTGGGACTTTTAAGATGTAACAATGCCATTTATGGTTATATCATTTTAAAAGCTACATGGAGCCTTCCAGGACAGAAAGGTAACTGATGAGTTAATGACTGAGCATTTGATTTGCTGACTGCCTGAAGGGTACAAGCTTCTAAATTCTCTTAGTTCTGGAATCATTTAAATTGATCATTGCAAAAATAGACACTTTGATGTGTTTTATTCAGAGTTTTAACTAGAGCATTCCCATCTCATGCACCAGCCACCTCCTTCCCCCACCCCCCAACACCAACCCATACGTTTGCTGGTCCCTGTCCCTGCTCACTCTTAGCACCCACACAGCCTTGCTTGCTTCCTGGAGGACAGGCTGCCTGCAGAATGTCTGTGCTGGCCTTGCAGACGTTGCTTCAACTGTGCAGGTAAGTAATTTATTGATCTGTAAAGCACTCCGAGATGCTCTGCAAGGGATTATGTCACGCCAATGCCATGCAATAAAATAAAAAATGATGGACTTTGTGAACACAGGGTGATTTAGGGTTTGTAGTTGGAAGTGTGCTTAAAGTACATTTTAAGTGGAAATCAGGCCGGGTAATGAATTACTCTTGCTTTGGAAGGGCTTACTGTGAGTTCATTTTCCTGGCTTCCTGCATGATAGGTAATCTGCTAATCATACACTAGAGAACAATGGACAGTCCCCAAGCAGGACAGAAGGTGGTTTGGGCCAGAGCTGTCAGTGCAGTAAGTATATTAAATGAGACAATCGCACCTCATGCTTGGAAGAATCATCTAGAATTGTCTCCCCCCACTAATAATTGGAAAATATCCAACTCATGAGGTAGAAGTTGAGAAGTGCTTGCTGTCCTTTAAATTCTGCCTAAGAATACAGTTTGAAGGAGGCAAATTGCCCTTGGGTGAGTGAGAAAGACAGATCATTCATGGCATAGAGATGAGGTGGTTTGACTAGGGGAGCAATCCCAATTATCAGAAACAAATTGGCATATGCCTAAGATGCTAAGGGAGTCAAAATATGATTTTCTAGGTGGCAACTTCTAGTACATTGTCAGTATTCAAGACTACTTGAATTGATTAGGGTGCACTGTGGTTTTAGCTAAGCCATCCTCATAAGGAAGCTTCTGACCAAGTGTGAGATAGGGCTACTTATATTTTTATATTGTTTCCATGGATACATTCTATATCTGACTTCTCATCACTCAGACTGTTAGAAACATACTAGGATTGTTTTGCTTATTTTCATTCATTCACTCCTTCTTCAATATTCATTGATCACTTTCCATATGCCAGCATTGTGCCAAGCATTAGAGACATAAACTAAATAAGATACCATCCTTTTCCTCAAGGAGTTCACAGCCTCAAGATATCAAAATAGATGCAGAAGCCTAATATTCTAATGTATGGTGACACAGAATGGTGAATCACGTGTTATGGAGACACAGAGGATATACATCTAAGCCAACCTTGACATGGATGCCACAAGAGGCTTCTTAGATATGTGATGCCTAAGTTAAGCCCTAGGAGTAAGTAAAAATTAATCATATCTGGAGAGAAAAGGAGGAAAGATATCCTAGGCAAAGGAGACAACATAAGGCAAGCACTATCAGTAAGACATTTTGTGGCCAGGCACAACTGTTAATGGAAGAAGTCTACTTTAGAGGAGTAGTCCCCAACCTTGTTGGCACCAGGGACAGGTTTCATGGAAGATAATTTTTTCCATGAACTGGGGATGCGGGAAGGAATGGTTTCAGGATGATTCAAGCACATTACATTTATTATGCATTGTATTTATATTATTATTACATTGTAATGTTGTAACATATAATGAAATAATTATACAACTCACCATAATGTAGGATCAGTGGAAACCCTGAACTTGTTTTCCTGCAACTAGGGGGTCCCATCTGGGGGTGATGGGAGATAGTGACAGATCATCAGGCATTAGATTTTCACAAGGAGTGCACGACCTAGATCCCTCGCATGGGCAGTTCACAATAAGGGTTCGTGCTCCTACCTAATGCTGCCACTGATCTGACAGGAGGCAGAGCTCAGGCGGTATTGCCAGCAATGGGGAGTGGCTGTAAATACAAAAGAAGCTTCACTCACTCACCCACCAGCTGCTCACCTCCTGCTGTGTGGCCTGGTTCCTAACAGGCCACAGAGCAGTATCGGTATGTGGCCTGAGGTTTGGAGACCCTTGCTTTAGAAGCTGGGCCAAAAGTCATCCAATGAACATTTTGTGAACACCTACTGTTACACAATGGTGTGCTAGGTATATGAAAGACATGCAGACATATACCAATTTGCCTGGCCCTCTATGAACTTACAATCTGTTTGAGGAAACAGGGCATGTAAACATTCCAGAGAGTTGAATAACAAGGCAAAATATGTTGGAAAATTGTGTATGATTGAATGTGAATGAACAGTACAAACTTTAAGTGCTATGAGTTACTAGGAGGGAGGATAACAGCTAGAGAGAGTTCCAGAGATGGCTTCACCTCAAATTGGAGTTTATTTTAGGTCTCAACAAATGAGAAACAGGTATCTAGGCAGAAAAAGTGAAGCTGTTTCAAATGGGACAGAATTGCATGGGCACAGATGGGAAGGCAGAAATCCACAAACTGAAGAAATACAATGTCTATTGACTACAAGAGGCAACGCAGAGCAGGGGCTGAGATCCGGCTCTACTATGTTCTAACTGGGCAACCTTGGCCAAGTTACTTCACCTGCCTGTGTCTTGCTCTCCACATTTATAAAATGGAGCTAATAACTGTCTGAACCTCATAAAGACTGTTTCAAAGACATAGGAGTAAGTTATGAAATGCATTGAGAACAGTTTCTGGCAATGTGAAGTGCTCAATGAGTGAGTTTTAATATTGTATGTGCTTGGCAAACACATATATGCAGTGTCAACACAGAATGGACAGTCCATAAATTTTGACAGAATCAATGAAAAATGGGATACAAGATCATGAAGTGAATGACAGCCAGATGATGGAAGGGCGTGAATGCCTAGTGCCTAGGTTTTAGCTCTATCCTACAGGCAGTGACAAGCATTTGAAGTTTTTTAAAAGAAATGTCGTAATTTTTTAAAAATTTATTTTAAGAAAAAGAATCTGTTAACATTGTGTCAGATGGAGTAAAATAGACAGAAACTGGAGTCACAGAAATCAATCGACAGTGATGTTCAAAGCCTGGATTAAACTGTTGGCTCTGAAAAGATGAAAAGCAAGGGATGGATTGGAGAGCCATGCCCAGGAAAAATGCACAAATGGTTGCTAGGAGGACAACCAGGGAGATGGGGTCGAGCAGGAATGCCGTTCTGTTAAGTAGCATCTGGACGGCTGCACAGGGAGACCCCTAGACCTTCTAGGGGGAACTACTTTTGGGGAGAACATTAGTGTGATTAATTCTATCTTAGACTTGCTGATGGTGAGATGATGAGGGACATCCAGGAAGAATATTACTATTATGTTAGCAGTTGGAATCAGAGGATCGGAGGTCTGGGCAAGATCCCAGTTTGAGAATCCACATGAAAGGTAAAGAGCAGAGGGGTAAGAACTGACGTGCCAATAGTAAATTAGACCTGCTATGAGTGGAAGAGTCCTTTGAAAAGGTCATTGGCTTTTACCCACAGGCATGTATGTGGTGCCTCCTGGCTTCTGAGAGCTGAATCTAGAAAATATACCAATTATAGAAACCGAAAGACCAAGGAGTGGTTAGGGTATGTTTAGGAAGAAAGACAGAAGCCAAGGGAGCCATGCTGTTTGGATACAGTTCCATGTTTAATACATTAGGTTAATGTTTAATCCGGCTCTTATTGAATTTTAATTCAAATGTGTAAATAATTAAATAAGATAATTATTAAAACAGTATTCTGAGGAACTTCCCTACTCTTGGTTTAGCTTCCACTGCCCAGGTGTTGAGTTTTAATAATTATGTCATTAATAAATAGCAATTTGCTGTTTTTAGCACACAGTGGATATCCTATTAAATCCAAATCAGGATGCTTTATGAAGCACTGTGCAGTCCTGTGGGGCTGAGAATGCACATAAGCCACTTGGACCAGGTAACTGCACGGCGCATGCAGATCTACAGATCCCAGATGGCTTCCTTGGCTGGCAGTGGGGGTTCCCCTCCTGCCTCTCCTCTATCTTGAAGACTGGAGATGCCCGCATCTCCTCCGGGCAGTTCTCACAGCAAGGGCTGCTTCACTGCTAAGGCCTCTTTAGGGACCTTTGTCTTTACAGAATTAATGGGACAAATCTGGAGTGCTCTTAACCTTTCTGGCTTCCAGACCACGTGCAGAGACACTAAGGCCTATGAGAACAGCCTGGTGCATGAATGTCCAACCCAGATTGGAAAGCTTGGAAAGATGCAACCAAGCAGGTGTTGGTTTTGAGAAAAATCCATCTTTTCCCAAGGGCCACTGTGTACCCAAGCGAAGCCTAGGCACAGTTGAGTGGTTCAGGTGGGATTCAGGCTGTGGCAAATGTGCTTGGTTAGGACCTCCCTTCTCTCATCCACACTGAACGGAGAGATGAATCTGTCATGGAGCATGAAGGCAAACTCCTTCTTTGGTCTCAAAGGCCTTGCACACTCTGGATGCCGCCTCCCTCTCCATGCTCTTCCCACAGCATTCTCCCTTCCTCACCCTGCTGGCCACCTGTCCTCTTCAAATGCCTCAAGCCCACCTTTGACTCCATCCTTCACACTTGCCTTTCTCCTGCTACTCACATTGGTTCTGTCTAATTATTTCAATTTCAGCTCCTCACAGAAGGCTTCCTCAAACCCCCTTTCTACAAGAGAACCCCCAGCCTGCCTGGCTTGCTACACAACTGTCTGCCTCTCCTAAGTACAATGTAAGCTCCACTGGTGTCTCGTTCATTGAAAATGGTCATCACATATCATAATGCCTGGCATCGTTTGTGTTCAACAATTTTTCTGAGTGAATGAATTACTGTATTCTCTCAAGGCTGTATGCAAATGCAAACAAATTGAAATGACTGAATTTCCTCAAGATCTTTAAATTGCCCCCAAGGACTGTAAGTGAACATAATGATGTTGATAATTACCATTTATTAAATACCTGCTGTATAACAGGTGTTTGGCTATATTACCTTTATTTTATTTTTCACTGTATGAACCCCACAAATAGATATTCTCTCTAAGGCAACCAACTGCCCAGGTCTACCTGGAATTGGAGAGTTTCTTGAGACATAAAACTTTCACTGCTGAAACCAAAAGCATTTCAGGCAAATGGGGATGCATTGGTCATCCTAATTAGTTCCCACACTTTACAGATGAGGATACCGATACTCAGAGGAGTCAAGGAACTTGTTCAAGGACATACAGCTGAAAATTGCAGTGTTTTTTTTTTGTTGTTGTTGCTGTTTTTTGTTTTTTGAGATGGAGTCTCATTCTATTGCTCAGGCTGGAGTGCAGTGGTGCGATCTAGGCTCACTGCAAGCTCCACCTCCCAGGTTCATGCCATTCTCCTGCCTCAGCCTCCCGAGTAGCTGGGACTACAGGCACCTGAAACCAAGCCCAGCTAATTTTTGTGTGTGTGTTATTTTTAGTAGAGACAGGGTTTCACCGTGTTAGCCAGGATGGTCTCGATCTCCTGACCTCGTGATCTGCCCGCCTCAGCCTCCCAAAGTGCTGGGATTACAGGCATGTGCCACCGCGCAGTGTTTTTTCAAATGGAAATAATATGGGTTAGAAAAATAACAAACGCACATGGAATCATGGGAATATACATGAAGATCCCTAAGGTCTCTTTTGATAAAAAAAGAACCCTAAGCTTCATATCAGAAGCCGAGGTTTTAAGCCCACACCCCACAGTTACTAGCTGTATAAGTGCATGGCAATCATTAGAGTCTCTGATTGTATTCATTATATATCAACACCTATCTTTTCTCCTCAAAATAGATGTTCTGTGGATCAGATTAAAATGTTAAGAAATCACTTTTTATACATAAAGCATTAATCAAATGTCCTTTCTTAGTGTTACTAAAAATGTGTACCTGTAGAGACCAATACGAAGAGAAATAGAGATTTTTAGTGCAGTAGGGGGCTGTTTTGGTTTGGACATTGGGATGCACCACACGCCCTGCTGATGTGCTCAAGGTTTGAGGATAAACAGCATCTTTAAATGAGGACTCAGGCCCCAGGCCAGGGTGCGCTGTGCAACAGGACCCCATTCTTTTGTCAGCAATGCGCTTGCTGCCATCATTTTCAAGAACGGAAGGGTCAGATTACAGTCAATCAGAATTCCAAATGAGAGCTTGAAAATGTAGAAAGCTCCTTAATGGCATAACCTCAGTGGATTATTATTCTCTTCACCAGAACCCTTTTGTCATTTGTTACATCTCATTCCTTCTCTCGCCCTCCATAGTAAAACCATTCATGTTGGCTAGAAAACCCTGAAGCTCTAGGAAAAAAACCTAGTGATTTTTTCAGGATTAGTCATAAACCAGTGCTTCTGAAGATTGGAACTTGTTCCTTTCAGGATCAACTGAAATGTGGAAGGAAGTCTTTATGAGCTCTGCCTCTTGACCGAGTTTTAGTCATTCCTGATGGAGACATAAGAGAGTGCAGTCCATACCATTCTTTCCTTATTCCATGCCTCTTGGCTTCGGGGCATAATGGTAAAAATTGAATTTCACAGCAACTACCTGTAATCATAAGTGCCCTATTATGTGGGTCACATCTAAGAAATTACTAAGAAGTGTCTCTTCATCAATTTTTTAACATGGAAACATAAGGGGTGTATCAGTGATCATGATGTGGACCTGCCATCCAGACAGGGCCATCTGTTTCCCAGCTGTGCGTGTTTTCCATGTATGGCAGTGCATGCTTTGGGTTGGGGCTATATGACTGGCTTTATTGCCCTTCACCACCAGGCCTCTCTCTTTAGGGACCAGTTCACGAAGGGAGGATAGATGGGGTGGGAAGAAAAGAAACACCAAACACCTTCTATTCCGAGCACTTTGCCAGGTGTTCCACATTTGCTGCTCCCTTGTAAATCCTCACCGTAACTCCTAAGGCATGATTCCCCACCGTGTAGTCGAGAAACTGAAGCTTGGAGAGGTTACACAAGTAACCCAAAACCATCATGGAGAATGTCAGACACACTGCAGATTCTCTAATAAGGTGTCCCTGAAAACTGACAGCCAAAATGTATACAAGCAAAAGATCCTCAAAACGTGAAATAACGTCACAATGAGAAAGGAATCAATTAATCTAATTCATTACATAATTTCGTGAGGAAGAGAACAGAAGTAAAAACAGAGGAAATATGACTTTTTAATATTATTCCTCATGGGAGAAAACTAATATTTGTTGAAGACCTAATAAGGGCTTCCCATATACTCTCCCTTTTCATCCAGGAATCTGAGGTTTTACCCTGCTAATGATGTGCTCGAAGCCACTGAGCTAGAAAGTGGCTGTTCTCAGACCCAAGCTCTTCCTACAGGGATTTGGGATCCAATAAAATATGTAGGTATAATTGAAAGCACTTAGTGAATTACTAATCACTCTGCAAATGAATGCTATTGTGATTGAGATAATTCAGAGTTCAATGAATTAGTGGTAAACAGCATAATTGTTTGCTGTAAAAACCAACCCTGATGTGCTGACCAGGATTTATTTATAGTGCTCAGCAACATCTCCTGACATGCAAGGTTTCTTCACATCCATCCTCTCCTCAGAGCCAGGGGCTGGCAAGAGATTTCTGACATCACTGTTTCTAATTTCTTCTCACCAGGAATTGTCTATTCCTGTAGTTCCCAACCGCCATAGCCTTGCCATATCCTTTGAGGCTCAACCGCAAGGCCTCGTTAAGCTGTGTCTTTCGCTCTTTTGGCATCTGGCACCTTACTGTGACTTTCCTTTCCCAAAGCAAGAATGCAGCTGATGTTCATGAAACTCAAGTGACCAGATACTGTAAGCTGTGCAATGGTGACTGCCACTTCTATCATATACCAGACTCCATTAGTTGCTTCTCTCCCCTAGACAGACTTTTTCCACAATCTCCAAAAGATCTTCATAGAAATGGAACAAGACCCCATTCCATTAGGCTTAGAAAACTCATGGGTAGAGGGTGCCACTGGCAGCTCCAGCCTCAATTAGAGGGACACTCTAGGTACACACACTTCTGTTCTAGTTCTAAGGACTTCAACCTCTGTAATCCCACTACCTTTTCAATAGGGGTCATTTGTCTGCAAAATCAGGAAGATGTTAGCTAACTCTGCCCCTTGGATGCCCTTGCTTCTGTTCAGAAACCCACTTCACAGAGAGAAAAAACATTTTGCTATAATAGTCTGTGCCATTACTCTACCCTGGGATGAAGTTTGTATTTCTACATCTTGATATCATACAGGTAAACAAATATGTAAGTATGTATGTATAGGTCATGGTAACCTCTTAGACTCTGAGCCATGATTCTGCTAATGTTCTCCTCTTGCCCTTAAGAGATACTCAGGTAATAATCATTCCTCTCTCCTAGGCTGCCTCACTCAGGTCAAATGGAGGTCAACCAGATAGAGACTAAGCCCCTGTCCCCAGGTGGTCGCCGCTCTCGGCTCTCAGCTCTGCAGAAACCTGCATTTCTGAGCTGTCAATCTGCTGGCTGCCAACAGCGCCAAGCTCACTTACATTCTCAGCTGCCTTCATGGCGTCATCGGCACTTTAATTCTTAATTGCCTAAAAGCACTGGTAGTTATGCACTCAAACACAAGCTATAAAACTGTATGCAGCAGGGAATTATGCTGACTGCAGTAAGAAGGCTGTGGTGAAGTCCCCACCACACCTCACCCCATGACTGCAGTAAAGTGCAAATAATTCCAGAGATTTTTCTCTTGTTCTCCAAATAACTGCACAGTTGAGTTCAGCAAAGGAGGGTCATTAGCCCTGAGAAGAGTTTCAGCCTCTCTCTAGTGCTACAGTCCCAATATTGCTCATGCCAGAATTAAAACTTGAGTTGTTCCCACACTCCTTGTGACCACCGTCTTAGGGAATAACTAGGCAGCTGCGAGGAAGACACATCTCATTATCCGACCTTGAATCTTGAATCCTGGGAGGTGGTCCCACTGCTGTCAAAGGAAACTTATCCGTTGATTTTGTGTTCCAAGACCTTATTGCCACTAAATCCCTCATAAAGGTTATGGCTGGTGAATAGATCAAGGCGAAGCTCCTTCCCCTTTAGCATGAGGGGTAGAGACACAGGTCTGTCTGTTTTAAACTACAAGTTCTCAGCGAGAGTGGCAGCTCTGTTAATCCCCCTGTGAAATGTCACAGTGCTGGAGCGAGTGAGGCAGTGCAGTTGGGGAAAGAGAGAAGTTTCAACATGACTTCTTGTTAATACAAAGCTTGTCAAACACATCACCTAGAAATACCGAATGTCTTTATTAGATTCCTTTATCTCCCCCCGAGATTGGAGGGACGCAACCAGTTGCTTCTCAGTAGACATGTCATCATTCAGAAACTAATTAAAGGCTACAGAGGAAGCTAGGTCTCTCACACTTGGGAGAACAAAATGCATTAGCAACACAAGTAAAAAAAAAATTACAAGTGAACTTTATATCAAAAAGGGCAAGTTGGGAATTTGACAATAACTCTTCTTTCTCGCTCACCAGTTCCCAGCAGGAGAAAGCAGGCCCATCAGGATGTCAGTGAATCTTGACACAAGGCCATCTACTCCCCGGTATCACTCAGGAAGGAATTTCTCCCCTATCTATGGATACAGAGGGGAAGAGGTCACCTGACCACTTACTATGAGAAATGCAATTGTGTGGGTTTTATGCCAGCATCTTCTCTTGCTATTGAGAACTGTAAAAGATGTACGCCACTGAACAGCGTTCATTTATCTCTGCACATCAAAGAGCCTGACCACCCAATCCAAAATATGTCCAATTACAGAAAAGCATATAGAAGCAAACGTTGTGCCTCAAAACTAACAAAAATTCAGAACCTAAGACCCTTTGTATCTTTAACCATGTAATAAACCTCCTCCATATGAATTAGGTGAACTACACTCTATGTACCATGCTTTGCAGTCACCAAACATCCCTACCTGTGGTGTCACGCCTTTCTTAGATTTCTCCTGCTGATGTTTCATGATCTTTTATGTTTCATTAATCATAGCTGTCCACATAACATGATTTAAAAACCCATGCTTTGTCATTCAAGGCCCTCTCCCATTTAGCACTCTAGCCACCCTAGACTGTGACTGTTCTACCAAAGAATTCACTGCCACTTTCCGTACTTCCTGCCTTGGTTGATAATGTTTATCTTGTCTTACAAGATGCTTGCTTTTCAGGTCTACATGTCTGAAACATTGCTGATCATTTAGTCCTAGCTAAACACACCTTGTCTTCCATTAGGGCCTTATTAGATATTGGCTGGATGGCTGATACTAAATGAGTGAATGAATTCAAAAGTTCAAAATTTGCCAACTCTGTCCACCCACAGAATAAATTTTAAAGTACATGTCCTGAGACATTAGGCACTCCTCCTTCCCCACTTATCTTCTAGTCTTCTCTCTAATTATGCTTGATAAATATCACACATTGCTCTCTATCTGAATGGATTAATATTCAGTAAGGGCTCTATGCAAATCTGCAGAATATGACCATAGCCAAGAACTCAGACTCGGGAGCCAAGTAGACTCAGGCTCCAATCCTGAATCTACTATCTACTAGCCATAGTTTTTCAAAGCTTTTACTGTGGTAAAATGTATCTATCATTTATCATTTTGGCCACTTTTAAGTATACAGTTTAGTCGTATTCAATACATTTATAAGCGCAGGTGCAGTGTCTCACACCTGTAATCTCAGCACATTGGGAGGCTGAGGTGGGAGGATGGCTTGAGCTTAGGAATTTGAGATCACCCTGGGTAACATAGCAACACCACCATCTTTCCAAAAAAATTTTTAAAACTTAGCTGTTTATGCTGGCATGATCCTGTAGATCCAGCTACTCAGGAGGCTGGATCACTTTAGCTCAGGAAGTTGAGGCTGCAGTGAGCCAAGACTGCACCACTGCACCCCAGCAAGGGCATCATGGAAAGACCTTGTCTCTCAAATAAATAAGTAATAAATGTATAAACAGACATATGTTTCAGAAAGTTATTTAATTTCTCAGTGTCCTGTTTTCAAAATGCAAATAATAACAATACTTTTACACTGTTGGTGGGATCGTAAACTAGTTCAACCATTGTGGAAGTCAGGGTGGCGATTCCTCAGGGATCTAGAACTAGAAATATCATTTGACCCAGCCATCCCGTTACTGGGTATATACCCAAAAGAATATAAATCTTGCTGCTATAAAGACACATGCACACGTATGTTTACTGTGGCACTACTCACAATAGCAAAGACTTGGAACCAATCCAAATGTCCAACAATGATAGACTGGATGAAGAAAATGTGGCACATATACACCATGGAATACTATGCAGCCATAAAAAATGATGAGTTCATGTCCTTTGTAGGGACATGGATGAAGCTGGAAACCATCATTCTCAGCAAACTATCACAAGGACAAAAAAGCAAACACCGCATGTTCTCACTCGTAGGTGGGAATTGAACAATGAGAACACTTGCACACAGGAAGGGGAACATCACACACCAGGGCCTGTTGTGGGGTGGGGGGAGGGGGGAGGGATAGCATTAGGAGATATACCTAATGTCAATGACGAGTTAATGGGTGCAGCACACCAACATGGCACATGTATACATATATAACAAACCTGCACGTTGTGCACATGTACCCTAGAACTTAAATAATAAAAAAATTAAAAATCAATAAACATCTCTCTTTCAAAATTAAAAAAAAAACAATACCTAATAGGGTGGTTATGACAAATGGTAATTTAGATTATTTACATAGTACTCAGGACATGTTAAAAGATCAAAAATAGAATTACACACACAAATATGCACTCACCAATCCAACTATTAATAGAATCATTTTCCCCAATCTCTGTGTAACCAAATCCCAGGAGGTACATCTTACCAAATCTAATGCCCAATTCCCTGTCCTCAATATAATTTAATCTTTCAGCAGTACTTGAGCAGATCTACCCTTCCATCTTTGGCTTGATGCTATCACACTGTCCTTATTCTCTACTTACCTTACTGGCTACTCCTCCTTAATGTCAAACTCTAAATGCTGACATGGTCTATTTCATGACCATCAGCCCTGTTCTTTAACTAAAACTCCCTTCCATCCCATCTGTGGCTTAACTGCTATCAGATACCCATGGTTTCCAAATTCATGCCATCAGCCTTAACCTCCCTTTGAGCTTCACTCTCACAGGCCAAAAACTGGATTCGATGCTTTTTATTTTCTTTTTTTCTCTTGGCTTTTATGTCAGCTTCAGGGAGTACATGTGCAGGTTTGTTACTTGGGTAAATTGTGAGTTTACATGGGTAAATTTGGTGTATTAATGATCCAGTCACCCAGGTAGTGACCATAGCAACCAATAGGTAGTTTTTCACCCCATATCTTTCTCCCATCCTCCCCCTCTCAAGTAGTCACTACAGTCTATTGTTTCCTTCTTTGTGTCTATGTGTATTCAATGTGTAGCTCCCACTTATAAGTGGGAACATGCCGTATTTGGTGTTCACTTAGGATAATGGCCTGCAGCTCCACCCATGCTACTGGAAAGAACATGATTTGATTTGTTTTACGGATGTGTAGTATTCCATGGTGTATATGTACCACATTTTCTCTATCCAGTCCACCACTGATGGGCATATAGGCTGATTCCATGTCTTTGCTATTGTGAATAGTGCCGCAATAAACATATGAGTGTATTTTTTTTTTAGTGGGACAATTTCTTTTCCTTGTGGTATATACCCAGTAACAAGAGTGCTGCATTGAAAGGTAGTTCTAAGTCCTTTGAAAAATCTCCACACTGCTTTCCACAGTGGCTGAACTAATTTACATTCCAACAAACAGAGTAAACCTGTTCCCTTTTCTCTACAATTTTGCCAACATCTGTTGCTTTTCGACTTTTTAATAATAGCATTCTGACTGGTGTGAGATGGTATCTCATTGTGGTTTGATTTGCATTTCTCTAACAATTAGCGATCATGAGCTTTTTTTTCCCATATATTTCTTAGCCACATGTATGTCTTGTTTTGAGAAATATCTGCTCATGTCCTTCGCCTATTTTTTAATGGGGTTATTTGTTTTTTGCTTGTTGAATTAAGTTCGTTATAGATTCTGGACATTAGACCTTTGATGGATGCATAGTTGATGAATATTTTCTTCCATTCCATAGGTTGTCGGTTTACTCTGTTGACAGTTTATTTTGCTGTGCAGAAGTTTAATTAGGTCTCACTTGTCAATTTGGGGCTCTGTTGCTATTGCTTTTGGGGACTCAGTCCTAAATTATTTGCCAAGGCCAATGTCCAGGAGGATATTTTCTTGGTTTGTTTTCAAGGGTTTTTATAGTTTTAGGTCTTACATTTAAGCATATAATCCATCTTGAGTTAAATTTTGTATATGGTAAAAGAAAGGGGCCAGTTTCAATCTTCTGCATAAGGCTAGCCAGTTATCTTGCACCATCTATTGAATAGGGAGTCCTTTTCCCATTGCTTGTTATTGTCAACTTTATTAACAGTTAGATGATTGTAGGTATGAAACTTTATTTCTGAGGCCTCTATCCTGTTCTGTTGGTCTACGTGTCTGTTTTTGTAACATCACCATGCTGTTTTGGTTACTGTAGCCTTGTAGTATAGTTTGAAGTCAAGTAATATAATGCCTCTGGCTTTGTTCTTTCCACTTAGGATTGCTTTGGCTATATGGGGTCTTTTTTTTTTTTGGTTCTATATAGATTTTAGTACAGTTTTTATTTTCTAATTTTGTGAAAAATGATGTTAGTAGTTTGATAGGAATTACATTGAATCTGTAAATTGGTTTGGGAAGTATGGCCATTTTAACAATATTGATTCTTCTTATCCATGAGCATGAAATGTTTTTCGATTTGTTTTTGACTTTTCTGATTTCTTTCAGCAGTGTTTTGTAATTCTCATTGTATAGATTTTTTACCTTCTTGGTTAGACGTATTCCTAGGTATCTTACTCTTTTTGTGGCTATCGTAATTGAGATTGTGTTTTTGATTTGCCTCTCAGCTTGGAAGTTATTGGTGTAGAGAAATGCTATTGATTTCAGTCAGGTGCAGTGGCTCACACTTGTAATCCCAGTACTTTAGGAGGCCGAGGCAGACAGATCACTTGAGGTTAGGAGTTCGAGACCAACCTGGCCAACATGGTGAAACCCCATCTCTACTAAAAGAACAAAAACTAGCCAGGCGTGGTGGCACAGGCCTGTAATCCCAGCTACTCAAGAGGTTGAGGTACAAGAATCACTTGAAACTGGGAGGTGGAGGTTGCAGTGAGCTGAGATTACACCACTGCACTGCAGCCTGGGTGACAGAGTGAGACCCTGTCTCAGAAAAAAAAAAAAAAAAAAAAAAAAGGAAGAAATGCTACTGATTTGTGTACATTGATTTTGTATCCTGAAACTCTACTGTGGTCGTTTATCAGTTCTAGGAGGCTTTTGGCAGAGCCTACAGGGTTTTCTAGGTGTAGAATAACATCATCTGTGAAGAGAGATAGTTTGACTTCCTACCTTCCTATTTGGATGCCTTTTATTTCTTTCTCTTGCCCAACTTCTCTGGCAAGGACTTTCAGTATTATGTTACATAGGTCTGGTGAGAGTGGTAATAATTGCCTTGTTGAATTTCTCAAGGGGAATGGTTCCAGCTTTTGTCCGTTCAGTATTATGTTGACTGTAGGTTTGTCATATATGTCTCTTATCATTTTGAGGCATGTTCCTTTGATGCCTAATTTGTTGAGGGGTTTTTAACATGAAGGAATGTTGAATTTTATTGAGAGCCTTTTCAGCATTTATTGAGACGATCATGTTATTTTGTTTTTTTTAATTCTATTTAGTGAAACACATTTGTTGATTTGTACATGTTGAACCACCCTTGCATCCCAGGAATAAAGCCTACTTCATCATGGTAAATTAACTTTTTGATGTGTTGCTGGATTAGGTTTGCTAGTATTTTGCTGAGGATTTTTGTACCTATGTTCATCATGGATAATAACCTGAAGATTTGTTGTTGTTGTTGTTGTTGTTTGTTTGTTTCATTGTGTCTTTATAATGCTGGCTTCATAGAATGAGTTAGAGAGGAGTCCCTCCTCCTTTATTTTTTGGAATAATTTCAGTATGACTGGTATTAGCTCTTTGTACATCTGGTAAAATTTGACTGTGAATCCATCTGGTCCTGGTCTTTGTTTGGTCAGTAGGCTTTTTATTATGGATTAAATTTTGGAACTCATTATTGGTCTGTTCAGGATTTTAATTTCTTCCTGGTTCAATCTTGGGAGGCTGTAGGTTTCCAGAAATTTATCCATTTCTTCTAGGTTTTTTAGTTTGTGTGCATAGAAGTGTTTTTAATAGTCTCTGAGTAGTTTTTGTATTTCTATGGGGTTGGTTGTAATGTCACCTTTGTCATTTCTGATGGTGTTTGCATCTTCTCTCTTATTTAATAATCTTAACTTTTAGTTTTGTTGATCTTTTGTATGGATTTTCGCATCTCAATTTTGTTCAGTTAAGTTTTGATTTTGGTTATTTCTTTTCTTCTGTTATCTTTGGCGTTTGGTTTGCTCTTGTTTTACTAGTTCTTCTAGGTATGACATTTGGTTGTTAATTTGAGATCTTTCTAATTTCTTGATGTAAGTTTTTAGCACTATAAACTTTCCTTTTAACACTGTTTAACTATGTCCCAAATATTCTGATCTATTTTTTTTTCCATTTTTGTTAGTTTCGAAAATTGTTTTTATTTTTTTATTTTTACTTTAATGTCATTCTTTTCCCCAAAGTCATCCAGGAGCAGGTTGTTTAACTTCCATGCAATTTTATGGTTTTCAGAGATCTTCTTGTTAATAATTTCTTTTTTTATTGCACTGTGGTCTGAGAGTATGGTTGGTGGATTTTGACTTTTTTGAATTTATTGCGACTTGCTTTATGGTTTAGTGTGTGGTTGATCTTAGAGTATGTGCCATATACAGATAAGAAGAAAGTATATTCTGTTGTCATTCTGTTGTTGTGGAGTGTTCTGTAGATGTCAATTAAATTCAACCGGTCAAGTGTCATGTTTGTCAGTGTATCTTTGTTAGATATCTGCCTCAATGATCTGTCTAATGCTGTCAGTGGGGTGTTGCAGTCTCCCACTATTATTGCATGTTTATCTAAATATCTTTGTAGATCTCTAAGAAGTTGTTTTATGAATCTGGATGTTCTGATTTTGGGTTTGTACATATTTAAGATAGTTAAGTTTTCTTGTTGAATTGAGCCCTTTATAATTAAGCAATGATTCTCTTTGTCCTTTTTGACCAACTTTGGTTTAAAATCTGTTTTATCTGATATAAGAATGGCGACCCCTACTCTTTTTCATTTTCTGTTTGACTGATACATCTTTCTCTATCCCTTTATTTTGAGCCTATGGGTGTTGTTACTCATGAGATATATCTCTCAACGGCAGCAGACTGTTGGGTCTTGCTTCTTAATACAACTTACACACTATGCCTTTTAAGTGGGGGGATTATCTCATTTATATTCAATGTCAATATTGATATGTGAGGATTGTATCCTGTCATTATGTTGTTAGCTGATTGTTACATATACTTGATTGCATAGTTGCTTTATAGTGTCAGTGGGCTACATACTTAAGCATGGCAGGTACTATTCTTTCTTTTCCATGTTTGCCACTCCCTTTAGGAACTCTTGTGAAGTAGGCCTGGTGGTAACAAATTCCCTTAGTGTTTGCTTGTCTGAAAAAGATTGTATTTCTCCTTTGCTTATGAAGCTTAGTTTCACAAGTTACAAAATTCTGGGTTGGAATTTTTTTCTTTTAGGATGCTCAGAATAGGTTCCCAATTTCTTTTGGCTTGTTTGTTTTCTGCTGAAAGTTTCACTGTTTGCCTGATGAGGTTCTATTTGTAAGTGATCTGCCCCTTCTCTCTAGCTTCCTTTAATATTTTTTCTTTCACTTTGACCTTGGAGAGTCTGATGACTATGTGTCTTGCAGATGGTCATCTTGTATAGTATCTCACAGGGGTTCTCTCAATTTCTTGAATTTGCATGTTGACCTCTCTAGCCACACTGGGAAAATTTTTTGGACTATATCCTCAAATACGTTTTCCAAGTTGCTTGTTTTCTCTCCTCTTTCAGGAATGCCAATGAGTTGTAGGTTTGGTCTCTTTACAGAATCCCATATTATTGAAGGTTTTGTTCATTTTTAAAAATTCTTTAAAAAAATTTTTTTGCCTGCATTTATTCAAAGGAGTGATCTTCAAGCTCTGATATTCTTTCCTCAGCTTGATCTATTCTGTTGTTAATGCTTCCAATTGTATTATAAAATTCTTATAGTAAATTTTTAATTTCCAGCAGTTCAGTTTGGTTCTTTCTAAAATGGTCATGTCATCTTTCAACTCTTGTATCATTTTACTCTTTTCCTTGGATTGGGTTTCAACATTCTTTTGTATCTTGTTGATCTTCCAGGCCACTCAGATCCGAAATTTTATTTCTGACATTTCAGCCATTTCCATCTGCTTAAGAACCATTGCTGGGTAGCTAGTGTGATCATTTGGAGGTAAGAAGACACTTTGGGTTTCAAAGTTGTCAGAATTCTTGTGCTTATTCTTTCTCATGTGAAGGCTGATGTTCCTCTATCCTTTGAAGTTACTGTCTTTGGATAGGGCTTTTTGTTTTTATGTTCTTTACAGCCCTTGAGGGCTTGACTGCGATGCAAGCTGGGTATAGTCAAATGGCTTCATTTCCAGAGGTGTTCAGAGGGCCAAGGCTCAGCTGATCACTCCTGGGCAGTGTGCTCTAACCCTGTTGGGCTGGAACTTGGTCTGTGGCTTTGTCCTCTGTCTCCTTGAGGTTGAGCACTGGCTGCACTGGAAGGTGGGAGCGAGGTGCTCCCAGATCACTGGCACCAGCACTTTGTAGAGGGAGCTGAGGTTTGAAAGCACTCTAGCATGGTGGTGGGGTTGGGTGGCTAAGCTGCTCCCAGACCACCAGCAACAGCACTTCGTTGGGTGGTGGCCGCAAGCATAAGCATTCCAGAGGGGCAGTGTGCAGGGGTAGGGGGCTGCAACAATGCTTTTTAGTTTTGTGGACACTGACCTGTTTTTTCCCCTCTGGTAAATACTATCCAAGTCTATTCTACTCTTACTACATCTGTGGTCTTCCTGTTTTTACTGTTTGCACGGACATTCCACTCTGTACATCATGACTAGAGTAATTAAAACAAAGCAAAATGACAAAAAAAAACAAATAATATCATCCCCTGCTTATAAACCTCCAATGGCATTTGACTGAACTTAGAATTAAATTCACAATCCATACCTGTGTCCCTGTGTCTCTAAGATGCTACAGAGCTAACCCCTGAAGGAAGTCTCTGACTTTACCTTGGACTATTTTGCCCAGAATTCACTCAGTTCCCTGATCTGCTATCTGTCTCTTTTTTTTTTTTTTTTTTAAGATGGATTCTCACTCTGTCACCCAGGCTGGAGTAAAGTGGCATGATCTTGGCTAAATGCAACCTGGGCCACCTGGGTTCAAGTGATTCTCCTGCCTCAGCCTCCTGAGTAGCTGGGATTATAGGAGCCTGCCACCGCGGCCAGCTAATTTTTGTAGGTTTTAGTAGAGACGGGGTTTCATCATCTTGGCCAGGCTGGTCTTGAACTCCTGACCTCACAATCCACCTGCCTCGGCCTCCCAAAGTGCTGGGATTACAGGTGTGAGCCACCACACCCGGCCCTTTCTATCTCTTAAAGATGCTAAGGTTAAGAACCTTCAGGCCTTTATAGTTTCTTTCCTCTCCTGAAATGCTCTTTATCCAGAGTGTCACATATTTAGTTGTTTATCATTTAGTTCTCATTTCAAATTTCCCCTTCTCAGTGCCCTTCCTTGCTATGCTACCTCACATAGCTTCCTGGCCTATCTCATTACCATGCTTTGGTTATTAGTATGGCTCATGACACTCTCTGAAATTCTCATTTGTTTAGTGTCTGATGTCTCTCTCTTCTCATTGGAATGTAACAGCTATGAGAACCAAACCTTGTATTGTGCACACTCTGTCCCTTCCACCAACAATTCCCAGCACACAACAAGGGCTCAAATCATTTTGTTGAACAGAGGAACTCCCCTGGCCAGAATTAATTTATTCCTTCTTTGCCCTTTGTTCAAACCACTCTGATCGAGTATATCACAGTTTGTCTTAGCAACTATTCGTATATGTACCTATCATTCCCACAAGAATATGAGATTCTAGAAGGCAGGACCTATAATGTTTTTATCTCTTTTGTGTGCTTCGCCTTTATGGCCCCCAGCATGGAACAGTGTTTCTTGCGAATAGTAGGAGCACCACAAACGATTGTTCATTTGTATGCATAAACCGAATCACACACATTTTCTTTCTTGTGGCTCTACAGTACTAAAAGACATATTTCTGGCAAAGGTTTCTATGACATAACTATTGACACAGGAGTGATTAAACCATTGCTGTCACACACACTCCAAAAGGCACTCAAGTATCGTGTGTGTCTGTGTGTGTGTGTGTGTGTGTGTGTGTATCTGCCGTGAATCAGTGGGCAAGGCAACTATATTTCCTGGTGCACAATTTGCTGCTTGCCATGAAGCTAGAGAGAGTGTCAACATGCTTTGGAGAAGTCCAAGTTCGGTTCCTTCTTCTAAGGCTCTGGAACATGAAATAAAACAATGTCCTGCAGGCAGCTCTTCTTTACTGAGAAGGTTGTGTTGAGTAACACAGAAAAGCTAAACAAGAAACCTGTCACTGGGCAATAAATTAAAAATAGGTCTGTGCTCCTGAAGATAAATCAGCAACTTTAATACTCCTCCCCTGAGCTGAGCATCTTTAAGGAACATAGGACAGGTGTCTCCAAGTTGAAGTATTGGTTAAAAAGCTGTCCTTTAAATTACATTTGGGCTATTTCTTTCCCAGCTGGCTGTATTTTTCATGATCTATCTAGAGGCTTAAAAAGACACACAGAGAAACAAATCTCAGTTCCATTAAGCACACACTATAGACTTGCATATTTGTTCTTATCTTTGGCCTCTCTTCCTTTCTATCATCCACCACCTGCCCCCCTTCCCAACACTATCAAACATCAGCACCAGAAAATGTTTACAATTACTCCAGATGCTGATACTAATCTAATTCCCTGTAATTGCTATTCATCATCATGTAGGCCTCCTTTCTTTCTTATTAAGCTCTTATGCTCACATCCCACATATCCTATAACTCCAGATATAAACTCATGTGTGCGCATTTCTAGAGTCAAAATGGTTGGCAGAGGAAATGGCTCCCATGCACACTGTCAATCAGAGAACCAGGGTCAGTGGAGACAGCCCAGGGTGCAGTGCTATAGGTCTAGATTAGATTAGCATCAGTTAATGCACTTGCCTTTATTTTAAATCAGACACAGGCCCCTGCTGAGATGAATCAATATTTAATAATTGTGAGATACAGTTATGTGTATATGCAGGGGTCTCCATCTCACCCTCATGGGGAACTGTTTGCAACAACATTGCACATACAGCATATCATGATGCTGGTGCTGGTTCCTCTGGGAATTCCTATTTTTATCTGCAGTAACATCCACCTCTAAAATGCATAATAAAGATAATAAGCTAACCCCCAGAAGAGATATTCCTAGACTAAAGTGTTTAGAGACCGGCGTAAGTTCATTAAGGCAGGCAGTGGAATTTTCCTTTCTGAAGATGTGAGCTGGGAAGGGTGCCCTGGAGTCTGGGAGGAGAAGGAACCTCTTCATTTCTGAAAGTACTGTCCAGGACAGCATTCAAAAGCAAGCCTTGCATGGCCTGGAGGGAGACAAGACACAGGTTTCTGGCCCCTCAGCCAGGCACTTTTCTCAAGTCTTCAGCTTTGTCTCCTATAAAAGGAGGCGTTTGGGTTAGTCCGGGTTCCTCAACCTCAGCACTACTGACATTTGGGGCTGGATGACTCTTTGTTGTGTGGGGCTGTCCTGTGCATTGCAGGATGTTTTGCAGAATCTCTGGTCTATACCCACTAGATGCCAGTAGCATCTTCATGCTAATTTCTTCCCTGACACACAAACACACACACACACGCACGCACAGAGTTGTGACAAACTAGGATGTCTCAAGTCATTGCCAAATGTTCCCTGGAGGGTAAAGTCATACTCTGCAGAGCTGCTGGGCTAGCTTATCTTTAGGAGGCTTTCTTGCTTTCTGTTATGCTATGTCTCATTTTCCATTTTGGAAGTCTCCACGTAGACATGTTAGTCAGAGGGACAGATTGCAATTCTTTGGAAGTTTCTCCTACGTATCACTCTCTTTTTAGTTACCCAATCCATGTTCACTTTCAAAGCAGAGATTTACATTGCCTTGCTCTGAACCTCACTTGTTAGGCTCAGAAAGTACAGAGGCGCCACATACCCTATCACGCTCCTGTCATAGCTCCAGAGGCAGATGTGGTCTCAGAAGCACCTTCTTGCTCTTACAACTGCTCCCCAAAGCCCAGAGATGCCTCAAATCTCTCCCTTCTTTTGTACTCCACCTGTGTCTGCTCAGCTCCATCTCACTGCCCCTTCTGGAGGTCACCAGCAGCACAGGGTAGTTAGCTGCTGAATGGCTCATTACCCAGGGCAAATTTGTCAGAGGAGCCTCAGCCTGAGCACTGTAATGAATCCTTCAGTTGGCTAGGAATGAATGCATTAATCTGGGGCTATTAGAGCCTTTTATCAGGCTGCCTAAAATATACTGCCTTTCCCAAGCACACTGAGCAGGCGTTTCACCCTAAAGGGATACGTGGGTGGGGAGCACTATATTGGTGCTAACTAAAACAGAACAGCTAAGAAAAATATGAAGGGGAGTATAGAGAAGCCAGATATGGTGTTGCTGAACATACTTCTAGGTCTCATCTTGTTTTTTCAGGGCATTCAATCCTTAAAACACGCACACGCACACACACACACACACACACACACACACACACGCCATCTGAGCAACCTCCTTTCCAGTGAAAATGAAGAAAAGAGAAGCAAGGCACTGAAGACATCCTCAAAGTAGCATATTTCCCCAAGGAATTGAACAGTGAGATTAGAAAGGGCATGGGTAGCCAGTCTGGCCCTGCTTCTCTGATGTATTCAGTGGAGTCTATTCAATTGAACAGATGTGGATCCTGGCACTCAGATGTAGACAATGTTCTCCTAGACACGGAGTCAAGGGAATGGACATATTCATAGAGCTATGGCTGCCACAAACCCCCTCTGAAAGTGTGAGCATGGGGGCACTCCACAGGGCGCCACCTAGCGTTTGAGGAAATCATCCGGATCCCCACAGGGGGCTCGGAAGCGGTAATGGGATGAGAACTGGAAGAAGGGCAAACCTGCAAGAGTCCTATCCCTGGTGCATTTGAGGGCCAGTGGTTTGATGTCTTAGGGTTCATTTGCTCCATTTATAAAACTGAAATTATTATAACTGCCTTGTCTTATAGTGTCCTTCTGAGAACCAAATAAGACAACCTCCATGAAAGTATTTACATATCGTTAAAGAAAAAAAATAGGAGGAATGGCTGCAATGCCATGACCTGAAAGCCCGAACATTTCAAAACAAAACAAAACATTAAAAAATAAAAATTTAAAAAGCAGGCTGTCTAAAGCAGTGGCCACGTGGATGATAAGATGGAGTCTTTATCTGCTGCTGTCATCATGAATTTCAAGTGGCCTGCAGGTTCCTCGGGGAGCTGGGATACCAGTCAAACTAAAAAGAGAAGGCTGCGTTAGAGATCCAAGACTGGCTGGGATTCCCTCCAAGGAGATTTGGGCTGCTGGAAAGAGGCAAGCTAGTGTATTCATAGGGGCTGGCCATCCACTGCCTGCTTCCCTTGGTGGCTGTGTCTCCCAACCATTTTGTTGTCCTGTCATTGTGACTTACACTCCTCATGGGGAGAGTACCATAATGAGGTGGAATCGAGTAATACTTAGGCTCCTGCTGGGAAGTCCCAGTGATGAGAGAGCCACCGCAGTGGCTCAGTGGTGGAGTTCTGGTCACCAGAGGCTCCTGTTGGAGTTCTTTCTTTCCGTCTTTAGCAAACTTGGAATCAAGTGGGCTTCCCGAAAGCCTGGGATTTATTGATTTCAATCATCCTCTTAACTATCTAAGGCAGAACTCTTTAGATTTGACTTCATTCTTCCCGTAATCCCCCATTTCTAGGGTGGGAAAGCGATGAATAGGCAAGGGCGGCAGTTATTTCTGATTAGGATGAATCAAGTCCAGAGCAGCTGTCTGCTTTGAAGTGCCTTGACCCATTATTTGCCTGAGCACAAAGCAGGGTCAACGTTAAAGAATCCGAGCCCAAAAATAAAGTGAAAGTAATGGATGCCACCCAGCCCTGCAGCCCCCTTCCTACTCCATCCTGGGCTCTCTCCCAGTTTTCATGAAAGCTATGCTCTTGAGAACTAACTTCCAACCCTCCTCCATATCTTTTAAACCAACATATCTTTTAAAAATAATTATATTAAAATTATTATGAAATGACCAGACACTCTTTTTCTTTATTAATGGAGAGATTTGCGTTATATGCAGCAAAGTTAGCAATACTGAGCCATTTGTTTTGGAGTGGATTACCACGACCCATTTATGTAGCTGTTGGGGAAGGAAGAAAATAACTATTTGTGGTATAACAAAATCATGTGCAATAGGATAATTGGAAGGCATCAAGCTCTAATTTTGGGCATCGCTTCTCATTAGACAAGTACTGGAAAAAGTCTTTGTGTGCATTATAAATGCAGGGCTTATCTCAGAGTGATATTCTGATGGAAGAAAATTTCCTCCCTTAAGAAAGAAAAGTGAGAGAAGAGGCACACATTATGGGGAACATAAAAGCCTTGATATCTCAAGAAAATGTGTGCATAAATGTCTGTTTGGATATTCGCTTGTGTGTACACACACAGACATACACATTCACATGTATGTACATGTGCACACATATGGGGGGAGTGAGAGTGACAGTGATAGAAAGCAAGACACAGAAAGAGATGTTTCAGTGTGAAATGTCTTCCAGCAGTGAGATTTTTTGTTTTGTTTTTCACTTTTAAAGTTCTATTTCTATAGCACTGAGCCTAGATACGACAATTTCAAGAGAAAGTGGGATAATAACAGATCAAATACCCTCATAAGGATGCCACTCCTTATAAACAATCGCAGCAAAATAATCCAGCGTGCTGTGGCAGAGTACAGTATTAATCCAAATCAAGAAAAATTAGAACAACAAAAAAAGGTAAGCTGAAAGCAGAAGGCCCAGCCACACCGTTTCTGAATTGGCACCTCTGACGCCATGAAGCCGTAGCATAGGTTCACAATGACATGGTACGTTCATGACGCTGTGTGGATCTGACTGAAGGTCAACTGCCTAGAAATGAATATTATTTTTCCCAAAAAATTTGTGTAGCTCATTGTTCATCAAATTCATCTTGTGTAATTACAAATAATCTAAATTTACATTTAAAAGAAAAAATGCAGTTTTGAAGCTTTGTGGCCCAAATCCTAGTCTTTCTCTGGTCTTTCCTTCCAGGTCTGAACCATTGAGGGAAGAGCCAGGCTTCAGGTGAATGAGAGGGTTTCACCACCTTTAACTACCAGGACCGGACGACTGGAGTGTGGGGGTCTGCAGGAAAGAATTTCCTGTGTCCTGCCTCAAGAAAAAAGAAGCAGCTCTCCACCTTAAGCCAATCTGATCCATTTATACAGTAGTCAGTAGAAAAGTCTTAAAAGAAACAGCAGCACTCACATGGGTGTGAGATGTAGGAACTGGGGCAGTGCACTGCCCCCCACAGCTGTGCCAAGGAAGCACAAAGAGGATGAGCTGAGAGAGGAACTTGCTTGGGAGGCAGCCAGTAACTGTCTGGATCAACTGGATCCCCAGCCTCAGCCCGGGAGAACAGAGCAAAGGAGCAAAGAGAGGACCTCTTTTCTCTGCCTTGGTGAGGAGGCAGAAGTGTCAGGGAAAGTTCCCTCTTCTGTGGGTAAACACAGCATATGGAACAGGAAGATCTACGGACACCCCCGTAAACTCACTGCTTTCAAAAGAGGCTCTCAAAAACGGTAGTAAAATGTTTGAAATACAAAATCTTCAGCTCCACTTTCATCGTTTCCAGTTTGTGCTTGGCACCAGGCACCATAGAGAAGCTTTAACACTATACTGGGAAGACACGGTCGGTCCTTTTTTCTGAAGGATTTTTTCATGCCACCAGAAACTCTAGATTAGCAGGCATCATAGTTATGAGACTCTGGAGCCAAATTTGCAATCACCATTAAGACAAAGAGCCAAAGGACTGTGCATGTCCCAGCAAGGTATTCTAAAACAGAAATCGCTACTGCCTTTAACAACACAGGTGTCATTTGAAAAATCTAGTGATGGCCTAAATTTGTATTGAATATTAAGTTCCAGAAACAGGAATGGAAGCACTTTACACCAAGTTCCACACTTTACTTTTTGGAGTTGGTGAGTCTAAAGTTTCTATGACCAGGTAGACCTAGAGAAGATATACTTGTCTGGTGCTTTCAAAGAACATGGAGATTTTTCAGATGACACTTGTGTTGTCAAAGGGAGTAGCGATTTCTGTTTTAGAATACCTTGCTGGGACATGCACAGTCCTTTGCCTCTTTGTCTTAATGGTGATTGCAAATTTGGCTCCAGAGTCTCATAACTATGATGCCTGCTAATTTAGAGTTTATGGTGGCATGAAAATTCCTTCAGAAAAAAATGACCGACTGTGTCTTCCCGGTATCATGCTAAAGTTTCTCCATGGTGCCTGGTGCCAAGCACAAAGTGGAAACGATGAAAGCAGAGATCAAGAGTCCAGGCCCTCAAATGCTGAGCCTGTTTGGTCACTGCCAAATGTGGCCAGTGGGGTATGGTTAACTAATCTGGGACAAGTTGGTGGGCATGCCTCTCCAGGTTTCTGGGTCCTTGAAGAGTCATTACAAATGTGTTGATTATTACAGTCATAGAATAACCATTCCCTGAGCAACTACTATGTGCTGGTCTTATGTAACAGAGATGGGAGTGGGTAAGATAGGAACATTAAGTTCAAGGGTGTGCCAGCAGGTGTAGAAGTTGACAATATATGCAATGAGGACTGTACAGCACCGTGTGAGATGCAAATATAGAGTGTGACAGGAACACAGGGAGGGTATCAGGGAGGAAAATGCAAAGAAAGGCACCATGTGTTTGGGCCTTACAGAAAATGTGAATTCCAAGGCAGCAAAGGAGAGTGTTCTAGGAAGCAGAAAGCATATGTGAAACCTGTAAGTAAAATCTTTAAAATGTTGGAAAATGAGGTGGTCTGTGTTCCTGTACTATAAGGTCAGTGGTAGAATTTGATGGTAAAAGGATAACTTGGGGCCCCATTTTAGAGAAGTTTATATGCTTTGTTAAAGACTTTGGATTTTATTCCATAGGAAATGAGGACCATCCAAGGATTCGAAGCAGATTTGCTTGGAAAGATAATGCTGGCAGCAATGCAGACTGCATCCTCAAGAGAGTACGTATTAGAGATAGCTACCAGATTACTACTGCCATCATTACTGTTTTCACCACCTCACCCCTCATTATTACTTTCCAGTTTTAGTGTCACCTTACCATCATTGTGTGCACATTGCTTGTGGGCATACACAATGCTTTACACCTACAGCCTCAATTTGTTCTTGCAGAGACCCTGTGTGGCAGGTATTATTATTATTCCCCTGATTTTATACATGACACGTAGAGAGATTAAATAATATGCCCAGGGTTGCACAATGAGTGAGCATGATCTGCAGTTTGATACAAATGCAGGTGATCAGACACTGGAGCATGCAACCTTAGCTAGTACATCACTGTTTAAAAATATGAAAGTCCTCTCCAGTCATGACCTAGGGCTTCTATAAGAGTGGAAAGAGCAGAATAGAAAACAAGGGAAAGGAATATTTGGTAGATAGAATTGTAAGGTTAGGAACTTAAATAAACACTACTAACAAAACAGGTGTGTTAAAAAGAAGTGAAAGAAAAACTAGCAAATGATGGAGGTTTCTAGCTTGACTGATATATGTTGGTGGCATTAGTTAACATGGGAAATAACGGTTGAAGATAAGGTTTCCTCATGAAATATGGAGTGGGTTTTTGCCATTCCTTTAAGCTACTACCCAGAATCGGAACACCCTTCCTAGATTAAAATAATAATAATAATAATAATAATAATAATAATAATAAACTAGATAGTGTGACTCCATTTTGAAATCTGATAAGATTTCAGACTTGCCTTATAGTACTCTAATAGGTGCAGCATAGGAATGTCACCTGGTCTCTGTCTACTGGATGCTCTGGTCAAGGAATTTGCATACATAGTTAAAAATGCAAAGATACAGAGACAGTTAGAATTCACTCCTGTTGGGATGTCCAGCATTCAGAGGTATCAGAAGGAACAGAAGAGGCATCAAATGCCAGTGTTTCAATAGTGCCAACATCAGTGCCACTATTAAGCTGTAGTGGATGCAATGCCCTGGCAGGACTTCCTGCATTGTAATTTTTCTATGTATTGACCCCCTTCCCATTTTTGAATCAAACCTCTGTCAATTCCATGAGTTATACAACATATTTTTAGTCAACTCCTTGTTTCTGTTAAGTCAACCTGAATCAATCCCCATTGATTGAAACCAAAAACCTGGTTAGGTACCAAGGATAATAAAAACAGTTTGGAATACACTGAGCTCAAGTTGTCTGCAGGACATAAAAGCTAAGAATCTCAATAGACAACTTGTAATCCTTTGGGAATTTAGAAAAGAAATGAGGCAGAACACAGCAGGATGACTGCCTAAATCATAATCTTCATGCTGATGCCATGATGGAGTAGCATCACCTAGGAAAAACATAAAAGGAAGATTCAAATGTGGAACCCAGAGGAAAGCCAACAGGTATGACTCATGAGAAGGATTAAGGTGGATAAAGAAAAGAAACTGAGATGGAGTGGTGAGAGTTGGGTGAAAGTCAAGAGGGAGTAGTTTCATGAAAAGTTGGTAAAGAAAGTATCATCAGTAAGGACAGTGGTAGCAACTGCATCAATTATGACAGAAAGAGTACTGAAAAAATGCCATGAGATTTGGCAATAGGCAATTGCTTGTGTCCTGAGCACAATCACTTGTCTTACTTGTATAACTTATTCTGAGATCCTTAAGTTAAATACATAGCCTAAATTTATTGACTTTACATACATGATGATGAACTAAATTGATCACTTCTTTCTTCTTTTATCTTCTCCCCATTTTTTTTTCCTGAAGCTTCTTCCAGGAAGGGGCCTATGTTGGCCTGGGGCTGGTAGTAGCGAATACAATGGAAAGAAAATCTGATGGGAGAGCCTCACCGGGTTTTAGTTCTTCATTCTCTAAGGCTGGGTGGAGTGGAGGTGGTGAGCTGAACCACCAACTCTGGTGGTAATCATATTAGACTTATAGTGTTTGGAAACTCAGGTCCTTAGATTGATGGAATTTAAACCCAGCTGCCCAGGACACAAGTTATAGAAAAGTCTGAGAGCTTGAGAGGGTTTGTGGGTTTTTTGTTTTTTTGTTCGGTTGGTTGGTTGGTTTTGTTTTTTGTTTTTACTTTTCTAGACTTGAAAACCTGTGAGTTTGCAGTTCTAGACTTGAGGGAAGACCAGAGCTACTTGCTTATGGGAAGCCATTCAGTTGTATAAAAATTTCTATCATTTGTCCTTTTCTTTTAAGGATTGAAGTGCCTTTTTTTCCCATTTTGCTTGTTCCTTTGAAGTTGCTTGCTTTACTTCTTGGCTAATCTCTGCCTTTAATAATAATCCATCACTGTTTAGTAGCTTCTTTGAAAGTCATGTTAGACTTAACATGACTGTCAGTTTCTCTCTACCTTCTGAATGTCTTCACTAATCATCTCCAACATCTCTCTATTGGATTATTTCATCCTCTCTGAAGATGTTCTTTTTCTCTTTCATCTTTTCACAAATTATGTAATAATTTATTAGACTGTGAATACACAATACAAAGTGAATGTGAAGTCCCATATTGAATGAATCACTTTCTCTCCATAGACAATCAATCCCTTTTGTATATTTCAAAAGCTTTCAAACGGGGTTCCCATAGGCCTTTAAAGAGATTTAAGAAACGGTGATGATTTTCCAATAATTTTCTGAAAATGTATGAAAAATAACATTACTATTGTTAGTGTTACACTATTTTCTAATAACGAAATGGAGGCACTGAGATGTTAAGAAGCATACCAGGATCAAACAGCGAGGTTTTAGAAGAGGCAGTCTGCTCCCAGTGTCCACATGCTAAACTGCTATGCTATGCTACCCCCCAGTCAAGGAAATTCCTCATTCTTCTTCAAGTTTTCCTCTTCCCATACCAGTCGCCAAGCCCCATGAGTCCCTGCTGGTAAAGATACATTCCACTTGGTATCTCCTGCATCATCAAGGCTAATTATCTACATTTAGGCCATCCACACTGTTCCCCTGAATTACTATAATAGAGTGGGTCAGCTTCGTCCCTCTTCAAACCGTCTTCCAAAATGACTTGGAAGGATCTTTGTGGAAATGCAAATCTCATCTGCTTATAACATTTTGAAGTACTCTCTTTCATTTCACAGGATGTAAACTCCTTAACTGGAGGTGTAAGGCAAGGCCCTTCCGGACTGCCCCATTTTATAGCTCTCCTATCTTATCTTTTACCATAATGCACCCAAACTTTCTCTCTGTCTCTGTCTCTCTCTCCACACACACGTACACCAGAGCCTTTGCCTACCCACTTCCATCTTTCAACCATTATTCACTGTAAACTAGATTAAGATCTGTGTCCTGCCCCTCTCTCCCTAGGATTTTCTCTTGTGCATCCATTAGGGTACTTTGGATTGGCAGACTCTCAATCTTTACATAACAAATTTATCTTAGCCCTTTAAATCTAGACTCATTCCTAGGAGCCTTCCTCAAGCTCCACTCCACCTTGATCCGGTTTGGTTTTGATCCTCTTTTTTGTTTCCCCAGCATCTTGCAGCAGTTCATTGTGTTATATTTTAGCAGAGGGTGGAGTTTCCTGAAAACTCTTTGAGAAGAGCAATTCTCTTTTATCTCTGAATACCCAGACAGTATAGAGTGCCTGAAACCATAGCAGGTACTCAATAAATGAACGGAAAAATAAATAAGACCAGGAATAAAAAAGTAAATCCCGCTTACTTAATTAATGTAATTGTTTGAACTGAATAACTGAAACGCCCAAGTTTTTCTTTGCTTTGAATTCATTAATACAATTGACAAGTTAAATGCTAAATTCTATTAACCTACATTTTCATTTAATATTTTACAAACATTTTTGTTCTGAATAAAAATACTTCCTCTCTTACATAACCTATATCTACACTAATAAAATTCTTATTCTTTTTCACTTCATTTTTAATTACCTTCATCATGCATTCTTGGGAGATAAATGATGAACATTCTTCCCCCATCCCCAATTTTTAAGACGAGCAAATGATTCACAGCCAAGTTGATCCCAAAAAATACACAAGGCGTCAATTGTCCAGGTCATATTTTATATATGATTACTTTACATTTGAAAAGGCTGTCTATCAAACTTTTCATAATTATTTATATTTCACCATTTCCCCAATAAATTTGAGGAATCTTATAATGAAAACACAAAACAAAAGGGTAAACACATAAAATAAAATCCAAGGAAAAAGAGAATACCTCTTATGGAAACCATAAATGTCAATATAAATTTTTAGGTTAGGCTGGAAATTTCTTTTTAAGCCTCCTGACAGAAAGGCAAAGTGGGAATTATGTTTACTTATATGGCATTTTGTTGAGTAAAAAGGAAGCCTTGTAGCTTTTCTGAATAAAAATGGAAACAAAATAACTTACATATTATTAAAGTTTATCTTTCCTTCTCTTCTTTGTTGTTTCATCAAGCAATAAGCCCCTCCCAACCATGTGTTTATCTCTGTGACCTAAGGCAAGAGATGAGATCCTGCGGAGCCAGCCTCCCTATCTGTAAGGAGACAGGTTGGACTTCACGTTATCTAAGACGTCTATCAGCTTGTGTTCTATAAATATTTTTAATTTGGGCATCAATGTGGCTATATATTTTATAATCCAATTTCATGTGAGCGATTCAGCAAAACTCCTGAATTACTCCATCAAAATTTTCCATTTCTTTTGTCATGTGAGTGAGGAGAAATAAAATTGCGTTGGAACATTTATAATCAACAGTGAATAAGGAAGCAAACAGTACTCTGGATTAAGACTGTGTCCCTGTATTTTAAAAGTTTTGATCCATTGCCTGAAGCAATTGGGAATTAACTAGAGGTTTACCCAGTCAGGATGAGTGCATTAGTCATAGTCATACGACAGATGAAGATCCTGATCCTTCAGTATTTTACCCCATGCCCCATTGGGGCTTCATTGCCTTCAACAACAAGATTTTTTATTAGCTTTAGGCATTTCATTAGTCTCTTTGGTTCAGTGATCAGGTGTGGAATCACTGAACTCAGTTATGGCTTCTTATTTAGTGTTTTGAAATCTAGCATTGCCAAGAAGTTGCTTGTTAGGAAAAAATCAGTCATCTTCTAAAATGTTATGTATTTCATCTGATTTGTTATGGATTAGTACCTTCATTTTTAGCAAAGTGAAGGTAATAATAATGCATTATAAAGTCATCCACTTGTGTCCCCTATTCCACTTTGTGGCAAAATAAGTGGAAAACAATGTATTAACATTCCAGTACCCATCAGTTGGAATGTTAAAGCTATTGGATCATACTGTGGCCAGTGGATTGGAGTGCCACTGCTGAGCTATAATATTTACTTGTGTAAGGCCAACTGAATCTGAATGAAAAAGAGTTTCTGTCCGTGGTGCTGAAAGCAAATAGTCTCCCACAGGATTTGGTACTGAACAAATTCAAAGGAACTTCTTATGTTGAATCATGCATGTATTGTAATGTCTTTAATAAATCAATTACTTTTTGGCAGCAAAATGTCACAGCATTTAAAATGCTGATAATCACCTTCACTTTGCTGAGCTTTAGACTGTTATAATCCATGCAATCCAGCATTCTCCTGTAATGTGTCAAGGAGAAGTTTGAGTAACAAAGTAACAATAAAAACTTTAGGCATGTCAGGCGGCACGGCTCACACCTGTAACCCCAGCACTTTGGCACTTTGGGAGGCCAAGGCAGGTGGATCACCTGAGGTTAGGAGTTCGAGACCAGCCTGGCCAACATGGTGAAACCCCATCTCTATTAAAAATACAAAAATTAGCCAGATGTGGTGGTGGGCCCCTGTAATCCCGGCTACTTGGGAGGCTGAGGCAAGATAATCACTTGAACTGAGGAGGCAGAGGTTGCAGTGAGCCGAGATTGTGCCACTGCACTCCAGACTGGGTGACAAGAGTGAGACTCTGTCTAAAAAAAAAAAAAAAAAAAAAAAACTTTAGGCATGTATACTCAACTAGGATTCACAGAGGCTAAAATCCTTCCTCACCCCCAGAATACTAAGAAATATATGAATATAATAACACATGTCAAGCATAATCTGAGAGGATATCTATACTTGGTGTCCTATTGAGAAATGTACAGAAAATAGTCCCTCAAATATTTATTTTTTGTTAAACACCAGCATATATTTTTGTTACATGCATAACCTAATTTAGAATTTTCAAATGACAAGATGTGACAATATCTTCTAATTGCTATGTTGCAAAAAGAAAAGAAACTGCCTTCAACTTATAAGTACTTCATCTGCTATTGAGATGAAAAACCTTTCTCAAACAGGTTTTTTTTTTCTTTTTTTTTTTCCTGGAAAGTTGCTTCTATATCCATAATTGACCAAACTTGACCAAACCCATCTTTTAGAAATGCCTACTTTTTACCACCTGGTCTTGTATAAGTAGCCCCACCCAACAAACTGTATCTGACTACCTGTCCCTCTGGAATGAGGAGCTGTGTGTATTTCCAAAGGACAGATGAATCAGCGTGTCCCTCGCACACAACACTGCTTCTCTTCCACATACAGTTACACTTAACTAACAGGAAAATCGAAATGTGACTTGATCAAACAGAATTCTTTCATGGATTAATTCAATGAACCTTTCTTTAGTGTCAAGCATATATTGGAACCACACTAGATGGTGGTCATTCAGAAATAAAACAAACAAACAAAAAATCTAGCTCCTGTCTTCAAGAGATACAGTGAGAGAAAAGAGAACAGACATAAGATGGAGAATTACAAAAAAAATGTAAAGAATGTTGCAGCCATGATACAAATAAGGAGCTCTGGAAGTTCAATGGGGAACCCGAGAATTTTCCTGAGATAGAATGAGGTGGGGGTAGGGAACTTCTAAGGGTGGCTGCTCAAGAAGTTGGATAATTTCAGTCTTAAAGAATGAGGTGGGATTTAATACCCAGGCATGGTGGCGGGCACCTGTAGTCCCAGCTACTCGGGAGGCTGAGGCAGGAGAATGAAGTGAACCCAGGAGGTGGAGCTTGCAGTGAGCCGAGACTGCACCACTGCACTCCAGCCTGGGCGACTGAGCGAGACTCTGTCTGAAAAAAAAAAGGGGGGTGGGTAGGATTTTTTTAGTCTGAGAATAAAAATGCACAGAATGGCAGAATCTGAATTAAAAGTTCTCAGTTATAGCCTCCCCAACAACTCTGAATCTCCATTTCTGGAAACCTAGAGGAGTTATTCTTCATTTGCCATATAGACTAGGTTCTAGTATATTCCAAATTTACACAAACTTGTTTGGGTTTACCAAATTTGGGGTGCTAATGCTTATGGAGCTGGTGCAGCGTGGAGAGCAGGAGCCAGGGTGTGGACATACATGAGTGATAATGGTGTGGGTGGACCATGAGGTGACAGAGAGACAAGAGCTGGGAAGGATGGGACGACCACTGCAGAACTGAGAGAAGATCATAGCTCAAGTGGAGAGAGCATGCTCCCTCCACCAACACCATTGCTGAGAACCAAGTGCACCCCAAACCTTTAATTAAAAATCCTACATGTACACATTCTGCACTAAATCATTCTCTAGTATGAGCGCTGGGCACTTTTATTACCCACTTTATTTGCAAAGCAGCAGCCTCCCACATTCCAAGACCGAATGCTGCTAAACTCCCTCCAGCAGGCTGCAGGGGGAAAGTGAAGGTCCTGGGTTCCCTGGTTCAGAACAGCCATGCCAGATAAATATGAAGTCTTGTTACCCAGAAATATTCGTCCAGAAGAGAAGAGCATGTGATTATGATGAATTCTGCTCCACACTCCTCTTCCTGCCTGACAATAACCTCTCTCTCCAGAGCAACAATAATCTGAACACAAACAGACGTGAAGCATTTCAAAAAGTAATGAACTCTGAGGCGTTGAATCCAAGGCGATCGTGGTTTAAATGCACGACTCCAGCAACCCCGAGAGGCCATCAATTATACAGCCCAGCCGTCGAGGAAGCAAAAATAATATTTCAAAGAGCCATTGCCAGAAAGAGAAAGGAAAGGAAGAAAATGCTACAAAAATCACACCACTCAGAGAAAGCAGTTCCAAGAGAATGGCTGCACAAAGAGCAGCAGCTCCACCCTGCTGAAGGCAGCCCCCTCCATAAGAGGGAGAAAGAGGCGACACAGCAATGCCCATCATAGTCCGCTCCTCACCCAGCATACTGAGTCCATGAAGTCACTGCACTAGCATCGATTCTGTTACCCTGGGGCATGTAGCAAGGTACATTCTTAACTTGCTGATACATTTACGATTTTTTTAGAGCCTAAAATAATGCATCACATAAGTACAGGGGTCATTAGTTTATAGAAGCAGTTCACTTCCATGATTTAATTTTATTCTTACAATAACTCTTTGCAGTAGGGAAAAAGGCATTCATAAGTCTATTTTGCAGATGACAGAATTGAGGCCCAGAAAACTTAAGTGTCCTGTATAAGTTTGCCCAGCTACTCAGTGCCCAGTGAGGGCCTAGAATGTAGGATGCCATCACTAAACATTTTTTGCTAATAAACAGTGTTGAAACTAAATCATTAAGTATCATTAAGACATAAATTTTGTCTTCTAGCAGTCAGTTAAGCTCTTTTTCCACTGCTTCCCTCCGTTGAAGGCAGCCTATCAGGGACCAGATAGGACCAAACAGGTGTATAAGACATGGTCCAAGCCTAAAGAGAGTAGGACACACTCATTTAGGACACACTCTTTGGCTAAAGTGTTCTGAACTGGTTTTTGTTTGTTTTTCACATTTTTAAGAAAGTGGGAGGCTGGAGACAGTCCAACTTTTAAGAAGAAAGTTAATTCCATTTAGGCTGTGATATCTTCAAAAACAACTGCTACCTGTTACAGAAGAACAAGAGAGTGGAAGCAACAGTATCTCTGCAGCTGGGAGGCCTGACTTCTCGTCCTAGCTCCACTCTCCATTCCTGGGCACAAGTCACAATCTGTGAGCCTCACTCTCTTCACTTGGAACATGGAATGAATGATACTTGCCCTACTTCCTCCACAAGCTGGTTTTCATAATAGACAGGGAAACTGCTTGATCAAGCTGGATGCATACAAATATTACAGATGTAATCACATGAATAACTGCCTCCCTAGAACCCTAGCATCCCTTTGTGGAGAAGAGGAAATACTTAGTTTACTACACATCTGGCAGTATTAGTAAACTAACAAGAATAGTGGCAGCAATGATAATGCTTATTCCTAATGGTATATAGCACTGTGGTTTAAAAACACAAAGACAATAAATAGAGACGGTTAAAAGCATGACGTTCAGAGCCAGTCAGAACAGAATTCCGGAGACCCCACTTCGCTGCACACTCATGGACAATCACAGATTATTTAACCCTTCTGGGTTTGATTTATTAGTCATAAAATAGAAATGATAGATTTAACTTCTCTTGAAGTTAAAATTAGAAATGTGTATAGAGGACATAGCCAGCCCCTGGAAAATATATGGAGTGACTATAATAATTATTTGTATTATTACATGTTGTCTCACTTTTTGCAGATTCTCTGCATAAAGACAGTTGGATTGACATGGTGTTATTTCCCACTCTTCTAGATGTCTAGCATCAAACATTACTTGACCTCACTGCATATTGTGAGGTTTAATTAATGAATTGTGGCCAAAAATCCATGTGATGTTTAGACATTGAGAGCTATAGGATGACATGTGAGTTGCATGACTTTTTATACTGGTCCTTTGGTATTACAATTGATCCTGCCTGGTTTCCTCCTACATTGATCTGTTCAGAATGCTCCCGACACAAATGCAATTTTCTGTGGCCAGCAATCAAATTCACCAATCACACATGGCAAAAGCGATCGAAACAAAGGGCAGAAGTTGTGCTTTTTCCAGCACAAATGATCATGTCCAGAGTTTCTGACAGCATCAAAAGGGAAAATCAAAATAACTTGAGACAGAAATAGCCTGAAGACCCTGGGTCCTACACCCATTTTCAATATTCCTATGTGACCTGGAACTCTCCACTATACACAAATGGAAAATTATATATCTTGTGAGGCTACATGCTGGGGAGAATGGGAGTTGGCATGAATCATGGCGAGCCTTTCCAATAACTTTTTTGGCTTTTAATTATTGACATTTCAGTAGATTGTAATAGTCTCCTTCTTTCACAGGCCAAAGCATTTCAAGTGAGGGTGATTTCCAGCCACTGAATGCATTTCCCCCACATCCTGTCCTTTAAAGAGAAGGCTTGTAGGTTCTGAACACATTTTCAGACCATTTCTTGGGCAGAGACATCTCCTTGGCAATGGATATGTCCAGAAAATGAGTGAGGTAGATGAGAAGAACTAGACAGGAGGCAGAGAAGGTTCAAGCAGACCATCGTTGGTTTTGACTATGTGGACATTATCAAACATCTCTGTATGAGATCTGTCAATTGGTAATAATGTATTTTTACCAAGTTTCTGAATTAGCAGAACACTGAATAGACATAAATCGCATCATGTATCATATGATCTCTATGTTCATCTCAACAATAGCTGTTTGGACCAAGAGTGGTCCAAACTTAACTCACTTAACTCATTTTGGTCACTTAACTCAAATGAAGGCAGTCTGACTTGTTGTTCTGCTATGTGGAATTTAAGGCACCAATGTGGAGTCAGTTGACTGTGGTCTATCAAGCTGTCTGAATGAGCACCAATATAGGCCAAGGCCACATGGGAAATGAAGTTAGTGGGGATTAGAGAAACCCCAAGTAAGAGATTGAAGAGACCACCATAGGAGATTTGCAGAAAGAAGCATGAATAAGGAGACTACACAGTCCCAACAAGAGAGGGGCAGAGAGTAGCAGTCAGAGGTATCCCCTGCAGACAGGGCTCATCTGTTTTTCCTGCATTTGTTTCCATAAATTCTGATCTATCTATCCAATAAATCTTCTTGAACTATTCCAATGAATTCCTGCAATTCAGATGAGTTTTTAATCATTACAAAAATTGAATATGCAGAAATAGTGAAGAATCAAAGAGAAAATAGAGGCATTCCAAGTGTGTGAAAGGACAAAGCAATGGAATGAATGTTAATGTCTCTCCAAAAGTCATATATCGACATCCTAAACTCTAAGATGATGGTTTTTGAGGGTGGAGCCTTGCGAGGTGATTAAGTTATGAGGGCAAAGCTTTGATGAATCGGATTAGTGTCGTTATAAAAAAGGCTAGAAAGAGACCCCTCACCACTCTCACCATGTGAGAACACAACAAAAAGGTGTCGTCATCAATGAGCCAGGAAGTGAGCCCACGCCAGACACCAAATCTGCCAGAACCTTGATCTCGGACTTGTTAGCTTCCTGAATTGTAAGAAATAAATTTCTGTTCTTAATAAGCAACCCAGTCTATGGTACTTTGTCATAGCAGCTTGGGCAGATTAAGACAGGAGATAAAGGATCAGCGGCAGGACGTGCAGAGGTGACTGAATGGAAGTCAGCATGCTCATGCTTGTTTGACCTCGGTGAGCTTGTGCTGCCCTGGGGAAAAGTCAGCTAACATCTGAAGAGATAAGTGAAGACACCAGAATCTTTCAGACAAGGAAAGATGAAGAACTACAAACAGGTCCAACAACCAGAATTTATGGAGAAAAACATGTGACATTTAGTGAACGATTCTTGCACCCCAAAATGTATAACTTTTGGGTGAAGAGATAACTACAATTTAATGAGCTGAGTACAAAGACAAATGCAGGTGATACTTGCTCTATTTAGTTAGCAGAAGAAGGGAAGACTTAAGGACTACAATAGGCATCCTCAAATACCGCAATCCCCATCATGAGGTCAAGGACCATTTATCACTCATTTTCCTATTCCCAACACTTGCCACGGTGCCTGACACAGAATAAGCGTTTAGTAAATAGTTGTTAAATTTATTTATTTTTTTTAAATTGAATGCTTTCCAATGCTAGGTATCCCACCTAATTTCAATTCCCCCTCACAATAAACTGATGAGTGGTTATATTCAAGTTCTTTATAAATGAGAAAGCTGGAGCTCTGAGAAATTAAATATTAGATTGAAACATATGCAACTGCCAATATTCAGCCATTTTGACCTATAACTTGTAGACATTTACATAGACAGTAAGATTCAAAATTCATAGCTCTTAATTAAATGCCAAGGACTTTTTTTATCATTACAAAAGATTCAGCTTATCCTATGTGGTTATAAAGAAGTAACCAAGAGGTAGATATTAGAGGGAGAGAGGTGTATATGTGGATCTAATAGAGCTTTTCTAAAGGAAGTAAGACCTAGATGAATAGGTAGTTAGTTGCTCATCACTGACAGTGTTCAAATAAATGGTAGATACTCCCTAGCTGTATACCTATTGTAGAGGGAATTCAGGCTTTGGAAATGGAATTGGAGGAAGATCTATGATCTGGAATCCCCATGACCTTAAAGAGAACATGTATTATTCTTTAGAGGCCTATGGTTATTGGTGACATGAAGAGTATTGGTGAAAATGAAGGACACAGTTTCTTCCACCCTGATCTTCACATTGTTTCTATCAAATATTCCCCAAGAATCATTTTCAACAGCACCTGATGTGGCTATCCCGGCTCAGTCAGCACTTGGCTCACAGCATCTGAAGGTTTGTAGTTGCTGGTTTCTGTAGCCCCATGAGCTACCTGTGTTCCCTCTCCATCCCAGAGTGAAGAGCGAATCAAATTCACTCTTTTCCTAAACAGAGGCTCTGCTAGGTCCTGGAATAACTTCCTAACACTAGATTTCTGGAGATGCAGGACCTAAAAGACAAAGGTGGGATAACTGAGGAGAAAGATGGGGTGAACTGAATAGAAAGATGGGATGAACAGAAGTCAGACAGGGAGATAGGCACAGCTCTCTGCAAACATCCATGTAGACAGCAACATACCCCAGTCCTGCCAGAGAAGCTCCATACATGTTGACTTGCATTTCTTTTCTCATGCTTGTCTGTCAGTATTCTGCTTCTTATCTTTAAAATCACCAACCCTAGCCTCAGTCAATGATACTGCCAGTCTAAGAAGTATTCAAGAAGTAAAAAATTGGCCCGGCACAGTGGTTCACGCCTGTAATCCCAGCACTTTGGGAGGCCAAGGAGGGCAGATCATGAGCTCAGGGATCAAGACCATCCTGGCTAACACAGTGAAACTCCATCTCTACTAAAAACACAAAAACTTAGCCAGGCGTGGAGGTGGGCACCTGTAGTCCCAGCTACACAGGAGGCTGAGGCAGGAGAATTGATTGAACCCAGGAGGCAGAAGTTGCAGTGAGCTGAGATCCCGCCACTGCACTCCAGCCTGGGTGACAGAGTGAGACTCCATCTCCAAAAAAAAAAAAAAAAAAAAAAAAAAAAAAAAGTAAAAAAATTAAACCTAGATATCACTCTGGCTAATATGACTGGTTGAGAATGCCTGCCTCTCTCAGAAAGACTTTCATAAAGTGTGTGATGGCTCCATCCTATAATGGATGGCTACAGCTGATTACTCAACCATTGGCCCTTAGAGAGAAGAGACAGTAAGAGAAAACAAGAATGAACCAGAGGCCCAAAGTGAGTGGAAATCCAAATGCCTGTGTGATTATAACCTTTGACTCAAATCCTAGGAATATTAGAAACCAAAAGAAGGAGGGGGTGGATGGATAATGAGTTTGATAATATCTAGAGAGCTCTAAAATCAGTTCTGCATACCATTTGCCTACTCGATAGTTTTGGTGGTGGGAATCTAAAAGTCCTTCCTTGCACTACAACCTGAATCCCAGGGAGCATAAGCCTCTGTGTCTAAGACATGTGTAAAGTGAAGATCTGCTTGACAGAGCCACAGCCTTATTTATAGTGCACTGGCAAGGCAAGCTCCTTCTCAACTCCGGGCTCCTCCCTTTCCTACAGGCAGGTTTGTCTCTGGCCCTAAGTTGACTTAAAGATTCCCCAGGAGAGCTGGCCTGAAAATCAGTTCTAAAAGCCAAAAAAATGAGAAGAGTCAGATTAAAGTATCAGCCCAGAATTTATGCTCTGGACTTAAGGTTTAATAATGCAACAGAAAATCAATATTTAATAAAGCAAATGATGGAGAAAAACACTGCCCAGGAGATGAGGCTGCTGCACTGTTTTCAAACGTCTCAGTCCCAGAGGAGGTTGAGTTGGCAGGATGGATTGGAGGCCAGGCTGACAGGAGAATCTGGCATGCAGACAATTGCAGGTCTCATTGATTCCTATTCTGTTATCTTGTGGGCTTGCTGGCCATTTTTATTAAAGGGCTACCACAGAATTACAATGAAAGTGATATGAGATACCTCATAGAGTAGAGGCAAATGGACCAAGTCAACCTTTAACCAGCAACCCAGGATTGTCCTGATCCAGGCAAGGTCAACTGGGCTCACAAGCTATTTGGAGAAATGAGAGGAAAAGAATGGGCCTAGGATTTGCCCTCTTTAGATGTATTTCTGAGAGGTAGTATCTGATGAGTTGCTTGGGCCTCACCCATCATCAGATGAAGTGCAGTGCAATAGACATATTTAGTACAAGCAGTATCTTGAACAGTGGCTTGCACTTAGTAGGAATGCCAATTGCCACCAACTGATTAATGTATCTTGTGAATACTGGGTCCAGGAATGCAAAATTACCTGGGTCCTCTGATTCCTATGTGGATCGCAAAACATTTTTGAGCTGCAGGAAAACGGAATTTCATTAGATAGTTCTCCACACTGCACTCTCTACAGCAATTTGAAGTATTTCCAGTTAGTCGTTTTTCATCGGAAGTGATTCTTCCCGTTGTGGGCAAAACAGGCTTCATCCTATCTGTTTCTTTCTGGTCTGGATATCTGGGTCATAGTTTGTTTCAGATTCGTATTTGGCTAGGGGGAAGAATAGTTGTTAGACATCTAACAACCTCTACCTGGCCTGGTGAGAGGGTTACACATATCCACCTTGAACAAGCTCATTGTGTTTCCTGTCATTGGAACTATGAATGACTACTATGTATAATACAATACATTATTTTGAGTTATTGTGCCTTCCCTTCATCTAAGGATCTCTGTGCAGCTAGGAAAAAGTACAGACAACTGAAGCCAATATGTTGCTCATAACATAAGAAGCCTCAGGCAAGATACATGACAGCCATTGCTTGAATGGGAATGAACTCATTTATAATGGACAGATTGGCTACTCCCATTTGTTTGCTAAAAAACACAAAATGGAGACAGCACAGTGTATTGTTTCTGGTTAATGAGGAAACTTCTTTAGAAATCCTTAATACAACTACAGATTACAAAGAGTAGAATTTTGAGAGGGAGGCAAGTCAAGATGAGAGGAAGAGAAGACTTGGCATGGTGGCTCACACCTGTAATCCCAGCACCTCAGGAAGCTGAGACAGGAGAATCACTTGAGGAGTTGAAGACCAGCCTGGGCAACCTAACAAGATCCCATCTCTACAAAACAAATAAAAAATGTTTAAAAACAAAAGGAAGAGAAGAACTCAAACTCCAAAAAATAAAGAACAATGTCAATTTTGCTCATCATTGTACATGCCAGTCATATAACTGGCATACAGCAAGCGCTAAGCTCATTTTTATTGAATGAATGAATAAGATAGAACAGAGTAAAATAGGATAGAATAAAGTGTATCTTTTTTAAGTAGAATAAAAAAATATGCCATGATGGAAGTGAGAGGAGGAAAGTCAGGTCTAACTGCATGAGTGGGAGATGTCCAGGGAGAAATCTTAGCTTGACCATTGGTTTATCCTCTGAATTCTTCAACATGCCTCTAAAACACTAAACAGATGACAACGGTCCTCTCACATCTCTTGCTAGTGAAGTGCTATGAGATTGTGAGGCAGGCAGGATCCAGAAAGTAGCCATAATGCTAGGAATGATGGTCAGTGCCACATTCAGGTGTATTCCTGAGAGGTGGAATCTTATGACATGTGCCAGACTCACTCATCGTGAAAGGAGGAACTGTGGAGGAATGTGCTAATTTAGCAAAAGCAGCATATTGAACAGTGGCTTGCACTTAGTAGGAATGCAAATTGCCACTGACTGATTAATGCATCTTGAGAATACTGGGTCCAGGAATGCAAAATTACCTCAGTTCTCTCTAATTACTATGTGGATTGCATAGCATTCTGAGCTGCAGGAAAACTGAATTTCATTAGAGAGTTCTCTACACTGCACTCTCTAATCCACTCACCCTCCTCCATGTGTTGGGGCTTCACTTCCTTTCAAGATTTTGACAAACATTTTGTCTGCATAAGCCTTGTAGTTTAGAATCCTGAAATCCTGGGTGCCAAACAGTGTTGTGGTTAATTCATACCCATCTCTAGATTATCGTGGGTGAGGTTTCTGCAACAGACTAATAGATAATGAGGTCTCACTAATAGAGACCATGAGGTGGGCAAGGCGGGTTGACTCATTGCAAAACTGACATTATAGGTCTAGTAAATGACACCTGGAACTAAGTGATTCAAAAAGGTTAAGAAAACTAGGTCATGTTCTCTAGAATACATTATATGGCACTTTTGCTGAGCTGCTGTCTGTTCACTTCTGATGGGGATAGTAAAGAAAAGTGCTACATGATTGTGTCAAAACTACAACAAGCAGGATAGAGCATTAAAAGCCAAGGAAAACTTGGGCCATAAAGAGCTTTAGGTGAAAATTTTCAACACTGAGAGTAATTGATATATCTACTAAATAGCTCAGGGGCTGCCATCAGAGCAAGCTGTAATAATTATTTTATTTATAAAACTCTCACTTCCTCTGAGGTGCTCAAGGCACTGTACAGTAGTATCAAATAAATTAAATTAAAGCATGAAATATTAGGAAAATGCAATGAAATCAACATTTCCAAGGAAACAGGAGAGCCCAAAAAGAAATAAAAGAAGAAGACCTCTGCAAGAAGCAGCACTTAGCAGAGGGATGCTTTTGAGAAAGCAGAGAGAGCTCAGCCTCTTAGGGATGGAACAGCCCCACAGTCGGGCTTCTTCCAATAGTAGATAAGGGTTCAAGCCCCATCTTTTATTTGGATGATCTTCAGCAAGACTAAACCCCCCCTGAGCCTCAGTTTCCTCACCTAAAATTGTTCATATCACACTCATATCTACTACCTAAGATTGTTGGGAGATTTAAATGAGATTCTGTAAGTTAAGCCTAGTACCTGTCACATGGAAAGGACCCAATAAATGTTTGCTCTTATTTTACTGTGACCATGTGACACAGGATGCACAGTGGAGGACACAGGCTGTAGGAAGGCAATAAGTTAGGTAAATGGGATAAATGGCTGAAGCAAGGCCATGACAGCAAAGATGGGGAATCGTGAGTGACGGGCATCTATAGGAACAGATGACTGAATGAGGAGTGCTACAGAAAGAAATAAATCAAGGACGATCTCTAGTCCTCTATCTATCTTGAGAATTGGGTTTTACCACTCCAAGACTGCTGATACAGAAGCAAGAGGAATTTGGGGTGGTAAGGGAGGTGGGGCAAGATGATTTGTTTAATTTTGAATACATTGTGCCACTTTTGAGAGGAGATTCCATTAGGTTCCCACAAACATAGCTTTGCCGGTGTTGGATATAAAGATATCACTATCATGGGTGAAAGCACTGCAGGTAAAGCCCCAGGCCTGGGTGGGTCACTGGACAGCATGTAGCCTAAGTGAGAAGAACAGAAGACTATGTGTAGGCCAACAGGGGAGGGGGAGCTGAGAATAAAACAGCCGTCTAGACAGAGTCCAGGGAGGCAAGGGGAAACTCAGGAAGAGTAGCGTTTGCATGAGCTGAGAGACAATGTCCTTAGGGAGTAAGCTCCAATCTCCATGGCATCTTTGTTGGATGGTATTGAAACCAGTGATGGAGACAATCGTGTCTCCTGATGTAAATCATCCCATGGAAAACAGGCCTCGGGAGTTCACAGGGTCAGAGATGTACCCGTGATCAGCATTATGAATGTCTTCACATCTGTCTTAGTGATGAGATTGAGAAGAACTTGTGGAAGAACAGCAAGTGTCCCCATTTGTGACAACAAGTTAGAAGGACAACATGGCAACAGTAGATTTAGATGCTGGTTCTACCTCAGCCAAACCAATGGCCAGACATTCCATCAGCCATCGTCACCGAGGTTCCACAGGTGACGTCAACTTGTGCAGAGTGCATTTACATAGCACACATCATCCTTAATGAGTTCATAGTCAAATAAAGAAATGTATTCTTTAATTGTGTGCTACTTTTGAAAACGCAAAGTTGATGTTACTGACTATTGCCATCTGAGCTCATGAGAATGCCCAGTGAGGCTGATGTCTAATGGATGGTCCTTTCCACACAGCAAAAACAATGACCATATGCTGAGCTAGATTATGGCACTTTTTAATGGTATCATCTCATGTTATCACCTAACAAGAATCCCGCCAGACAGGATTTATTATTTCCTCATTTTACAGATGGAAAACAACAACAACAACAACAACAAACAAAGCCAGAGAACACATAAAACCCAAGATTACACAGCGATTTTTCCAACCCATTTGGTGTCTCAGTCCAAACTCTTACCCACCATATTGTATTTTGTTCCCTCACACACATAAGGAAAGATTTGTCTTTCATCAAGGGGCAAGAGAAAGCGCCCTGGAAGAGAGATGGGAGATCTGGGTTAGTCCTTGCTACTGTGCTTAACCAGCGGCATGACCTTGGATAAGCCAGCTAACCTCTTCAGTTTCATGTTTTCCCATCTGTAAATTAGGACAGTGGTTCTCAACATGGGTAAACAACAGAAACATCCAGGAGTAAAAATAAAAAAAAAAACAAAGACACCATGGGCTTACCCCCAGTAAACTGAGTCAGAATTTCTGAGGAGGACCTCAACGTTGGTATTGCCTAACAATACCCCAAGTATCTCAATGCGCAGCAGAGCTGAGAATCACTGGCTAGGTGGCCTCCAAGGAGGCTTCTGTCTCTACAACAACTTGAGCCCATGCCTGTGCTGGCAATTGGGATACAGTCCTTTGAGTCAGGTTAACCTGATCCTTTGCTCATAAGGGGAAGCTTAGTGTTTGAGGGAGGCTGTGAAGAGTCAGACTTTCTGAATTCAAACTCTGGCTCTGCCACTTACCAATGTGCAACCTTCCTTGGGTTAGTTGGTCTCCTCATTTCTAAAGGAAGGGAAATGACAGCATCTATCGCACAGGGCTGTTTGAACATTAAATGACACAGTGTGCATAATGAGCTTCATCTAGTTCTTGGCTGCCACATAATCAGGTTTCAATAAGCTATACATAAAAATAGCATTATCATTGCATGATGAAACCTGCCTGCTACTGTTTTCCTACAGTTGCCTCTAAAAGTTCGACGACATGAGAAGCTATATTTACAATCTTCCATGACTAGACTAGCTAGGGGCACCCGAGTCATTGTGCCCTAGGAAAGGACCCCAGCCTGGAGCAGAAGAGGCCTCTGGGCCTAGAGGAGCCAGAGGAGATCCTCGGGACTCAACCCACAATTCAGTCCTGTTGCTGCTGCACTGTTCCAGGAAATCCCTTTTTCCTGAGATGCTTGCCCGTGGCTGGGCCAGAACAAATGGCAGGCAGGGCCTCTCTGCAGACGCTCCTTCCACTGGGCTCCAGGTGGCTGGTGGAGTGGCCATCACACTTCTAGTAATTGGAACTTTCACAACCGATCCTTCTCTTGGGGTGGACCAGGGGAGAGTTAGGTAAATCATCAGCCCCTTTGAGTAGCTGCTCTTCCCTTTTCCCTCTGTGGTCTTCACATTCACTTGGGCTAAGTGTTACATGTCCATCACGCCTATCACTCATAGACAGATAGAAACCTCCTCCCCCACCAAGCACTCACACATGCTCCACAAACACACACACAAGATCACATACACACTCCCTATACAAACACACACACACACACAGGTCCCACAAACACACACATGTCCCACACAAACACATACACACACTCACACATGCTCCACAAACACACACACACAAGATCACATACACATTCCCTACACAAACACACACACACTCACACAAGCCCCACAAACACACACATGCCCCACACACATACACACACTCACACATGTCCCCCACACATGCCCCACAAACACACACACACACACGATCACATCCACACTCCTCACGCACAGAAGCACTCACATCCACACTCCCCCCACAAACACACACACTCACACATCCACACTCCCCCCATCCACACTTCCCACACAAACATACACAAGCACTCACACACATGCTCTACACAAAAACATACATTAACACATGTCCCACAAATACACACATGACCCACAAACACATACACACACTCACGCAGTCCCCCCCACATGCCCCACAAACACACACACAATCACATCAACACTCCACCCACATACACGCTCTTCACACATACACAAGCACTTACATACACACTCCCTACACAAACATAAACACACTCACATACACACTCCCCATAAACACACAAACACATACACATCTTCCCCCACATACACACTCCCCCCAAAACACAAATACCCTACTATACCCAAGCACATTACAGAAGGGACAAAGTATGCACACTTACACACTCCTCTCACAAACACACACTCCCAGACCCACGCACTTTACATTAGGACGTAACATGTTTGGATCTCAAGAAAGACACCTGAAACCTAGTGTCTTCCTTCCCTGCACTGCGCACGGAGAGAATTTCAACCGGGGTTGGATGTGGGTTCCCTAAGGGAAATGATCTATTACGAGTGAAACTGCAGCTCAATTTCAAGATGTGCTTATTAAGTGAAATGAAAAATAAATAATTAAAAAGGTGCATCTGATTATCTTATCCTCTCTACAACGGCCATGTGGGCTCTGAGTGTTGGAGGCGAAACCCATGGGGACCTTCCGTGGAGAAGCAGCCCAGCAGGAAGGGTCCGGGGATGGCGCAGCTGCGGGAGGAGGGAATCGCAGTCTGGGTGCACAGGGCTGCGCACGGGGAAGAAAGCGGACACTGGGTGAAACAGAGGGATGGCAACTGGCAAGGGGGCGCCAGGGGAAGAGGAGAGGAAGCAAAGAAAGTTGGGGGGAGGAAGACTGTGGGAAATGTGAAATTGGAGGACGCATGAGCCCGGGTGCACAGTGCCCGGAATCGAAGGTCAACATGAAAAACGGGGTTGGCGATGCGTGAGAGAACGGGAGTATCAGATAGAGCGTGCCTAAGAGAGTGAAATAGGACACCATGAAAAAGAACAGGAAAAAAAGGATGAAAAACGGTGACAGGCAGAAGATGACAAAAAGAACATTTTGTGGGGAAAAAAAAAAAAAAAAAAAAAAAAAGCTGCTCGAAAGACCAAATGAGAAACAGCCTCCAAGAGCTAGGTGGAAAATAGCAAAGAAGAGAACTGTCTATGGAAAGGAAGAAGGGTGTCCATCTGCTGATTCTGCCGATCTTCTAAACAGGGTGCTGCACTCACTCCAGTGGGGGAGAATCCATGGACAAATGAAGCCTCACTGGAGGAGCACAAATAGTATGAAACCAGGAGCTCAACTCCTCCTCACCTCCGCTGAGGAGCCCTGGCCAGGCAAGAAGGAAGGGGGGATCCCACAAAGCTGTGAACCATGGAGGTCCTTTGGTCTCTGCATTGCTCCCAGATACCCTCTTGTCAAAACTGAAACCAAGTGAGGAATTCTCCTGAATTGGGTCTGCTCTCCCCTAACTTGGCTCCTTCTGCCCTTAAGAAATATCCCGAAGTCACCGGCAGGGCTTTCCAGGCCCTGGGCCATCTGCCGTGGCTCCCCTCTCGGGTCTCTCCTCTCACCCTCCTCCTTCTCTCACTGCCTGCGGGGGATGCTTTTTCCTTCTCTACAGGGACCCTGCCCTCAGCGGTGCCCCATCCTGCACTTGTCATTTTTTGTCCAGAAGGTTTCACCTTCCTGATGCTACCCAGCTAATCCTCCTCAGCTCTCAGCTGGGCAAAACTTCATGTCCAAAGTCCCTGGGCTTCTTCAGGGGCCTCCCCTGGCTGCTGGCATAGCCCCTGGTATTCAGCCCAGCTCTCTCCCTATGTTAAAAGGAGTTACTGACTTCTCCAGTCACCCGCCCACATATTATTTCTTTGGGGGTAACTAGGGCATTCGTGCTCTACCGTGAGTGTAGCGTGATGCCTGGCTCATAGTAGATGTTCATGGAATATTTGATGGGTGAAGGAAGGAAGAAAAGATGATTGCTATATATGCATCTTTCTTCAACCAGGTCCTGGGCTGAAAGATGAGGCAGGCATTTCATGTGTTGGTAGGAGAGGGGTGAAGGGCCTGCTTCAGCTCCCCTTCCCCACCAGACCGTGAGCTTCATGCAGTGCTGTGGCCAAGGCTGACCCTTGAGGGCACTTCCTGGTGCATTAGCTGTCACCTGTGCTACCAGACCGACTCAATCACAGGAAGCTTTTTTGCACGAAAAATTCATTTGCCATATGAATGCCAGAAAAAGGTAAAAAGAATTTCTTGACTATTCTACTGCCAGTCCCAAATGGGCAGCATGCTGCCCTGTCCAAAGAGGGCAAAGGAATGGCTGCCATGCCTCAGTGAGTATCAGTGAGGGAACAAAGCCAGGTAACTCTTTAGAAAAACAAGGTGGGAGAAGGTGGAAGAAGCCTGCACTGACCCACTTAGGGGAGCAGCTCTTTTTCATGTCTGTTTCCCATTTTTCATTTGAACAACAGTGCAGCAACAAGCTCAGGGAGATGAAAGCCACACCGTAATTAGAAACCCAGAACAGGCCTGCTCACCTATTTGACACAGTTCCTACTAATCAGCATGAACCTCATTTAGGATTTGATGTAAGAAATGTTCCCAATTTGACCTTCAGCTGCCTCGGGCCTTAGCTCGCTGGGCTCCAGCCTGTGATTCCCAGTTCTACCCCCACACCCACGCCTGCACCTAGGCTCTTCAGGTTCGGTGGGTCTGTGGAGTGGTCTCCACTCTTCTTTTTTTTCTGGGAAGTTCCTCCAGAGATTCCAAGGCAGGCAGCAGGAATGAGTGGTCAGACAAACATTCTGTGATAACTCCGGTTTTGGTATCCTCTGAACCTGTTCTCCTTTCTGCTTTCAAATAGCTTCTCCTATTTAAAAAGCTCTCCTGGTTCTTTATCCTGTCTTATCCTATCTTATTTCAAGCTTTACCCTTTGTTCACACAAACTGCATCTCCTGTTGGTGACATGATTTCAGGTCCATAATCCAAAGGCGATATTCCCAGAATTCCAAACAGAAACAAAGTCTGGCACATTTTTTCCCTTATTTGTAAATATATAAACTTGAAACTTTTACAAAGGTGTCAACTTTAAATTCCATTGACTTACTCCCTTAGCAACCACACATGGAGAATAAACGCGTCTCTTAGGAATAGGATCATCCAGGAAAACTGGAACCATGTGGCCACGGGACCCCTTCCACTCTTCCTGTATATGTGCCCTCTGGCCATGGATCGGCTGCTCTAAAGCCCTGTTTGTCCAGCCCCTCAAGGAGAGAGGGGGGTCTCCTGGTCAGGAACACAGGATAATACAATCTCAGCCTTGTTTTCATTCTCTCTCAGTCTCCCTGCTGCAAAACTCCCCTCCAATCCACCCTTCATTCTGATGCCAGAGATCTTTCTGAAATACAACTAATTTAATTTCCCTGTTCAACCCTTCCTATAATTCCCCATCCCCTCCACAGTGAAACCCACACCCTGGGGGTGGCAGAGATCTGGCCCTCTCCTGCTATCCAGGCTGTGGTGCGCCTCTATCATTCCTGTTTTCTTTCCAGGCAGTGACCTGGAGTGACTCATCTTTGGTCTCTCAGAGTCCTTCCTGCTGTGTGATTTGTTCCTTCAATCTGGTTCAATTCTTTACCTTGCTAAGAAAATGCACACTGCAAAACTCAGCTGAATGTCACCTGGTCTGAGACTAGAGGGACCAAAACATTTTGATAGAAGTAACAGAGAAGTTCATGCTCTCACGCCTGACCAAAGAGAGAGCAAACACTGAGAAAATATGATCAAGTCCACTTAACGGTAGGCCTTTGTTTTCATTCATTCATTTATTTGACAAATGCTTACAGAGTGCCTACTATGCACCAGACCCTGTTCTAGGCACTTGGGAAACAACAATGAACATGCCAGATCAAGCCCCACCATCATGGCACACATGTTCTAGAGGGGTTGAAACAGGCTACCACTCTCCAACACGGAAATATCCATTATGCCAATAGGTGAGTTACTTTATAAAGAACAAACAAGGCAAGAAAGGTGCTAGGGTGTGATGATGTGGGGTTGGAAGCTCTATTTTATGCAGGTGGTGAAGAAGGCCTCTGCCTTAAGGTGACCTTGAACAGAGATCTAAGAAGAGAGCCCCAAGGACACCTGGCATGGGCACCAGCAGAGGGAGCTTTAAGGCCTGGAAGCCAGGAGGCCACCTTGGTGTATCACAGGCATATCAGGAAGTAGTGGAGACAGGGTAAGGAAAAGGGAGTGTGTGTGGAGGTGAAGCCAGGGAGACACTGGTGGCCGGACCAAGGAAGACCTTTTAGGCCACAGTAGGGATGTTAAAGACCTTAGGTGAGCCAGGAAGCGACTAAATCAGGAACAACGAAGCCTGCACAGAAATGCTTTCGCTGAGCATGGAGAACAGACGATAGGGAATAAGAACAAAAAAAGCAGGCCAGTTAGGTAGAAAGCTGTGGAACACTCCAGACAAAGGTAACAGCAGCTTGGGAGAGGGCAGAAGAGGCAGGACTGGATAAACCTCCGAATTCAGAAAATCTAGCAGGACGTGCTCAGGATTGAGGAAGAGGACGGGAAAAGGAAAACAGTGAAGACGGACTGCAGCTTTCACATGAGCCACTAGAAGAATGCAATTGCCATTTACCAGATGGCAAGACTCCAGGAGGAGCAGGTTTAGGGTTGGAGTCAGAGGATGGTCAGGAAAGAAGGCTAGAATTCAAGAGATCTATGTTTTACATTTTCAGTTTGAGATGCCTATGAGACACATAGTGGAGAAAAAACACAAATACGAGGTCCCTCTCCCAGTTAACAAGAGAATGTTTAGCGATTTTAATCTTCAACTCTGGTCCCACATTCACAAACCAAATCTCACAGCTTAATGCTAGGCGACATCAATGGTTTCCTCTCATTAAAACCATATTTGGCAGAGGTGTCTTTCCCTCCCTGCTTCCATACCCTAGGGCCCCTGGGACAGAAATTTTCAACATCAAAAAGTATCATCTTAGTTTTGAAATGTGGATGACTCCATCTGCTCCTGTAGATACCCCAAGGACAAAAAGCTGATGCCTCATTGCATTTACATGACAAGGGTGCATCTCCAAAGAGATTTTTTTTAAAAAGAAATAATGAAAAAGATGAGTGTTACTTCATCTCTCACAGTGACAAAGACTAAATTTGGGGCAGATTTCAAATATCAATTTTTGTTTTTCCTATTTCCATCCATTAAGGATTCAAAACATTGAAGGTCAGTGTATTTGTTTCCTTTTTCTATAACACATTTCCATATATTTAGTGGCTTAACAAACAAGAGAAATTGATTCTTTGATGATTCTGGAGGTGAGACGTCCAAAAATGACTCTCACTAGGCTGAAATCAGGGTATCAGGAAGGCTGTGATTCCTCCAGAGGCTCTCAAAAGATATCTGGTCTTTGGTGCTCCCAGCTTCCGCTGGCTATGGGCATTCTTTGGCTTGTGGCCACATCACTGTAACCCTGAGGGTCAGCATCTTCATATCCCTCTGCTCCCGTCTTTACACTGCCTTCTCCTCTGTGTGTGTTCCTATCAAATCTTCCTCTGCCTCCCTTTTGTAAAGATTTATGTGATTGCATTTAGGGCCCAGGACAATTTCCCTATCTCAAATCTTTAAACTAATCTCATCTGTAAAGACTCTACCATGCAAAGTATATTTTTGGGTTCCAGGGATTAGAATCTGATCTTTGTTTGGACATTATTCAGCCTACTACAACTAGTAATGAAAAAAAAATGAATCATTTTGTTTAATAATTATAATACAATAAAAAAGAAACTTTACAGATAGATTATCCAACAAATAGTCCCTGAGCTCTATTAAATTCCAGGCACTGGGGATAGAATGCACAAGCATACGGGCCCCCTGACCTCAGAAAAAATGACATAATCAACCAATCACACAGACAAATGCCACATTTTAACTGTGGCAAAAAGCAGGAAGAAGGGCAAGGCTCTAGCTCCTGGCAGAGGTGGGAGTGGCAGTGGTTAGCAGGTCTGGGAAAGTTCTCTATGGAAATGGCATTTGAGTCAAAGTCTGAAGGATAAATAGGACCGACTGGGTGAAAAGCAAAAGAGAATTCCAGGAAGAGGGAAGGGAACGTTCAAAGGGCCTATGACCAGAAATAACAAGAAAAAATACACTAGAATGAAAATAGTGAGGCAGGACATGGCATGAACCAGGAGCAGAGGTCCCCTGGAGCCTGGCCTCCAGGACTATCAACTCCTTCATAAGGAATTGGCTCTCTTGGGCTAAAGAGAAGTCTTTGAGGAACCTCCAGATTTGGTTTGAAAAGATCACTCAGGCTACAAGTGCAGAAATGAGGGGTGAGGGGTGCAAAGTGGGTGTGGCAGAATCGCTATTTTCATTCTAACAGTCGGGAGCTGAAACGCCACATTACTCAATTTCAAAAGACTTTATTATTTTCTTGGCCTTCTGCAACAGCAAAGCCTGGCTCCCAAGCTTGCAGCCATCGCTCTCAGCCCAGGGACTCTCCAGTGGCTGTGAGAGCTGCTGCCCTTACACACCCTACCTGCACCCCACTCCTTTGCACATCCCCATTGTAGGGACCCATCTCATCCATCTTTGTATCCATTCCAACCTCAATTTCAGGACTTGACACATGATGGTTTATGTGTGAAAGGGAAAATAATCAAAATTTCTCATCTTTCTTTCTCAGAGTAGGAAGAAATGGCTTGGCCAGCCTAGCCCTCAGAATGAGGAACAGTGTTAGCACACAGGTCCCCTCTGTGAAATCCAGGTTTTAGGACGATAAGAACACCATAAAACATGCCCAAACAAAACTGTGAGAACACAGGAGATGGTGGCAAGAGAGCTGAGGAAGAGCACCAGGTCAGAAGGCCAGAAAGCCAGGAGCAATAGAGCTCCGCGGAGGCGGCTGAGGCTGGAGAAACGGGATGCGACCCAGACCGGTTTCTGGGAACAGGGACCCACATCAGCGGCAGGACATGTGTGCATTCCCCATCTAGAGGATTGCATCCATAGAAAGAAGACAGAAAAAGACAAATGGATGTAAGCACCTGGAAGTCTTTAGGGCTGTTGGATGATCACAACAATGAGGGGTGCTCTTCTGCTTCCCTGCACCTACTTGACACCCTTCTCCAAATCGAATTATGGGACACAAAAACACTTCTATAAAAGGTATCTAATTGGGAATATCTAATCTGGAATAACTAAAACAAGGAGATCATTTTTCCAGGTAATTATCAAAATTCAGACTGTAACCCAAAACTCTTAAATCCTGAAATTTACTTCTTTCTACTAAGCTATTAAATCCCCAACGGAGCCAACACCGGGTTCATTGTGCAGACTCCCAATTAATCACAGTAGAAAGCACTACTTGCCAAGTGAAAATCCTCTATTTTGAATTCTTAATCCCCCCACCAGCTGAGTTTACCACAAAGACATGAATATATAATTGAGACATAAAGAAAACATGCCACCAAATTAAACTGCCCTGATTTTGCATCAATAAATTCTTTCTCAAATAACATGAAATGAAGAAAGTGTGGTGCTCCAAAAACTCCAGGAGTGAATTCCTCTGCTGAGCCAAGCTCTAGCGGAAGCCAATTAGATTTCATACCAATGTTAGACAATTATTTACTGCAGGCGACATTCAACAGGAACATGTCTTAACATACACTCCAAGTGGTGACACCTCAAAGCCTAAATTAGCCTGGAGATATCAGAAACAGGAAGTCTTCTCATTTGTATGAGGACTCTCAGGTAGGAGGCTGCTGAGGACCTGAGGGCTGGGGACTGCTTCTTGCAGCTGTCATTCATCCTCGGCAGCATCCTCACCCTCTCTGCCATGATCATCACCATGACAGCACAAAACCCAGTACCACACCCTCTATTTGCTAAGACACAAAGAGATGCACCTTACTATACTATGGAAGAAGAATCATTATTACAAATTCAAATGTAAGACATACATTGGAGAGATTTTGAAAATTGACGTATTGGTAGAAAAGTCTTTGGCAATCTTTCCCCTTTGTGTCTTAACCATGCAAGAAGCATAGAACCAGTTGGGATTGGATGTATTCTTTCCTTCCAATATATCTCCTTTCTACCCAAGATTTATTGACTTAGGTGTTTGTCATGTTCTTTTCCACTGATAATCTTTTGAGTATTTGTCCATTGTCAAAACAATCTAATGTGCACTTCCTTGTGAAAGAAAGTAGCATTCTAGCAGGACAACCAGAAAAAAATAAGCCTATTGGAAGCCTATCTGGTTCCACCTGAAACTGAGATGCAGCCTACCTTTCTAGCCATATATTGAGTGATTTCACCCCAGGAACTCTGCCCTGTGACCATATTAGCGTCCTCACTCTTCGTCCAACACAACATACACGTTCAGCCTTCCAAGCTTTGCACACATGATTGATCCTGTTTGGGATGCCATTTCCTCTCAGATCCCCTAAAAAACTCTACTGCCCATTGAAGACCCTCATGAAATATAACTTTGTAGTTTTGTCTAATCTTGCAGGTAAATTCAATTACTCCATTTCAATGTATTCATAGCATTTATACCCTCAAACATCCTAATCCCTGTTACCTTATAAGACAGATATTTGTTAGTATAGTGGTCTCCTCTGCTGGACAGGGCAGGAGCTCTGTCTGAATCTTTGTGTCCCCAGGACCTGGCTTCAAAATACTGTTAAATGGAATTCAACAGGGTCAGTAGAGTGTCTTCGATCTGACAACAGATGGACGGAAACCTTTCTCATCAACTACTCCCTATGTCCTAAGAAGCTACGCATTTTAATTTTATTAAGAAGAGAGGAACAACCAGAATCTTTGGGTCTTTTGAGTGTCTAAGAATCTTCTCCTAACAGTGATGGCATCCAAGTCAGCTGCTCTTGATATTGCTGTATCACACACTCTGTATGGGTGACCTTCTGAAACCATTAGGAATACGGTAATGAGGAAAATTTTGGATATATTATAGGATTAGACAGATCTGTAGTGTTGGGTCATGAGACCATAAAGAGACCTCATCCAACCCTTAATTAAGAAGATTTTCTTCAAGTGCAGCTTGAATAAATCAGCACTCTCATATGGGAATGGGAGTCTAAAGGCATACATCTTGAAAAAGCTGATTATTCAGGATCTGGTGTTTGTCCTTTCCCCAAAATAAATGACATTTCTCACTTGGAAGCTGCAGAAAGAATCAAGATCCAGAAGGAATCAGAGCCATGTTTCTCAATCCTATGGTGTTAGACTCTGAGGCCGCTCAGAAGCAGCCAAGACTCCCTGTGGAAAAGCACCTAAGGGGTAAGAACTCAGTGGCTGCTTACAGACTTTCCCATGGGAGCCCTAACTGCTTACCTGGAGAGATGTTGCCTGACTTCTGTAAGTGCTTGCTGTAAAGCCATAAGGGTCATCTAAACTTTCTGCTCCATTCTCTATGAGTGGGTGTGAAAGGCTAGAACAGGGGACCCTATTTTTATCCACTCTTCTGCAAAAGACGCCAAGTTTTCCAAACTCTGTAGAGAACATGAGGACCCCTTCCCAGCCATACCAAAAGGAAAAGAAAATGCCATTATTCAATGAATATAACTTTTCCTCTGGCATTTTTCTGAGATTACTTTAGTCTTTACATTTTGCCCTACTTGGCTTAGCAGACAGACGATACCTCAGGTGAGTTTACTGAAATGTGCTCTAGCCTTTCTGTCAATTTTTGTCCCTCCGTTGTCAGCAACTGCTTCAAGAAATTTTAAAACTCACCAGGTAGAACAGAGTTGCCTCATCTGCATGCTGTCTAGATAGTGTACATCAATTGCAGGTAAAATGCCCTACTTCCTTGTCATTCTCCGGGGTGCTTTGAGGAGAGCTCCAATTTTATAGTGGAATTTAATTTCCTGACTTTTTCAAAGTTCTATCAAATTTAGACACACAGTCTTATGACCAGACCAAATATACATTTTCATCTATTTCTTGAATGGGACAGGAAAAAGAGAGGTCATTGGAAAGCAGTTTGGGATGATCAGTATGCCCCCACTATCTGTCACACAGGGCTACTGACATCTAGAGAACACAGATGTTCTCAGAAGGTGACTTCAGTCTATTTCGAATTGGATCATGATGTTTTCCTCTACCATTGACTCGCTTGAATGGGAAGTGTTGGTGCAAAGATCTGCAGAGCTCTCCGGGAGCCTTGTCCTGCCAGAAGGGCATGGTGCTTTCTGGGTGACATGTCTGGAGAGGCAGAAAGCTTTGCTTTCAAAGTAAGGATTAGGTCACATTATTTCCTTTGATATTTTGTGTTTCAAATTACCTTCAGTTCAGATTCAGAGTGGGGAGGGGTCTCTAGGGTGTAGCTACCTAGAAATTAAAAGTTATTGTTCCTGTTCTCTGAATCATAATAATGAGCTTTTGCTTGACAAGGTCAACTAATTATTCAGGATTGGAAAGAAACACGGTTGTATATATCAAGTGGGTAAGAGAGAGAGTCAGAAATAGGGAGACAATCAAAGGTAAATTAGGGGCTGATGTGGCCATACTTCCATTATTTGCAAGTCACTGCCTGGGCTGGGTGTCTCCCTAGTCTAGTCCCTTTCTCTCTGGAATTACTTTAACACACGAAGTGAACAGAATGTCCTGGCTTCTTTCCCTCATTCCTGCCCTATTCCATAGACATTTGTGTTTCCCTTCTTTACCTGAGCTTCGGAGCTGTTTGACTCCAAAGGCAGGTAATTAACTATCAAACAATAGCAGGGATTTTCAGATTAATTCTGCCCAGCAAGAAATAGGAAAACTCATTTTACCAAACAAAAGGGAGGGGATGATTAGATACTCCAGTGACAAAAGAGAAACCTAGCTAGGGCCTGGAAAACTGACAAAGAGGCTAAAAGCTTTTTTAACATTTTTTATTACACTAATATCCCTGTTTTTATAAGCACTGTATTCTACTGTTCTCTGTCATACAAATGTGTCTCTAAGTGAGAGTGAATTCCTGCAGGTACACCAGTCAAAATGGAGAAGTCAGTTTTCCATACTTGGATAAGGAGGACCTTTCTTAACACTCTGCACACAACCATGGCACACTTTTGCTCTACCACCATTCATGGGTTCTTAGAAACACAGACGGGGCCTTTTAGACGTCTTCTCAAGCTGTCCTTAACTTGCCAAACAATTCATTCCCACTGAATGTTTTATCCACTCTGTTTTCCAAGATGTAACCTTGTCCAAAGGAACAATGGAGACAGTAGTATGGCTTTTTCAGATGTACAATATGCTCGGTTTGGTAGCAGGATTAAGAGGGTGAAAGGAATAAAATATTCTGCTAGACTCCAGAGAGAACCACTTATTAATTATGTTTATTAGGCAAAAAACCCTAAGGTCAAAGAGATGGAAATCATTAGACCTAAATGTTAATAAATTTTAGATGAATCTCCCCTATTCTGGACAAAAAGATTATGTTCAGGACATGCAAATCCACGGGTGGTATTTCTTACATTTCACATTTGAAGGAAGTATTCAAGGCATCTCAAAGTCAAGAAATCCAGGTATCTGAACTCATTCCCCTCTGCTGATGAATCAGTTTTGCCATGTGATCTTTAGACATGTTAGTATTCATGTCCCCTGAGCTCACAGGTAGAAATCTCAGTGTCCTGGTGGAGTCATCACCCCCATGCTCACACTTAACCAACCCTCGAACTCTGCCTACTCTCCTGCAGGTACATCCTTGGACTCCAGACTCTTCTCTGTCTAAGCTAACCTAGGAACTCCATTACTCCATCTTTTTAAACAATTGAAGCTAACCTAGGAAATCCATTACTCCATCTTTTTCAACAATTCTCTCTTGTTTTTAAAAGAGCACCATCTATTTAAAATTTCCATTCTCTTTCCAAAATTCCACTCTCCTTTCCACAATATACCTAGCCCTTCAAGCCATGGAAAGCCATTCTAGCTTTAACACCTGCTGATCCATAATGGTAACCCCTTATAGCACTATCCAATAAAGCTTTTTACAATGGAAGTTCACACAAATGTTCTCTCTCTGCACTGTCCAACACAGGAGTGCAGTAGTTTGGGTATTTGTTCCCGTAGATCTTATGTGGAAAGTTGATTCCAAAATTGGAGGTGGGGGCCTAATGGGAGATGTCTGGCCATGGGGATGGAGCATAAATAGATAAATGCAGGGGGTGGGGCAAGTGAGTTCTTGCTCTATTAGCTTTCTCGAAAGCTGGTGGTAAAAAAGAGCCTGGCACCGTCCCTGCTGTCTCTGGCTTTTTCTCTCACCATGCAATTCTGCATATACTGGGTCCCCTTCACGCCATGCCACGAATAGAAGCATTCTGAGGCCCTCTCCAGATGCAAATGTTGGTGCTGTGCTTGTACAGGCTGCAGAACCATGAGCCAAATAAACCTCTTTTTTATGTGTGTGAATTACCAGCCTCAGGCATTCCTTTATAGTAATGCAAAATGAACACAAGGGAACAGTAGTCTTGCATGACTATGGAAGCACTGCAGTGTGGCTAGTGTGACTGAAGAAGTAAATTTTAAATGTTGTTTGGTTGTAGCTAATTTAAATTTAATTTAAAATAGCCACCCTGGCAAGTAGCTACTTGGCTCAGTTCTCTTGTCTCCTCCTTTCTGCCGCCTTCCCCCTCCATCTCCCTCCCACACTGGCTCCAGGGTCACCCTCCTCCCCCAGGATGCCCTTTGCTCCTAGCTTGCCCCAGAGACTTGCTCCATGTGGTCGCCTTGGCCTCACGGCTGTCTGCAAGAAATAACCATATTGGATCAGAACCACAGGGGAAGAAAATCCAGTACAGAGAACTAGGGGGTAGATGGGATATTTGACAGTAAGGGGAAAGACATACCCCAGACCTGAAGCAGCTTGTGCAATGCTGTGAGATGCCACTACCTTCCTTCTGTGTGGATTTATTTAGATATGAAGGTGACTACATATACATAAATACACATACTCATGGGCAGAATATCAATTTAGTTCCTTTTTGTTGTTGCTGTTTTTATTTCTTTTTTTAAAGGATCATAATACCATTTTGAAAACCTAATATGCCCAACTTTTATTCCAGAAGCTCAGGGCTGAATAGCAACTTCAAATCCAGAGAGTCAGCTTCTGCTAGGGGAATTAGGGTTTATGTTTGGTATAATAAACGATCCCAAGATAAATATATTTCTTTCCCTTTTTTTTTTTTTTTGTAATCCAGGATGGTGGTGCATCCTCTTTCCAATACAGAAACACAAGAATCTGGCTCTATTTAGTTTGTCTGATCGCTTTGAAGAGGGGGTCAGTTTGGCTCTGAAAAAACTATGGTCCTCTATTCATTAAAGTGTCGATAATACTCAGTCCAGGCATATCGACAGCGGATTAGCTTGGGCTGAGTCTGTGTAAAAGACCAATGCCTTTTTTAACCCAGCTTGTTTCCAGATCAATACACCCATCAGCATTCGAAAATTAGCCCAAGATGAGATTCCAATACTTGAGGTGGTGTGTCATGCGAGAGGGCACCTAGCTAAGTCACAGATGTAAACACCTAGCAAGGGATTAGACATTTTCCATTAGCTTGGATGTGAGTGAAGATTGATGTAGACTCCATCCTCTCACCCCCTCCCATCATCTCACCCCCAAAAACACCCAGCCGTCTCTCTTGGAGCCCATATAAGATCACCTGGCTCTAATTCTAGCCATTTGCTTCAATAAGCATTTATTAAATGTTCACTTTGTATCAGGCATTCTGCGAGGTGTTCAGGGCAGGGGTGTGGGGGTGTGTGTGAGTGGGGGTGGCTGAAGAAAGAAAATGACAAAAATATGATCCAGTTTTCAAGGAGACATTAGCACTTTTCACAATTCCTTCCACTTTCCAGTTCCATGAGGCCCTGCTTCCTAAAGCAAATATCTCTAATAGTTCCTAGTTCCCAGTCTCTCATTGTCAATGCTAGGCATTCTTTTCTCAACACTAAGTGTGCAGGGGTTGGGGCAGGACAGGAGGGGGGCTGAGCAATAGCTTCCAAACCACCACCTGGTAGAGTATGCAGATGGTGGCACCAGGGCATTCACCAGCCCTGCCCACAGAGTGGAGATTCTCAAGCATTTTTGGCCTCCCTATCCATAATAAAAAATGTATTTTACATTAAAAAATGTACACAAACTGAAACAAAAATCTCACATGGCAATACCTACTCCACTCTTTGTAATACACTCTGATACCTTCTATGCAATTCTATTTTCTTTAAAATTGCTGTTTGCATGCATCAGTTCAAAAAGTATTCATTTATAGAATCATTTTTTAAACAGCCATTGTAATTTCCTTTGGGGAAGAAAGAGTAAGCAAAATATAATAAAAACTTGGCATGACCAAACTTGGGCCACAGCATCAAGGATTCCCATGTCCCCTGGCATACGTTCTGCCCACAGCCAGGTCCAGCATCACCTTGTTCTCATGTGTCCTCCTCTCAGTCCTGCTCACCCTGCCTCACTCAACAGTGCTGATCACGACCCAAGTTCCGCCTTCCCCTACTGTCAAACAGCAGGCCTCCCCTTCCTTCTTCCGGCTCACTTCAGTTCTTCCTTCTCAAGCTGCCTTCCTTCCTATTCTGTCTCTAACCAATCATCCCATAGTTCTTTACCCTTTTCTTGAACACACCGACAAGGGGACTGGTGGAAGGAGCCCCTAGGAGAGGAGTTTGTCACCCTGGAGCTACACGTCCCTGGTTGAAAGGGCCTCGGGATCAGCCTGGGAAAGGGCTCCAGCACTGGATCTGGCATGCCGCTGCTCAGGGGCTATACTGCTGACATCACAAAATAAGATATTTGACCCACTGTAAAAGATGCTCAAAAATTTTAAAAATTACAAAAGTCCTAAAAAAGAGAAAAGAAAGCTCCATAGCTAACACTGAAATAGCACTTGTATGTGCCACGCCCTCTTCTACGTGTTTTCTATGTCAGTACGTTTACAGTTCAATCCTCACGTTGACCCCCTTTACAGAAAGAGAACCCTGAGACACGGTAATAACTTGATTAAGGTCTCACAGCCAGAAAGTGGCCAAGTGTGATGCCAGCTCTTGCTCACTAACTAGGAATCCTTCAACCGGGTTAAGTGTTGTCTGAATGCCCCAGGACTGGTTCTGCCTTGTGGGAAGAGGTGAGCTCCATTCCCAGGGTCTAAGAGAGCATAACCAACACACATATTCTCTCTCTCTCTCTCTCTCTCTCTCACACACACACACACACACACACACACACACACACACACAAACATACAAGGCCTCATGAACTAGGAGTCAGGGGAGGAGAAGAAGGCCAGGAGAGTTGGGATGGAATCAAAACAGGGAGAATCAGACACCAGTATTATATGGGAGAAATGGCATCCAAAACCCCTGGCTGGGAGAGGAGAGGAGGCGCAAGTGAGCTGGAAACAAGCAGGTGCTTGTGAAGGATGCAGCTGAGGGCAGTGCCCAGTGCATCCTGGTTGGCTCTGCTTTCGTTCAAGGCTGGAGGGGGACATGGCATACCTGTACTTCCAAAAGTGCATTAAAAGTCTGGTTTTAAACATAACACAGTCTTGGAATTGGATGAAATCTAAAAAACAAAACAAAACAAAACAAAAAACAAACAAACAAAAATAACTAAAACTTAGGGGAGAAAAAAGCCAAGAAGAGCAATAATTACAAGATAATTTCCTGAGAAAATATATTATTGGAACAAAAATGAAAAAAACAATTCCTAGTTCCACTCAATGAAAATGACTGGAAAATTTAGCTTCTAACTGCAAAATGACAACCAGAAATGTGCCCTGGACCCCAGATGCGTAGAATAAGGATAACTCATCTCTGTTGAGGATCAGAGAACAAACCTTTACCTGAAGGCTTTCCAGGCTGGCCAGCCAGATCTCCCCGCCAAGCCCCGCCCACCTACCTTGCACAATGAGGTGGACCCTAGAGGTCTTTGGGTGGTTGTCTGTCTGCACCGAGCAGGTGTAAGGGCCCTCGTCATACACATCCACGTTCTGGATCTCGATGCTGTACTGCGTTTGGGTGTTGCTCAGAAGGACCACGCGAGGATCCAGGCACCACTTGTCATTCCCAGCATAGAGGATGGTGCTGCGGTTTAGCCAGGCCACCCGGGTGACCCGGTTGTCAATAGTGCACCTGAAGGGAAGACCAGACAGGTACGTCAAGGGACTGAGAGACGACAGCAGCCATCAGAGGGAGGTCCTCATGGCAAGGCTAGAATATCTTGTCTTTCTCCCTTCCCCCAACACATACATTTCCTTTGATTTGTCAGGGGTGGACTTTTCTGGAACACAGCAAAGGTCTTATGGGATTACAGCCTCAGAATGTTGCTCGGAGCTTCTCAAACCACTTGAGCACAGAACCACTTCAAATACGATCTCAGTTATAACCTAGAGGTACCTTGCATGCCCAGGATGGCTGGATACTTCGAATACTACCAGTTCTCCCTTTGCTCAAGGATTTGGGTGATGATAATCCTTCATAGTTATGTCTAGCTGTTTAGGGTGCACTAAGTCATTCAATACTTATAATAACCCTATGAAGAATCTTTTATTGGAAAAAGCCTAGAAGAGCAGAGAAACTAAACTAAACTAGTTCTCCAAGTCACACAATAATTATGTGTTAGATCAGAGACCCAGCTTTTAACTACTAAACATCATTCCTCTCATCTCAGAATAGCAAATTCCCACAGAAGGCTTCTGCAGTCAAAACTAAATACAGACCACCACTATTGCTATTCATCTTCATTATACCCAGGGGCAGAAATGTTCGGTTAACTGCTAGACTAAAGCCACTTTCCAAAATCTCAAAACTGTCTGCACATATAAAAATAGATTTTCTTTCTTTTATTTTTGCATCTGGAGTCCTTGAATTGTGGAATCTCCCTTCTCTTTTCTACACTTTTAAATTTCCCAGCAACTCTCGCCAAGTCCTCATCATGTCTTTCTGTCTGTATTCATTTCCCTCTCTTACTACAGCAAGTCTGTTCCATGGCCTTAGGCTAAATTTACAAGCAGTGTCCTGATCCTGACTATAATGCTGGAAATAACAATGTAGCATAGGATGTATAATGATGTCTCAAATGTATACATTATTTTGCAGTGTACAAAGCACTTTTACAGCTCAATGTCTCCTTTGATGTTTTGCAACAAATTTATGAGGTTGACACTCTTACCCATTCTCTGCTTTAAAGATCAGGACACTAGGGTTCTGAATAGCCTGATGACTTGTCCAAGGAATGAGAGCTAGAAGTATAGAAGTCAGACCTCTCAGTCAAGTCTTCTAATTCCTGGTACTATGTGAGACTCATAATGTGCAAAGGTGAATTTTTCATTGAGGATGGGTGATGGCTTCTATTGGATTCTCAAAATGGTTTGTGACCATAAAAATTCTAACAAGTGCTACTATACACACCTGCTTCTTCAGGAGACCCCCTGTCCCCATGAGACATCCTGTACTGTGCATCCTTTCTGCTTTGCTTATGTAAATGTCTCAACATTATGTAAGGATCACTTAGGTGCACAGGGATAGTTTGCTGAGAGTTCTTGTGGGAAATACTGCCCAAAAAGAAACACCTTGGCACAGGTGTCCAACAAGTTTTTTGCAGCTCATTGCATTTTCTGGCAATGCAGATGAGAGGTGGGCTCTCTCTGGCACCATCCTGATACAGCATGGAAATGAGTGAAGGCCTAGCTTGGAGAAGATCTGGGGACTACCTTTCAAAGTGCTCATGGACTACTTATATTAGAATCACAGGAGAGGTTTATTACAGATTCTTAGTCTCACCCCCAGTCTACTGATTCAGAATATTTGGGAATTTATAACAACATCTCAGTTGGGTCATACACACACTAATGTTTCAAAACCACTAATATGGAGCAGTGTGTCTAGGACAACTTATATCATTTATGGGGCCCAGTGCAAAATAAGAACACAGAATATTTTGCTCAAGCATGAATAAGGATTTCAAGGTGGTGAGAACACAGCCTTAAACCAACCACAGATTTCTATGGAAATAAACAAAGTTGTGAAGCCAGCTCCACATGTTTCTCAAGCTTTACGGTGCACATGAGCCCCCTGGGGATTTCGCTGAAGTACAGATGCTGATTCAGTAGGTCTGAGGTAGGGCCTTGGATTCTGCATTTTTAGCAAGCTCCCAGGTAATGCCAAAGCTGATGGCCCCTGGTCATTCCTTGAGTCACATCTAGAAGTTCATATCTAGACATGAGTTTTGTGCACATTAGGGTTTAAGAAGCACTGAGCTAGCACCACACTACACAAAAGTGTGGCTGGCAAACCACCAACATCAGCATCACTTGGGTGGGAGCTCATCAGAAATGCAGAAACTCAGGTCTCCTCTCAGAGATAAGAAATTTGAATCTGCATTTTAATAAGATGTCCAGGTAACCTGAATGCACATGAAGTTTGAACTGATCCAAGCCTTTCTTGTGGCTTTGATGACAATATCCAGAATGGACTCTGAGGGTGAGCAAGAAGGAGAAAACTACAGTCGATAGAGGGTGCACCTCTCTTACTACACCTAAGGGTGTACCTTCCCTTATGCTCCTTGCAGACCCCATGACTGCCATCTGGTACTGCCTTGTCTGAAACATGAATTTGGAACGACATAAGTTTGAAATCTCTCAAGAACAAAAACACACTTTGCAGCTTGCTTTGCTAGTAATGTATCTAGGATAGCTTATATTAATAATCTGAAGGGTGGCCACTGCTCTGACCTTCACTTGGGTCCAAGCAGGGACTGGATGAATTCACATTCATGGTCAATGTTAATTGACTACATGAGCCCACTATGTGTACTATTTTATCATCTCACAAACTTGGTTGGGTTCACTTATTGCCAATTTACAGACAAAATTAGCTGAGGCTAAAAAACATTAGCCATATTGACTGAAACCATGCTGATATTAAACTGTAGAAGCAGGATTCATGCCAGTTTTTGTTTTGTTTTCCAAATTTAGTGTTCTTATAGGTGCTCCCAAAAGAACATCTAAATCAGTTCTTCTCAAATTCACTGTGCATCAGAATCACCTGAAAGACCTGATAAAAAAGAGATTCCTGGGACCTTACTCCATGGGTTTCTGATTCAGTAGGCCCAGGCAGGGCCTGGGAGGCTGCATTTCTGACAAAATTCCAAATGCTGCTGATGCTGGTCTGGAGAGCTCCCTGAGAACCTCTAACCTAGACGTGTGTTTCCTGGCAAAAATGAGAGTTGCAGAGTGAATAGGCACTAGGAAAGGACCCTGGTATGAAACAGTTTTCTGATACGTTACAGGAGAGAACTTTCCTGTAACCCATATGTTCAGGGAAACCAGAAGCAGAGTCCTTTATTTTCTTCCCCAGCAGCTGAAATCTGACAAGTACCAGGTGAGTGGCCATGGTGCAGGAAACGCTGACTGACAAACACTAAACTGCTTGAATAATTATTTTTGATGCCCACAACGAGGGCATCTCACAACCTCCCGATGAACACGAGAGGACTGTCCTGGGCTTCCTTGTGAGCATCTAATTATTGAAAATTGACAGAAACGGAAGCCGTCCCCCAACACTGCACCGCACTACAGGGCCAGAGAGGTTCGTCTGCAGATGCACTAGCACTCAGAACGCAGCCAATTTCCAGCATGGTTCTGCGGCTCCTGTGATGTACTACTCTGAGGAGTTGGCACAGTTCCAGCTGCGGTTCTGAACACATCCAAGGTCATGTTTAGATGTCCAAACTGTCACTGCTGGGTATCAGTCTTGCTGAATCCCCACGGAATGAATGCCGGCTTCTGCAGAGATGGATCACAAAGGTACCTCGGCAGCCAACTCTGTCACCTCCTCACACCTGCCCCCATCTATCTGTCTCATTGATCCAGTCTCCTCAACAATGCAGAGGACACATCGCTCCTCGGTTAAAAAAAGAAAAGTGAAAATGAGCATAATTGCTCTCTCAGCCACAGAGAAGGCTCTGGAGGTGGGACATTCAGACAACGAGTCCTCTCTTTGCAGAGACAGCCCTTGACATAGTCCTTCTACAAAACTGCTCCTGAAACACGGTACGGTATCTCACCTCTCTCAGGATGGTGGTTAACTGGTGATTAAGTCAGAGTGAGTAAGGCTTCAAACTCCACTGTCCCTGACTCATCCAGGTGAGCTGAACTGGAGATGGCCGCTCATCAGATATGGAGGAATAGTCACAAGTCAATGTAACATAGGCCAACAAGAGGTGGGAGATGGGCGATCAAAAGGGCGGGATGTTCCCAGATCAGACCTGCAAAGCCTCTCCCCTTTCGTCCACAACCTCCAGATATACCGCCCTCCCACCGCTGGCATCCTCTCTGCCCATCCTGCCACATATATGAAGAATAGAGGGACAGAGGTTCCCTTGAGGATTCTGGACTGGGCCCTGCAACTCCAGCTCCCTTCTGTCCTCCAGCTTCAATGTTGCCCTCCAGTTGCCCCGCACTGCAGCCCTCTGGCAGTGGCCATTAGCCTTCTGTGTCTCTGTGAATGGTTTTCCCATCAGCATCCCTCCTGCGGCCTTCCCCTCCTGTGTGTGGCCCCCGTGGACAGCCCATGGCCTAGCATACTCAGCATCCTGGAAGAATCCAGACAAAAAGAAATAAAGCCTGGAAAAGGCATGTGTTTTCCATTTCAGTACCGAGCCACAGTCCCCTTCTTAGTCTGTGTGTGTCTGTCTGCACCATGTTCCTTTTTTGGATAAGTGTCTTCTTTTAGAGAATAGGCCTATACTGTTTGAGCAGGGATTATTGAGGGTGCCCCACCTGTGTCAATATTCAGGGTGTATTTGGCCAAAAGAGGATCCAGCCACATGTGCACATGCTCACTCATGCATGGGAGCTCGAGTATGGTAGAGAAAGAACACTGCCATACCTGTAATTTTCTGCAGCTGCACCTATTGTTCCAATGCTCTAAAAATGCAACCCTCTGTGTCCTGAATATCTCTCTGATGAATAGTTGTTTTATTACACATGCTGCATTTACACATAGAGGAAAAGCAAAAACAAATGATTAAGCAAGCCCAAGATGTGCACCGCAGAAATAGAACCATGAAAGTATGGACTCAGGTCCTGAAGCTACTTTTGGATTTAGGATGAGAAAAGAGAAAGAGAGATAGAGAGAGAGGGGTAGGGGGGAGAGAGAGGGAGAGAGAGAGAGACAGAAAGAGAGAGAGAAAGAGAGAGAGAACCTGGGAATTGGAAGAAAAAAAGAAGCAAAAGTGTCTGCTTGGAATCTTCTAAAGATGGGCAAAGAGAGTGTTGCAATAAGGAGATAGATTATTGAAAAAAGAGAGAAACATCCAGGCTTGGCCTTTCTTAAACACACCTGCCTGAAGATCTGAGGGCAATAATGGATGCAGACAGTGTGCGGTCCAACCGTTCCTTCTATCAAATGGCCCTTTAACTGTGTCTGAAAGGCAGCGCATCTCAAGCAATGCTTGAAGCCACAGCAAAATAAGTGCTTTCGCCCTTCGCAGCACCTGGTCACAATTGCCTCTTATCACACAGAAATGCTCCAGCTGCCCCTAAGTTTGGTGCCTCTGAGCATTCGGCTTGTGCCCTGCCCCTCCCCTCAAGCATCATAGGGGAACATCACGACGCAAATGGCTCAGAAATACCCACACACGCTGCCATGGGGTTGGCGTGTACATCTTCCACATCTGCGCTTGTGAGAAAGTGTTCTCTGGGGGAAACTAAGAAATTAACAAAACAGGATACTTCCCCACGAAGACACTGAACATTCAGATATCAGCTAGCACCTTACTCCTTTATTGTAAGAGAAAGCGTCACTACTGAGGCTGCTAATTTTGACCCTACTGGATTTCTTTTAGACTCTAAACTTGTGTGGAAGTTTACAAAATTGATCTGGGTCATAGAGAGACAAAAATACTAGACTTAGACTCACATTGCACACTGTTCTTACGTCTCCCAACTATTACCATTTTTGCATGACATAAGAAAACGGAGGTAGGCCATGGAATCTTTCCTAGCTATGAAAGTAAGAGGGCTCATCATGCCTAGGTAGAAGCAGACAGCACACTTATGATACAGGTGAAAGGATTAGGGGGAGGAAAAAGGAAACAAACAAAACCAAAAGCAGCAGCACACACACTGCACTGTGAGTCCCACACCGCTAGGAGGTAGTTGTAGTCAGAGAGAGGCTCCGGGAGAGCAAAGAGAATAGGGTCTGAAGTCTGACTGCTACAAGGAATGTCCCAGCTCTGTTCCTGATGCCCCTCAGGCCTCAGAGAGGTTATCTCACTCCACTGGGTTTCATTTAAATCACCTGCAGTAGAAATAACCTCTCTTCTTGCATGGGGTTAATGAGAAGATTAAATGGAAACATGCATGTAAATACATTCTTTTGTTTATTGTAAAAATTCAACAAATAAACCTATTGTACAGTCTATAACATGTACTGCTTTCTCATCTTAGGGATGTAACATTGCTGACTTGATTGATTTTAAGTTCTTGAAAAGCAAGGATCATGTCTTATTTTCACTTGTGTCTCTACAGAACATTGTGTAGAGTACAACGTAGGCACACAATAAATATCTGTCCACTGATTAATTATTTGATTAAAATCTCCCATCTTTCACAAACTCCCGAGAGATAAAAGACCATGAGGCCTGCATCCAATAAAGGCCCAGTGTGTGAGTATAATTACTCTGCATGTCCCCACCAACCTGCACTCACAAATACAAATGCACACATCTCCCCCAACACCTGGTCACTGTGTGTGAGAATCGTGCAAGGAGGCAGTCCCCCTCCACTTCTGTAATGTCCTAGGGATAAATCAAGAAGCCTTTGCTCTGTGCACCTCCAGAAAATTCTCCATAAGCACACCTACCACCTGTCCTTCCTGTCCCTGTCAAATACAGTAGTATCCTCTCAAAACAAACTCTGTTGAGTTTGGTGGGCCGTGACTTTTCTGAAATGAATGGCACAACACTTTGATTTGTACCTACAACAAAAGCCCAACACTAATTTAAATGCTGAAGCAAGAATGGGCTTGCTCAATAGGTCATATCTTGTTTGTAAGTCACGGCTCCCACAAGCCATTTTTTTGATTCAATAACTCTGTTACACACATGTAGCCAAGAACTCTAAATTCTAAACTCTAGCAAAAGGTAACCTGGGCAAGGTGGGGCATCTTCATCATCTCATAGAGCCACAGACAGTGGAGCCTTTTTCCCCTAGGTGACCAAAGCTAGGTAACCTGGATGTTTTTCTTTCCTTTTCTTTCCCTAGCATGTTCAAAACAGTCCAAACACAGAAGAGTGGTCTCTGGAATCCTGTCATGGAGACCAACCATTCATAAAGGAAAGAGCCCAGAAGTGCCGAAAGTTCAGTGGGAATTCACGCTGGACTCCATCTGCCATTGGAGCTTGGACTTCAGTGAGTGATCCCTACAAAGTTCCACCTCATTTTCGGTGATGATTAATTCTCTGTGTCAATTTGACTGAACTATGGGATGCCAGACAGCTGGTAGCACGTTATTTCTGGGTGTATCTGTGAGGTGTTTCTAGAAGAGATGATCAGCAGGCTTCATAAATAAGACCCACCCTCCCCAATGTGGGAGGGCACCATCTAATACACTGAGGGTCTGGACAGAATGAAAGAGTGGAGGAAGGGCACTTCACTCTTCCAGCTTGAGCTGGGACATTCCTCTCCTGTCCTTGGGCATCAGCTCCTTTGTCTCAGGCCTTTGGACTGAGACTGAAACTTACACTACAGACATGAGCCAATTCTTATAAGTCTCTCGATAGATTAGAATAGATAGATAGATAGATAGATAGATAGATAGATAGATAGATAGATAGATAGATAGATTCTGTTGAAAAGGAAAACCCAGACTAATACACACTCCCACCCCACACTGCTTCGAACATGACATTCATTAGGTGCACCGGACCACTTTTCACTGTTTCCTGTACATTCTGTTCACATTGGGAATTCTGTGACTTCCTGCTTTATTTGGAATGCCCTTCCTTATTGTTTGTTAGACAAATTCCTATGCCACACCAAGGTCAAGCTTAAATATTAATTCATATACCGGCAAGCTTTTCTCTGCAAAATTTTGCTGTTCCCCCATGAGTGTTTTCCAGACATACTTTATCTTGGTGTGTACTGGAAGCAGGATGTCCATGCTTTATCTTTTTGTCATATGTGGAACTCTGGGAAGGCAGGAAGTAGATACAATTTTTTTCTCTACTCCAAGAACCCTCACACATGACTCGTGCTTGCTTTCAGGGCAATTTGGATCTTGGTAAGTGTTGAGGCGGCTGCCAAGGTTGGAAAGAGCTTGGTAAACAGCAAGGAGGAGTAAGGTGCAGCATGTCCAGCAGTAGGAGGAGCATGAGCAAAGCACAAAGGAGCTGGGGAAAATACTGGCGAGTTTGTGGAAGGATGGAAACGGGGAGCTTATGGAATAGAAGGCATGGGTAGAAGAGAAAATTTAGCAGGGACAAAGCCAGCAAGCTAGCACGTTGCTCTCTGTGTGTCCGCAAGTCCACCACCCAGTGCAGGCCGACCAGCACGGATCGCGTGGACAGGCTCCCTGCCCTCTGGCCTCCTGTTGTTCTGCCACTGGGAAGCAGTGGCAGGAGTCGGGGTTGGGGAGGAAGCAGGGTCCATCCACCAGCTGTCTATATCCCTCCATCAAAGTCTGGTGGCAGCCATGACCTCTTCCCCTTATCCCTTCAGGCCTAAAAGTGTTAACAGTGCCTTCCTGTTCGTGGCCCCAGGGTCCTGACTGTCCCTTACAGTTTTCCTACACCTTGGCTGCACCTTCATAAATATCCACTTTATTAAACTCTGCTCAAATTACCCAGTTTGAGGATGCCATCTTTTCCCTGTAGGATCCCTGACTATTACAGGTTCGTTGTGCAATAAGCCCTCGTGAAAGAAAGAGTCTGCATTTTATCCTGAAGACAAAGAGCAGGCAGGGAACCAAAATGAAGAACTCTGCAAAGGCCAGCTCAAAGAATCACTGATGGTTATAGATGGTAGCACACTTGAGCTTGTCTCTTTCTTCTCCAGGGGACAGCCCTCCTTGGCAGGGAAGGAGCTGCGAAGAAGAAACAGGAGTCCCTGAAACAAATCCATCTGCAGGCTCTCCTCCATCTTTGCTTTGTCTCCAGTCCTGCCCTCACTGGCCAGTGTGTGTCACCCCATACTATGGGACACACTGGATGAAGAAATGGGGCTTCATTCAGTCCCTGGACAAGTTAGGCCAGCCTGGCAGTTGTCCAAATCGACACTTTTTTTTGCAATTACACTGATTAAACTGATTGTTACACTGATTATTGTTCAAATCAGACACTTTTTGCGATTACACTGATTAAACCAGGATGTATTCAGGCAAACTAGGAAGAACAGTATAGATTAGCCACATGGAGTCACACTAGAAAAGGGGCTGGAATTACCTTGCTCCTCCCATGCCCAAGGCCTAGTGCGACTATGAAGGAGATGCACTGGCCTCTGGGGAAGCCAGCATGTGTGTCACTCCTGGCTTCATCTCTGGGGCTAGTTCCACCTCCAATTCTTTGTCAAGACACACTTTAACCAGCAAACCCCAGAATCCGACCTGGATCCTGCCTCTAGCACACTCCTATCACCCTAAAGCACCATCCATACTTAGAACTTGAACATGACTTGAAGAGGAAAAAAAAATATCACAGCTTAGGAGACCAAAATCATACCCCAGACCACATGCAGCTGCCATTTCCCTTCCAGTTAGTGTGTGTGAAGCCTGGCACCCATGTGTGCGAACTGGGCAGCAGGCAGACTGCCTGTCCACCTGATCTTTGCCCCAGGGACCATGTACACATATGATGTACATGTGTGGCCATGTGTGGTGGGAGGGAGTGGCTGGAAAGAAGGAATCTGGTTCACAACCAAAGAGACAGTCTCTGCTGTATCCAAACCCCACAGTTCACAGGAAGAAAGGTCAAATACAACTAGAACTCCAGAGGGACAAAGGGGACACCTGGGTTCGAGGTGGGCCTTGTCTGTTCTCTCACTAAGTGACCTTGGCAACACATCCTCTCACCTTTGGTGGTAACACAGTGCCCACATGACTGCCTGGGGCCTAGGTGAGAGTGAGGCACAGTAGGTGAGTGGACTGGCATCCTCCAAGGAGAGAGGCTGCTGGCTTCTGAGCTCCATTTCTACCATCTACGGAGGTGAGACACAGGTGGGACAGGAGAGCAGGACCAACATGCAATACACACTGCAGGGGCTGGAGGCTCATCCTTCTCTGTCCCTATCCTGTAGAGCCCACAGAAGCCTCTCCTCTCTCTAGTGGACTGTGAGGAGGCTGAGAGGAAGGGGTCCCCAGGGTCTGGAAAGACAACACTCACTAAAACAAGAAAATGTGAGTAATTAAGTGCAGAAAAGGTAACTGGATCTCTCCAGATAGTTAACCTAGGTGACGTGGCACCTTGGGGAACAAGATGCATCCCCAGAAAGAGGAAAGCTCCCAGTGGGAGGACACTACCTTTGCTGGGGCCTGTTGTCATTCCAGAGCCCTCCCTCACCTCGATGGGGGCCTCATCATTTGCACAGCCACTGCCCTGTCTCTCTCTCCCTGTGCAGGACAAAGCAGGAAGTCAGCCTTCAGCCCAGGCCCCTCGGCCCCTTCCATCATTTCTGTGTGCTCCCTGGGTTCTGGGTGCTTCTGCTTCTGACAGCCCAGCCTGAGACTCTGTTTGCACCCCCACCTCCACAGACAGCCACAAGTGCCTAGGGTTTGCGTCCCCCAGGGTGGCCCCTAGCAGTAGCCTGTGTGGCCTGTGTGGGAGTTGTAAAAGGGCCTGGTCACCCTGGTGGGTCTTTGCCTAAAATCGAGCCTCCACTTGGCTTCTTGCCCTGTCCTGCCTGGCTTCCCTTACACCTTCTGCCTGTTCTCCTAGGCCCACTTCCCTAATAAGTCATGACCACACAAATCCGTATCCCAGAATCTGCCTCTAGAGAACTGGAACAAAGGCAATCTTATGTGTAAATCTCACAAATGCTTTGTGATCAGAAGGAACTCTTCTGGAGAGGGAGTGTGAGATATTTGGGAGGCTGCAAGGAAAGGAAGGTGCTAGAAAGATGGAGGGTGGTCTGTAGTCAGGCACTGGGAGCAGGCAACCACAGGTGAGCCCTGCCCCTGGGAGAGAGGACACGGGGCAAGGTAGAGCCTGCAGCCAGAAGCCGGGAGTGGGGGCCCTTCTGGCCCTGGCCTAAGAGACCTTGGAGTGCCAAGAACATTTCTGTCTCCTGGGACACTGACACAGGGGTGAGGGGACACAATCCAGCCAGGCTTAGGTACTAACGAGGGACATTCTGTGGGGAGGGGAGGAGGATTTGGGGAGTTCAGTGGGTGGCAGGAGCATGTGGACAGTAAACTAATAAAGGATATAATAAAATAATAAAAATACAACCACTATGGAAAACAGTGTGGAGATTCCTTAAAGAACTAAAAGTAGATCTACTCACTACTAGGTATCTACCAGGAGGAAAAGAAGTCATTATATAATACGAAAAAGATACTTGCACACGCATGTATATAGCAGCACAATCTGTAATTACAAAAATATGGAACCAGCCCAAATGCCTGTCAATCAATGAATAGATAAAGAAAATGTGAGATATATATATATATATATATATATATATATATATATATATATATATATATATATACCATGGAATACTACTCGGCCATAAAAAGGAACAAAATAATGGCAATTGCAGCAAACTGGATGGAACTGGAGACTATTATTCTAAGTGAAGTAACTCGGGAATGAAAAACCAAATGTCATATGAGTCATATATATTCCTATATGACTCATATATAGGAGCCAAGCCATGAGGACTCAAAGGCATAAGAATGATACATTGTTTTTTGGGGCCTCAGGGAAAAAGGTCAGGGGTGGCAACGGATAAAAGACAACACCTTGGGTACACTGTACACTGCTCGAGTGAAGGTGCACCAAAAGCTCAGAAATTACCACTGAAGAACTTATTCACGTAACCAAATGCCATCTGTTCCCCACTAACCTACTGAAATAAAAAAATAAATAAATAAAAGCCAACCAAACAAACAAAAGATCAGCTGAATAAACAGAAAAGAGGTGAGAAGGTGTTCCCCCTAGGAAGAAAAAGGTATCCAAAGATACGGGTATGGGGCAGGCACGGTGGCTCACGCCTGTAATCCCAGCATTTTGAGAAGCTAAGGTGGGAGGATGGCTGGAGCCTAGGAGTTCAAGACAAGCCAGGGCAACATGGTGAGACCCTGTTTACAAAAAAAGAAAAAAAATGGCTGGGCAGGGTGGCATGTGCCTATAGTCCCAGCTACAGAGTGAGACTGTTTAAAATTAATTAATTAATTAAACAAACAAAGAATAAAGATTTGGGTGTGGCTCTGGGGCAGATGTTTAAAGGTTTGGTCTGATGAGAGCAGAGAGAGAACACCGAGGAAGAAAGACTAGAGTCAGCTGTAGCTGCCCTCAAATGCCAGGCTGGGAAGTATGCTCCCATCAGCAGCAAAGCAGATAAGCAGAGCCGAATGGCAGGAGAAAAATCATATTTGGAAGCAATAAAGAAGTAAGCCAGGGTGAAGAGATAATGGGGGCAGGGAAGTCCATCACTGCCAGAAACAGAAGCATGGAAACGTCCTCTTCCTGGGAGTTGCCTTTCCCAAATACGTTAGGCCTCGTTCTCACCATCAGACATATAAACAGACATGCTCTTAAGGTGCTGGAATCCACCTAAACAGGGCTGGCAGGGAGGGCTGTGTGTCAGGGGTCTCTGTGGCCCATTCTTTAGGTCCCCCGGGGAACCTTTCAACTCACAGCCATCCCCCGACCTGTGCTTCTAACTTACCCCTTAAACTTCACTTCAGGCAGTTATCTCCAAAGATGTGGATGAACTGAAGTGCATTAGGATGGGATTATATGCCCATTTATTTGCCAAATGTTCATTGAGCACCTCCTATGTGCCATGTATTGTGTTAAGCTCTTAAGGAATTCAATGCAGAGGCAAACAAGACAGACTCATGCAGAGAGGCACAGAAAGACAGGATTATAATGCAGAAGTGTGCTGTTTCTTATGATAGGAAATTATGGGTGTTGTGCAGAAAGTAGACGTGTGTGGAGGAACCCAGCCTAGTCTAATGGGTCAGGGAAGGGCTTGTAGAAGTGAAGTTTCTGCTGAGAACTTTACAAATGAGTATAAATATGGTGCTGGGAGAGACATGGGAGATAATTTATCAATAAGGAACCTACAGAGGTTAAGTCTGTGCAGCTCTTTCTTTCATAAGCCTAAGGCTACTTAGCTACTTACTTCAAGAAAGATTTTGGATGACAGCGAGCATCTCCTGATTCTTTGACCCAAAATTAGTAATAGTCTTTTCTGGGGTGAGTGGATTGTAAGATTTTGCAATGAACATTTTGAAAGCTTGACAATGCACTGGGTGTTACTCAGATTTTAACAAGATTTCTGCCATCTGGAAGCCGCCATGCATTCATATATTTTACCTGCGATCACCTCAGCTTGCTTGTTCATATTTGAGAGAGGCAGCAACCATGCCTAGTAGCTTGATTTCCATGGAGTCCAGTGGGGTGCTTCTCTCTTTTTCCATTGTGTTGCGACAAGCCTGAGTCCGTAGTCTTTCTGTGACTCAGTTTTCATATATGTCAATGGGGAAAAATGGTCTCTACCCCACCCTGTTCTTATTGTAATGAGGGTCCATGTAAGTATTGAGGGGAAGAGTATCAAGGACTCCGCAGGAGCATGGAGGTGTTAATGTTTACAAACCTTCTGAGTGCGGATGCTATCGTTCCCTCCCTTCCCTATTATTTTCCAAGTAACCAAATACATGGCTACATCACTATGTTCAACATTACACATTTATTTATTGAGCTCATATGCCTGTGAAGATGCAGTGTTCACTCTCCAGAACAAAACATATTCCTTACTCTATATTTTAGGAGCTTATGATACAAAGAAGATAACAGCTACTTAAATGAAATAAAGCAGAGAACCTGCACAGGCAATTGAATGACAAACACCGGACGGATACAGAAAGAAATAGACCCAATTTTAACTCTCAAAGTACAATGACCAAGTCTGAACCAAACAAAGGAAGCCGTTAGGAGAGGGCTGTTTTCCTTCACTCTGCTGTAGTTCCCACCCTGGTGGAAGGAGCAGGCAGGATCCTGACGGGGATTGGGGGAGCAGATGGGGGCGGGGCAGTGGTCGCACAGGTATAAAACGTCAGGCAGAGGAATGTATCCTCGGGCACTTGAACTGCATCAGCTGGTTCATTCCAAAGTAATTTCCTTCAACCAACACTGGGCAAATAATTATCTAAGTCCTTTACGGAAACTCTTGGTGCCTTTGATGATGCTCTCTATTAACTGGTCTCTGTAGGAAGGGACTCTAGCCAGGCTGTAGAAGAGCTAGTTATTTCCCTGCATGCATTCTCTCTAATTTTGAACCTCCAACCACAAGCTCAAATCATTTCCTAAGCTTCAATGGACCATCTTCTGAACACCAGGCAGTGGGAGCGGGGGGCCTCTTCCACCTGCTCTTTTGGTCCCACACGCAACCCTCTTCAGTCCAGTCACTCTTTTTGCCGCAGGGACCTTTCTAACAAATCTGTTTGAGAATCACTTGTTCAAGAGCCTTCAGTGGTTCCCACTGCCTTCAGGATGAAGCTCAAAGAGTTCAGAAGAACATGCCAGGACCTTGAGGTCTGGGATCCTGCAGCTTCCTTAGTGTGGCATGCTCTCCCATGCCCCAACCCATTTCCCACACTGCCCCTCTGTCTACAGCACCCCTCCCTACTTACTCGCCCACACACCCCTTCCTTCACAAGGCTCCCTCTGACCCAACAAGGCTGCACTTTCGTAGGGTTCCATCATAACCTTTGCCAGCCCATATGGCAATTCTGAAGGCAGGGCCTGTGTATTTTCTTTATCTTTCTTTCCATAATCCTCTTGCAACCTATTGTGCCTTCCATGGTACCTAGTTCATTATCACAGGCAGTCAGTAAATATCAGTTGCTTGAAGTGAAGGCACACTGCAGCAGGCATCTGTCCTAAACCAGGTGTCTCTGAGACAATAGCTGGCCCCACACTCAGCCCCAACACTGGCACCTCTCCAACTGTTTTCCATGGTTACTCACACCGGGCTGCCAGAAGCATAACACGCGTGCATCTATAGCACATGTGAGCTATGCCACTAGAAGTCACAAAGCAACATTTTGTGCTCCACAAAAGCTTTCAAAATGAGAACGGAGAATGCAGCAGACATTTCATGACAATGTTTTTGTTAATTAACCAGAAAAATAATAGCTCAAACTTTCCTTGCACATGACAGCATGCAAAGCCCTTTCTCATATAATTCATATCTCACAGCATCATCATAAGAAAGTTGGAGGCAGAGACACATCTCAAATCCCAGATCTGAGGCTATGAAATGTGTGATCGTGGGCAAGTCACTTCATCACCCTGGGCCTCGGTTTCCTTTTCTGTACAGGACAATGGTAATGTCTATGCGGCCTCAGCCGTGCAGTTCTCACCGTGAGAAATCTCCCATCTTGCTCTGTGGGGATCCATGAAGAGCCTGCTGGCGGCTTAGGTCTGCTGCCGGCAACTCCATCAGACTTCCCTATTCTCTGAGGGGCAGGGCTGTTTGAAACCCCTAGCTGTTCCACTTTTGCCAAGGTGAATGGAGAGAGGAAAGGTCCAGGAGATTAGACTAGAAAGTGGTGTAGAACTGTGAAGGCAGGGATGCCAATTACTAAAATACGATACATGCAAACATGCCTTCACTTCCTATGCAAATTCTTGAGAGAAAGAAAGGTGTAAGTGCAAAGGAGCATGCTGTATTTCACCTCAGCAGAACGCAGAAGAACCAGATAGTATTAATTAGAACTTAAACGCATGAAGTAAAATTAGCAACATGATTGCTCCTCTCATTGTAATTATCACGGGAATTAAAAAAACAAGGCAGAGAATGGAAAATGCGGTACCTTCCTTTTTTTTTCCACTTGAGAGCCACATTCCATACCTCTTGATCTTATGACTTTCTCTGACTGGTGTGGTATCTCCTTGCATCTCCCTAACAAAGCTGAACCAACTCCCACTTCCGAGGCTTCACTGTCTTTCCCTCATCCCGCTACTCATCTGATTTCTAGATACGAGTGGTTTCATCTGTCAAGATGATTTCCTATTACTGGTCACCTCTGGGAATATCAGACTAGGTTCCCTTCTCCTTCTGAGAATATTTACTGTGAAAACAAATCTCCTACTCCCAAAGTCCTAACAGACTCTGGAATTGAATTCTTCTAATTAAGAATCAGATACATTTACATTTCAGCTTCATCCAAACCTGTTAAGAACATCCAGAGAGAAAGAGGAAGGCTGTAAAGTCATTGGCAGGAGTTGAGGTTGTTCTCAATAAAAAGCCTGACCAAAACTGCACAAGAAAACTCAAGAAAATGGAGGTAGGTGAAGATGAAAAAGGGGAAGAGAATTGAGGAAACAGTGGGAGAAGACAGACAGACATTTCTGGCAAAGCTCAGAATGTTGAGGCTGTATCCATTTGGTACCTCCTGTACTGTATGCTCTTCTTGGTCTTTCTAATACAGTCCTAGGAGCCCCATTTTGAAATGACTGGTGTTGGAGGACAGATATTCTGTGTGTGCACTGAAGAAAAATAATGACAAAAATCAGTTTTTATTTCCTAAGAAGTCTTCCCTTCCATGACTTTGAGGTAGAGCCCACAGGAAGCTGTAGATTAACTGAAGCTAACCTTACTTCTAGGTAGGCATGAAAAACCCACCTGAGGTCTGTCTTTAGGAATTCTGTCTTAAAATACATTTCTCCTGTCTTCAAAGCCAGAATGGGAATGCAGGGCCTAAGCTACTGGGTCAAGTTACCCAGAGTTCTGATACATCGGCTGATTGGGAACAGCAAGACCTCAACTCAGGGCTCCTGGGATCTGTTTGCTTCCCTTTGTTACCTTACTGAGGATAGTGCCAGAGACTCTGAATCAATATATGTGTGAGACACAGGAAAACTATCCCCTAAGTTGGTTCTAAACTATCACTTAGAGCATCAATAGTAACAATACGTACACAGCTGTATGCACTATACAACATTGCTCTTCCAGAAATGCAAACAGTTTTGGATACCAAGTCCCTATACAGCCACCTCCAAATTCCTCTTCTAGAATATATGACCAATAGACCCCACCCTATCCACCCTACCAACACACACACACAAACACACATCTTTTGCAAACTACACTTTTCCAGCGGCACTTTCTAAAGAGAATTGTTCACTCAATAACCTGCTGGGACTTGTGACACCAACCCATCCCAAAGAAAAATTTCTACACTGTCGATAGTGATTTCTGACCTTACCAGCCTCTTTTTTTTTTTTTTTTTTTTTTTTTTTTTTGAGATGGTGTCTCGCTCTATCGCCCAGGCTGGAGTGAAGTGGTGCAATCTCAGCTCACTGCAAACTCTGCCTCCCGGATTCATGCCATTCTCCTGCCTCAGCCTCCTGAGTAGCGGGGACTACAGGTGCCCGCCACCGCACTCGGCTAATTTTATTTTATTTTTTTATTTTTTATTATTTTTTTTTTAGTAGAGACGGGGTTTCACCGTGTTAGCCAGGATGGTCTTGATCTCCTGACCTCGTGATCCACCTGCCTCAGCCTCCCAAAGTGCTGGGATTACAGGTGTGAGCCACCATGCCCAGCCCCTTATCAGCCTCTTGTACCTGTGTGATCACCTGGCAAGTTAAGTTGGTTGGGTGAACTCCTACACCCACAACTATAACCCACTGGAAGATTCTTTGAGGCTCCTGTTTCTGCATGAAGGAGATATACATCTGGACAGCCTGGGGCCAGTCCACAAAGATCTGAGGATGGTCCCTGGAGAGGCAACATCTGATGTCCTGCTCTCTACAGTCCCCAGGCAGCCTCTAAATTCTACAGCTGAGAGAGTAAACAGGACTAGCAACAGTTGAGATGTAACATTGTGTATGCATATTCAAAAGACATTCATTATCTGTAGGACATTGTTTAGAAATTGCTCTACTATTTAATTTGTGATAAATGATTAGCAAACATGTTTATCAATGTAAAAAAAAAAACACACTCACAGAACAACTTTAATTGGATTCATATACTTTAGTGTCTGGGAAAGCTGAGAAGCAAACCATCCTATACCACTGCCATGTGCTTCTCCTCTCCAGCGTCCTGTCCCCAGCCATCTGCCCTCAGACTTCATCTACAACCCCAGACAGCCTTCTGCCAAATGTAAACTGATGGTCACAGGGAAAAGGAGAGGACATATGGATGAGAGTGCCCAAATATGAGAATATCCTTTGTCGACAAAAGCCAGAAAAGTGTAAATCTTTCAGAGAGCCAATGCCCAGGCCAGCATCCCACCTGGTTCAGTCCCTTGGATGGGGAAGGGTGGATCTAAGACAAGAGCTTGGCTCTGGGACTTGCAGGCTATAACGTTAGACACTACTAAGTCTGCCGGCATGACACTCTTTCTCCTATTAATAGCAACTTCTTCAATTTGCTCGCCCCAGAAAACAAAATGAATGAGGCTTGGCTGTGAATGTAGGGAGACTAAAGCCCAGGATGGCAATAAATCGGAGAGCAGAGTGGCAGACACTGTAATCCGCCGGAATGCCGCTCTGGCTCAAGGAAAAGAACCTCTTTGGGGAAGCAGTGGAGGGAATCAATGCCCATAAAAGCATCCGAGGCAGCAAGCCACAGCAGAAAAGATAGATACTGTTGACCAGCACATGCAGCAGATTGCTGGTTGTAAAACAAAATAGAAAGTCATTAAAAAGGTGGGCAAAGGGCACGATTGTGTGATGTGGATGTCACAGGGGACCTGTGTTATAGAGGGCTCAGGCCTCCCCATCCGTCAGAAGGTCAGCATCGCCAAGACTGCCTGGAATCCCACACTGCAGATCCCTCTCTATGCGCTCACCGCAGCAAGGTGAGAGATGGGTTAGTATTTATTGCCACTTATGTAATAGGTCTATTTGGAAACACATTCTGACTCGCTTATCAGGATATTAATACATCACAGCATATTGAGCTGTATTCATTTTGGGTTCGGGTTGCTTTAACCAAAGACTTTCCTGGGAAGCCTGCCAAGGTATGTTTTTCTGGAACGAGCTCCCTTTTCTGCCTCATTCACCACCTTTCGATCCACCAGAGGGCAGAGTCAACCCATAAGACTCAGGCTCAGGGACTTTGGGGGGCAGTTTGAAATAGGAGGAGTTTTGGGAGAACGCACCAGAAAAGCAAAGGCCTGAATAAGTTATTCATCCTGAAAGCTGGAGATGGAAATAGTTTCTGGAACTCTCAAGAAAAAAGACTGACAATAAGGCCCGAAAGAAGCAAGTTAAATAGTTCTTAATGTGCTGTGCCTCAGTTTCCCAACATTTGAAAGGAGCAGATGCTTGAATCATTTCCAACTCACCCTGTAAATTAAACCACGCTTTGCGGGTCACAGAAAACACCTCTCACAGCAAAGGAGGGGCAGCTGGCAGAGAAACAGGCTGCAAGGTCGCAGCCAGCACAAATCGGAAAAAGGCACGTTCTGGAGGCTTCTTCCCTCCTTCTCGCTTCCCTCTCCCTTTGCCTCCTGGTAGGGCTCTTTCTCCTTCCGCATTTCCATTCTTGCCCTCTTTCTCCTTTTCTTTCTTGTGCTAGTTTGGCTGCCCTCTCCAGCTCCTCTCCTCTTGGGAGAAATAAAAGTAAAACCAAAAACAACTGCTAGGGGAGAAATGACAGCAGCTGCTTCCTCCCCCTCCTCCTGCCCCCGCCATGGGAGGTGGCTGCGAAGTCCCCGCACACTGCCAGCCATGGTGAGAGCTTTGATTTCCAATCTGATCGCCTCATTTTGTCAGCCTCTGCATAACACAAACAGCTCAGCCCCCACTTATCACAGAAAAGAAGGGGGTGATGGAAGGAAAAAAAGTAGAAGGAACACCTTCCTCTCCCATAATAAATAACTGGCACAGGCATCTCCTGTCACCCTCAGCATTGTCCGTGGTGTGTGTCTCCCTACCTTGCCATTAAGAAGTAACTCACCACAGCTGGGCTGGAGAGAAACAGTATCTCCCTGCTATTGTTCACAGCGTTCTTGTGTGACAATTTCAATCCATCAGACTTTTCTTCTGCAAAGAATTGATGGACTAAGGATCCTCTGGCTCGGAGCTGTTTGTATTTCTGCACTCGTTCACACACCCAGGTGGCGAGACCCTTGCGCCCACTCAGTCTCTCCCACTCCCACATCGCGCAGGGGCGCCTGGGGACCCAAGCTGCTTATGGAAAGCGAGGCTCCACCTTTGCTGGGCTGCGCTTCTTCCTCTGCCAACAGCCCACTCATCCCCCTTGCCTGGGACCCCTGTTGATCTCTCTTACACACACACAATATACACACACACACATACAAACACATGCACGCACACACACCACATACCACAGCACACACCACATACCACAGCATACACCCAGCCACACACACACCACACACCACACATACCACACAGCACACACAGATACACAACACACAACACACATGCACCATATACCACAACACACAAAATACACGCACCACATACCACACACACATCACACACCACACACTACACACCACACTCACACCACATACCCCACTACGCACTACACATGACACACACACCACATACCACATGACACACATACCACATACACCACCAAACACCACACACATCACACACCACACACTACACACCACATACACATTCATACCCCACCACACACCACATACATCACATAGCACACACTACACACCACACACACCACATACACCACCACACCACACACGCATCACAGACACATCACACACCACACACTACACACCACATACACACTCATACCTCACCACACACCACATACATCACATAGCACACACTACATACCACATACCACATACACCACCACACACACATCATACACTACACACTACACAATCACATACCACACCACACACCACATATACCACATACCACACCACACACACACACACACACAAACACACACCAGTACATTATTTATCTTCTACTTTACACTCTAAGGGAGGGTTTGACTTAGTCTAATTCACTCAATAAAATGAAAACATCCTTTCCTGATTCACTCACTCAGTCGCCTCATCTTTGTTTGCATCCCCACTGTGAGCCCATCCGTTTGCGTTTGCTGGGACTGAGTGTAGACAGATATGCGGGCAGTGTGAGGAAGGCAGGGTGTGTCTGGGAAGGTTGTGCTCTAGAACTCAAGATGCAAATCAGGCCCACCTGTAGAACTTGCTTTACTTATTCATTTGGAGATGGATGTCATGCTGGCACCCAGGCTGAAGTGCAGTGGCACAATCATCACCCCTGCAGCCTCCAACCAGCCTCCAGAGTAGCTTAGACAACTGGCGCTAGCTACAGTACCTAGGAGTACAGAAGCTAGGACCACCAGGAGCAGCTATTTTTCTTTATGTTGTTGTTTTTTTGTTTTTGTAGAGACAGGGTCTTGTTATGTTGCTGAGGCTGACAATTTCAATCTCCTGGACTCAGGCAATCCTCCTCACTTGGCCTCCCAAAATGCTGGAATTACATGCATGAGACACCACACTCAGCCATTGTGGAGCTTTATATAAATGCCTGTACTTTATAAATTACCCAAGCAACCCCGCCCTGCGCGTGCGCGCGCACACACACACACGTACACAAAAAATATTCAGAACAATTTCCACAACTTTTTCTGATGTGCAAAACTGAGAATCATTATTGTGAGCAGCTGCTGAGTAGGATTTGGGTAGAAATGGGGAGGCAGATGGGCAACAAACCTGGACAGGTGAAGAGAAGTACTTTCGTGAAGGGCATTTTAAGTTATGTTAAGGAATCTAAGGCGCAGGTGCCAAGAGCTTCCAACAGGGCGGCACTGTGCTGGGACCTGTGTTTTGGAGCCTGTCTCTCCCTGCAGACTGAGAGCACTCACAAAACCACCAAAAGCCAGCCCAGCCACGGCTGCTGAGATCTCAGGGAGGGCAGGGCCCCAGGGGCTGGACAGGAAGGGATGGAGACAGGAGACACCGGGAAGTAGAACCCATGGCCCGATCGAAGATCCGGGGATGGGAGGGGCAATAGCAGAAAGGAAGGGGCATAGCACAATAATGACCCTGACTAACGTTTATTGATCACTGGAGTGTGCCAGGCACTATGCAAAGCACTTTACTCAGATCATGTTATGTGAGCCACACGGCCACTCTGTGTGGTAGTAAACAAAAATATCTCCACTTTACCTGCAAGGGAACTGAAACTTAATAAATTGCCTCGGGTCACAAAGCTACTAAATTACAAAGCAGGCACTGGATCCTACTGACGGTCTCCAGGAGACGGACACTCTAAGGCAAGGTACAACTCTGCCTCGTGGTTTCTGTCCTGAGAAAGTGGGATGGGATGGGTGCAGAGTCCTAAGGAATGGAATCTGGGGGAAGGCTGTGCACACGTAGGAACCTAACTCTTGGTCAGTAACCGGCACATGCGTGGTTCTCTAATGGACTCTCCTGGGCTGGTCCTGTTTGCCTGCCCAGGCTGTTGATGCCTTTAGCACACGGTCCATTCTGCTGTGCCTCAGAGGAGCTATTGCCAGCTGGTCTCACGGCAGGTACTCAGGCACCTGTTGGCTGGCTCATCAAATGCGCATATAGCATTGTGTATGGGAAGGACCAGTGGCAGGGGATTTCCCTAGCTCTCGCCGAAAACAGAACGGCCATAGGCCCATCCACATTGCTACCCTTGGCTTCCTGGTACTCAAAGCTTGGATCAGCTTCCTCTGTCGTTCTATGCAATGGACCACACAGACATGCCATAACTGACACTGTTATTAATTGTTGGTCTCCTAGTGAGGCTTCCAGAGACATGGTTGTGTTTAGAAAAGATGGCAGATTTGCCTCCATGAATACCTTTCTGTAGAAAGCACGTAGGTTTACCTCCCCCTTCACCTACGAGAGAGCCTCTCTTCTAACTACCCCTTCTCCCCACACTGCCCCCTGTGCCTTTCCAGTCCCTTCTCTGTCCTTGCCATGGACAGTGCATTTTACATGAAGCTGTAAAATTTGATGACAGCTTTCCTTGTCAATGTGGCCCTCATGCTGATCCCTCACAGTTCTGACCCTCTGGCAGTTGAGCAGCCTCATTGCAGATGAGAGAAAAGAGAGAGAAGCAAAGGGGGAGTGAGATGCAGAGAAGCAAGGCTGACGGGGAGATGCACAGAAGAGAAGATAGGAAAAGTGTGCCAGGAGGAGGCCAGCCAGGGGGAGCATGAGGAAATACATTCAACGTGGCGAGGAAGGAGAACAACTAGAGTCCATGTTTTCCATCTCCCTTGCTCTTTTTGTTTCCAATTAGATGAATGAGTGAGTCTGTGTGTGTGAGTGTGTGTGAGTGTGTGTGAGACAAGGCAACAGGAATCTAATTCTGGGCACCACTGTGACAAGCTACAAACCCAGAAAAATTCTGAACAGGGCAAACTTAAGTATCTTTAAAGAAACGCCAACTAAGGAGCTCAGGAGATTTGGGAGAAAGGGGTGAGTCCCTGGCTGAGAGATTTCCCAAATACAGCTGGTGTGGAAAGTGCTCCCTTTGCTCAGGACACCCCTGGGGCTCTGAGGTACCCCTTCCCTTTATGAGGTGGCACTGCTGCTTATTTGTCCTCAGATGATCAGACCAAAGGCACCACTTTTATCAGACAAGTGTCAGCTCATTTACAGAGGGGACTTCTTTTCCTCCCCGCCAGGTAGTTGAGGCACATCTTCAGGCATCCTTAAAAAACTCACGAACTCTGACAGTAGGCGCAGCCCCAGTTTAGGTTACAAGTATTCATTCCTATGAAAACCTCCTGGATTTGACTTTAACAGCCCCAGGGGAGGCCGATTTGCTGACTACAGAGTTGTTGAAATAAAACCAGTTGGAAAAGAATCTTACAGAACACCATAGTGGGGAAAATCCACGTCTACCCCTCCAAGTGTCCTATCCAGGGGGCACACCCCACTTTGGCCTCCCTTGTTTATTTATCTCATTTCTCTTCCAGTCTCAGGCAGAGATCACTTTGGCAGGGTCCCAGCGCCCCAGCCCTACATCTTCCCAAAGAGAAGCCCTGTCTATTCGGAGCAAAGGCCCACACCGAGTGCACGGCTCCTAGCACAATGGCTTGCTACAGCTTTCCTAAACACGCAATTCAGCGCCTATAGCACTTTGCCTACATTTCAAATTAATAGGCAGTTTAGGTGCTCCCCTTTCAGTTTCATGCATAGAGGTGGAGGCTGCAATGAATGCCAGCCCATGGTGTCTAGGTGATTAGATCTGTCTGCAGAATACAGGTAATTTGTGTTTCTGCTTTGTGCAATTGGCACTAATGCACATGCATAAAATGGAGCCATCTTCCAAAACACTCGTCAAAGAAGTATATTTACCAGGCACAAAGGCTAGGAGCAGAAGAATTGAACTCTAATGATAACATGTTTGTAGAAAAGTGATGCACTTAAGTTATTATGCATGAAAACTATTGGCAAAATAGTCTAGGCTGGTTCGAGAGAGGGGGGAGGAACAGAGGGGTGGGTCTGCCCATTGGAATCGAGGGACACAGAGCTGTGTGAGGACACAAATGACTCATGGGAAAGGAAAATAAAATGAGAATTAAAGGTTCTGAGGTAGAATTTAAGAGAGAAACAGGAGAGGATTTCTTAGGTCAAAGGGAGATTGGCAAGAATAGAGCTGGGAACAGGATCCTATAATGAACCAGCTTTTCACTCATATTTTCTGTACTTCATAGTCTTTTTACTTAAATAAATGGAGCTGGGGCATTTTCCATTTGTCCCTCATCTCCTGCATTTCATCACGCCTCTGTTGACCCCAGGAGTCTTATACGAGATTCATATTTTTTTTCAGTATTTTCTGTTATACTGTGGTATCTACAGTCGGTACAACTTTATGCATTTTGTTTTATATTTTACTTTTTATACTTAGACCTTGACGTTAGTTTGCATTTTAAGAGTAGGACATTAACACCCTGACCCTGATTTCATATTCAAAGCAAATGAGGTCCAGGGAAGAAGGGCTTATAGAGGTCATTGCCTGAGACAACTTTAGTGATTAAGATGAATTGCATATCCTCAGGCTCCTGCGGTGAAACCCTCCCCATCTCTAAAATGGGAATGAAACCGCTGGCCCCTTCTACTTTTCTCCTGTGAACACTGCAAACTTTGAGGAGAGTTAAACCAGATGAGCATATCAAGGTGACCACTGGACATATTTTGATAGCAGAAAAAGGCATTACAATGATTAATTCAAGATATTAGATCATGGAAAAATCACGAGTGTACGTGCTCTCTCTCTCTCAAACATACACACACACGCACTCCCCACAAAATACATTCCATCCCACCTCTTCCAGCAGAGCTAAGCTTGCAGCAGCCTATGCATACTCTACCAAGAGGCACCTTGGGGTTCAGACGACAAATAAACTGTACAGTAGATTCCACATCCACGGAGAATCTAGAAAAGGACGCTAAGCTCTCTTTTCTTGCTATTGGCATATCTCTCTCTGGGGACTCCTGTGGATATTAACGCCTACTAATCCTTGCAGAACCCTAAGCAGGGAGGCAAATACTATTCTATGCCTACTACCAGATGAAGAAAGAAAGGAGCCAGCAACATAGATGATTTATCCAATGTGGTTTACAGATTTGGTCTTCAAAAGAGGTCCTATTCTTTATATGGAGTGATTCAAAATTTAATCATTGGTCATAGTCTGGTCCCTCTTTTGCCCACAGCAAAGACACTGTCTCTTGCAACCTTAGAGGAGGAAATAAAAGCCATTAGCTGGGTCTAAAGTGTCTCAGGCCACTGTTTTTAGGGAGACCTAAACTCAGTCGGGTAAACTGAGTTTTGTCACCCCTCACTCTCATTCTTTTCCCTTTTCTCTTCTTCAAATTTCTAAGTCTACCAACTCCTGGGAAGAGCAGAAACATTCTGGCATTCTCTCAAAAATCTTGGTCCCATATATTGAGAGACTGTAGCAATACAACGTCTACATTTGAAGGAGCCATGAGCTCTGATCAGTTTTAAAGCCAGAGCTGCTCAACATGTGCAGAAAGAAAATAGCAACATAAACAGGAGGAAACAAAGACAAGAACTAAAAAAAAAAAATCATCAGCCGAGCTGTAGAACCAAGCTGTGACTGGGAGGGAAGGCAAGCGGGGGGCTCAGACGGGGGTCCTGATTCGCGTGCAATAGAGAATGCCCAGAATCGCATTCTTCTGAGATTTGTCAATTTCCCTTCTCTCTAGCTCTGATGGGGGCTTTTTACACCAGAACATATACTCTTTATATAGCGTGTTATAAATCTGCATCTCCCCAGGAGCTGATGCAAGGCAGCCATGCCATTCTCATGCTAGCCCTTGATGGGGACTCGGTCTAGACCAGTGGCACTGCTCTGCTGTGTGAACCCTAACCCAGCACTGCCTGTGCATTGCCAGGTGATTGCATTTCATTTAACAGCTCTGCCCTTCTGTAGCCTTGGTGCAGAAGGTCCCCAAAGCCCATCAGATATGGCTCTTTGGCAGAGAGGCGTGATGCCACGGGACCAGAAGACTGCCAGCTTATTTCCATTGTGACTGAAAATCCCATTTCAGCCTAGGATGGCAAAGGCAAACAATTTAATGCATTAACCTGCACTGACTCCTCACCCAGCTGCTTCCCGTCCTGATTGAACGGTAAGAAGGTTAATTATTCCCAGGCTCATCTTCAGACTTCACAGACCATATCATCACTGCTGGCAGGGGTGCCTGGTCTGGCTGAACCCAGGCTGTGGAGGCCGGTGGTGGTAATGGAATTGGCTGTTCCTGCTGCTGCGACCCCAGCTCCACTCTTTGATATCAGAAGGGTCAGTCATGATGTCAAGCGCACATGTCCCCATTCCAGGAGTACAAGGAGTGATGGTTTTTCTTACTGCACAGTGTGCTTTGGAAAATTTGCCCAACTGTAGCAGTGCACCCTTCAGCCATTGATGATCTCAGTAGACACCACTTGCAGGACGAGCACCTTCTCCTTACAAATCCAGTGTCCAGGGTGACCACAGAGCTACAGCCCTGGGGAGCTACAGCCTCTGGGAATAAGCTCCAGACACAGTAAGAAGTAGAGGAGACCGGCTGATGCCAATGTGGGGCACTGTCTGCCCAGGTCCCAGGGCCCAGAGCATGGGGGCCACCCATGGATGAGAGAACATCTTTTCATCCGCTGGAAACTGGAGAATGAGACAGAGAAAGAATGTGGCAGGCTGGGGGGAGAGGCGCTTCTACTATACACTATCTATCTCTACTCCTCCCCCTCCCAGCCCCTTCACCCCCTTGAGGACATCATCCTTAAAATATATTTCATTTCACAGCTGCATTATGGTACCACAAAATCCCGGGAATCCAATTTAAGAACAGATTACCTCCTCACTTACTTCATTTGAAGCAATTACATGTTAATTTTCATTGAAACCAGCCTAATGCATACCAATCTGACGCTGCGATCTCATTTGAATACGTAAGGGAACATCCAGAGAGTTTGGGGGTGCCAGAGATTTATATTTAAAGGGCCACTTCATCATTCCTTTTGTTGGTGGGCTCTCATCTATTTCTGGTACCCTTTCCGTGGCTCTTGAGGACAGAAGTTCTCTCATGGTGAAATAAGAGCAGATAAGCTTTCTCCAAAACAGCAGTAGCTGTCCTTGGAGAGGAAGCCCGTGTTCCGAGGTTTCTTTCTTCTCTCTGCCATTTATGTGCTGTGCGATTGCGATGAAAACACCTCCACCTTGCTTTATCTTCCTTGCAAAGTCAAGATTTATTCTCTGCCATCTGCACAGGAGAGATGCAATGCCAAGTCCCAGCTTTTTCTCAGCCTCAATCCATGCTCAGCCCTCTCAAATTGTTGATTACCATATATTGTATTCCCAACCATTCACCTAAGGAGGAAATAGCTTTCTAGACAAGCCTTGTGCATTGATTGCAGCCACTGGTAATTAATAATACTCAGGGACTTTGGAATCAGCTGGTCTTTCAGTTTTAGAATAGGGAAGTTAAAAAAAAAAGCTTATCTGCTCAACTTACGCTTTTAAAATACTAAAGAAATTCATGTTTGAAGCTACCGCTTAATTAGATTGTAAGACTGTAAAGGACCCTGAAACTATTGTGAAGATGCAATATAAATGTGTTTTATATTATGTTGCAATTAATCTACTATGACATGGAGGCAGGCAGATGGGAGTGACAAGATTGATTTAATTCAAGTTAGCGCGGAGTCATTGGTCCCAAGGCAGCCCAAGTTCTTCTTCAGTTTTGAATTAGGTACTTGAGGGTATGAGCACAGACAAGGAACTGGACAGATACCTATAACTAACAGCTCAGTGTTGCCCTGAAGTAGGACAGGTGTCTGGGGTACTTTTTATTCTGTACAATGCTCATTTATTCAGCGCCCACTGTGTGCTTGTTCTTAGATTCAGAAACAGAGCAGTAAAGTATTTTTTAAGTGCTAAGCCCCTGTTCTCATGGAACTTACACAAACAAAACCCCAAATAAACAAATACATCAGAGAGTAAATCCAATGCAGACCAATAAATTCCTGTGTGGACAACAGGAAGTATGGAGAGGGGTACTATTTTATTTTTGGTATATCACATCAGCCCAACAGATTTTAGCCTGGGAAGAATCAAAGGGCCCGGTTGGTCTGCTTCTTTAGCATTGATTACATTAATGAAATTAATGCTTTATATATAAGAATATTTCAAAGCCCTTTGTCAAATCACAGCCCTTCACTTCTGAGAGCAAAGACTTGTCACTCCTTCCATCAGCAGAAGCTTAGCTTGGTATTGTCCATCACATGGCCAGGAAGCCAAGCAAGGTGGGGCACAGACTAGGGAGAGGGGCCCATGCTCAGAGTTTCCAGTCTGAAGACTGACACACTTTTCTAACCTTTTCAAACTCAATCAACTAGAGAAGAAACAAAAAGCAATGCTCCCTTCCCTTATGGAGACATTGGCAAACACTCTCTTTGTCTTCGTGTAGCAAGAATGAACAACATTTGCATTGCTAGAGGGTTAACTAGACTGGTAGAAAGCAGTTGCAATACAAAAAAACAATCATTTTAAATGAACACTCACGATTTCTAATAGAAATTTTCCAATGCAGAATTAGAAATGAATGTGAGTCATTCTGGAACTTTGGACTTCTATGACTTTGGGGGCTGATGAGAGTCTGCCTTGATCAAATGATGCCAGGAAATAGTCTCACCTCTTGAGAAAATATTAGCATAAGAAGCTCTGTGTTGTCCTCGATGGATAGTTTCCCCCTTACTTTTCTTCGACCTGGGCTCCTTGCAGAATTGTTCTTTCTTCCCTACACCTATATTTCATTCACTCATATTATTTTAATTAACTACACTAGTTTTCAAGTCTGCAAATGAGGATAGCATCACGGAAAGGGGCTGAGCCATCTGTTAGATGTGGTGAAGAAAGGTCTATAACTGTCATCCTCAGCAGAGCTCACGCTTTTGGCTGGATCTTAATAATCATGACTTGCATTTCCATGGCATATCACAATTTCCCAAACCTATGCATGCCTTCCTTCCATATCTCCTGGTGCTGGGCACTATGCTAGGTCCTTGAGGTAGAAGGAACACTCCTGCTCTGAATGATGTTAAGGACACCCTATAGTTACTACTATGAGGGTGGTTAAGTACAAGATGCAGTAAGAGTCCAGAGAAGAGGTGCGGGCACTCATGTATCTGTCCCCTTCATTTCCCAACATTCTCTGCCTTGCTCTGTATCCAGAAACTGCATTCCCTATAATTCCCAGGCTTCCTCTCCCTCTGGCTTCAGCACTGTCTTGGTCAATGGAAGAGTAGGAGAAAGTATCACCCCCCACTTCTGTTTGGGTACTATCTATGGGCAGTGTCTCCCAGTGGCTCCAGCCCCTACCTCCATGGTCCTAGCACTTGCTGGATTGGCCTGGCCCCTACTTAAAAGCAGTTTCTCACCCTGTGTCCCTCCAGCCCTATGGAGTGTGTGGAAGTGGGAATAGGGTAGTCAAGTCCACCATTGTTTACTCCCTTGGTTGCCTCACCCTCTCCTGGTAGGCTTCTCAGCCCTTGCATCACATGTGCAACCAAGTCCAACTACTGTTATACCTAGAGTGGTTTCTGACTGATACGGTGCCTAATCCAGGGAACTGGGAGAAAGGAGAAATGCTCAGAGAGACGCAGAGAAGGCCACACCTGAGCTGAGTTTAGAAGAAGCTATAGCAGTCAACCAATGGATGAATGGGGCAAAGAGCATTACAAGGAGGAGGATGAGCCTGTGTAAAGGCATTTTTAGGTTGTTTTGCTTATTTGCCCCAATAGAGAAAGGATCTTCCCAGGTTGAGAGCTGATGAAAGAGCAGGGCTCACCAGCCCTTGCCACATAGTGTGTGAATGATTTGCAGGTAAAGGCTCCTACAAGGTTTGAGTGATAATCAATGAAGGGAGAGGAACGCAACATCATCATTTTGTAAATTAAGCAAACATTAGAAAGACAAGGGCAAGTGGTCACAGAAACACTGAGTCATGGCTTATTCAATAGCTCCTGGGTCCCTGGCTGAATACCGAGGCTACTGTGCGTAGAACAGAGCATCACCATCCAGACTACGGCTGAGCCTCCTCCCACAGAGTCATCTCCTCTTTCCCAAATTCCTCTGGAAGTTTGTGTGTTCCTGACAGGAAAATGTTACCTATGTCTACCTTTCCTTTGTTTTCGGCCCTAATCTTATTGTATTTCTTTTCTTCAGCTTTCTTGGGGAATAATTGACAAATAAAACTTGTATATATTTAAGTTGTGCAATCTCATGTTTTCCCATTCATATACATTGTGAAATGATCACTGCAACCAGGCTAATTAACATGTCTATCACCTCGCCTCCTCACCATTTTCTTTTTCTTTTCTTTCCTTTGTGGTGAGGATACTTAAGATCCACTCTCAATATACTTCAAGTATACTATCCAGTACTGTTAACTGCAGTCACCAAGCTGTTCGTTAGATCTCCAGAATTACCCTACGTAACTGAAACTTTGTACCCGTTCACCAGCATCTCCCCATTCTCTCCCACTCCACCCACCCTAGGCAACCACTAGTCTACTCTGCTTTTATGAGTTGGATTTTTCTAGATCAACATATAAGTGAGATCATGCAGTGTTTGTCTTTCTACGTCTGACTTATTTCACTTAGCCTGAAGCCCTCCCCATTCATCCATGTTGCCGAAAATGTTACCATGGGATCTAGCAATCCCACTTGTGGGTATATATCCAAAGAAAATGAAATCACTATCCCAAAGGATTGTCCTCACTCCCATGTTCACTGCAGCATTAGTCACAATAGCTAAGATATGGAAGCAACCTAACTGTCCAACAACAGATGACTGGATAAAGAAAATGTAGGCATTTGTAGAATGTCTATGCCCCTGGAGCCTACCCGTGATACTGTGTGACCTGGAACCAGTCAGGCCACCTTTCCCAATTTAGGTTTCCTCATCTTAAAGAGGCTAAACTTGATGATCTCCAAGATCCTTCCCCCTAGAAACAACCTATTATTCTAGTTCGGAGTTTAAAATGCAAACATTAATTTCACATACTCTTCTCTGCCTTATAGGATCATGAGTGAGTTATCTGCAAATACAAAGCCAATGGCCAGGGGTATGGGAAAGGAAGGAAGGCAGGCAGCAAAGGAAAAAGGGCAGCAGCAAGTTGGGGAGAGCAGGGTTTTTATGAGACTGATATAATTACTGTCATAGTCTGAGTAGCTTCCCTCACTGAAAGTAACTTGCCAACTGCAATCCAACCAAGGCAGCCAACCAAGTGCCCTGCATTGCCCTCTCGTGGCTGATCAGAAAGGGACATTTAAGGAGGAGGACACTGGGTCGCAGGGGCCTAACCTGTGAGAGGCTTTCATAGGGGCAGAAAAGTGTTCGAAGTACTACCCAGCTCTCACTGCAGGAAGCCAACTGCCTTGATACATGCCTTGAACAACACTTGCTCTTTATTTTAAACACATTTTTAGATGTCATGTCAAAAGCAAGATAAGATCTTTTCAATAACATTCCATATTTACATCTCTTTTATTTTTTTAAACAAAAGCTTGCATCCGAATAGAAATAAATCTTCAAAAGACGCCTTTTAAAGAATCCATGGGAAAGAGAAAAATTTGTTGATGATGAAATAAGTTCAACTGTACAATATGAAAAAACATCCTTCCACAAGATGATGAAGAATGACATGAAAAGAAACAAAAAGCCTGGAGTCAGGTGGAAAGAGCCGCAGCATGGGTAAACTGAGGAATCAGCATGGAGCAGCCATCAGTGGGGCTGAAAGCTAGGGCCTGATGTTGACTTCTGTGCCCTTTCCTGTCTCTGAGCCCAGCCAGCCCTTTGTCTCTCTAGTCCTCCCAGGGCTTGGAAAGTGAGCCTTAGGATTGCATGGAGTCCTTCGAAGCACAACTGTACTCTGGAAAGAGACTGCTAAGGTGACTTTGGGGGTCTATATTTACTGCCTCTCAATCATTTCCAGATCCAATTGGCTTCATTGACAACCCAAGAAATGATTGTGTTAACTGCCTGGCACTGAGCACACCATCTGGGAGTGCCTCTCACATCCCAGCCAGTGGTGGAGGCATTTCAATCAGAGCTCATGGGGATCCAGGTTGATGAAGCGGGTGCGGCGAGAGAATCCAGTGCATGCCAGAGCTGTCGGGGTCTTCCATCCTAATGCAAGCAAACGCTTGTTTTGATCAGTAGGGTACACAGATCTGAAAGAGACCTAGAGGGAAAATGTGTACGTGGTGCACACAGACTGGCTTTCAGATACAGAGAATTAGAGTCAGGATGTTAAGATAGCTTTCCTCTTTGTGATCTCTGGATGAAAATACTATTTAAATGCAAATCACAGAGGCGTTCATTACAACCGTGGATATGATTCCAACATTATTTAAGAAGCAAGTCTCTAGTTGAATATCTTACCAACCACCCAGGAGAAGTGCCTCGCTGAGACTGGGCACGGGCTGCATGGAAGTGCCACAAGACTCGCAAGTAGAGCCTGCTCCCATCCTTAACCTGATCAAAGCAATCAGGTAGTGTGCATGATGTATGCATGTACGGAAAAATAAACACTTTGAGGGACGGGCCCAGCTATAAACAATACCTAGGAGAGGATGACTGGGAGGAGCTGCTTTCAGAATCTCACTGGGGTAGATTCTTTCTGTCTAAAAACATAAAAGATGGTCCAATAGGCCCAGCAGGAATTCAGATATCTTCCACGGCTTTTCTGGAGGTAACAAGACCCCCTCTGGCTGTTTCCCCAACTGTGACCAAGGAAGATTATCTCTGTGATCTTTAAAATAAGAAAACAGAGTTGGTGTTGTTTTCATTCAAAGCTAATCTGAATAGAAGCCCAGGGGTGCATTTGATCAGCAGCCTCTCCTGCTAATCCAGAAGACTTGCCATGTAATGTGTGTGTGTGTGTGTGTGTGTGTGTGTGTGTGTGTGTGTAAGTGTGCAGTCCCAGAAAATGTGTGTTAGACCAAAACAGCATTCGGTCCAAGTTTTGCCCTCTGAGAGCCCGGGGGGACGTCATGATTAGAGAGCGGGATGCCTTCTCTAGTGGAAGGCCGCCTCTTGGCTGCATTCAGTGTTGCCTACATAGTACTTGGCAGTACACACCCTCCCACTGGGAGTCTCGTTTTCTTGCTGTTGACTCCACCAGTCATTCCCATACCAAAGCTGAAACATCATTCTCTATCAAATCAGAGAAACACAAGAGATTCTCTAAGACTTCTCATTATTTACTAAGGGAATGGTTTCTGAAAATGTCTTTCTTCATTTTTTTCTTTCTTCCTTAGAAATTTTTCCCCTAAGAGTTGAGCTGTACCCTTCTGTGAAACATGTGTGCAAGAAGAGAACTAGGCTGAATAAAAGACACTAGTTTCTTTCATTTACCATTCAATGCCTTATAGTGGACAGGACAAATGGTGGCAAGACTGATTCAATTGTGGTCTGTTTAAGATGCTCCAATCTGCATAACACTGTCTTAGCCTGGGTCACACACCAATCCGAACTAGAATGCACCACATAAAGAAGGCTATGCATTTTGAGATGAGAAGAGAGAGATGGGGAAATATAGCTTGGCCTTCATTCAGGACAAATGGGAAAGGAAAAATGAGAGGGAGGGATGACCTTTTGTTGTATGGCAGAGCAGCTATTTGTAGTCTGAGTCATTTCTAGCCTCTGTTGAGAAAAGCAAAGTTTCTCTCTTCCTTTGCCAAACGCCTATGCGAGAATCAAACTGGTTTCCTTCTGCCTCAAGCACGAATCACTGACAACCTCGCCAGAAAATTCAAACTAGTGGTGAAGCATCTTTATTACTAACCAGGATTATGGAGACAGATCCAGCTTCCAAGTGGTGTTGATTGGTTAGAAGAAACGTATTCTATTTTACCTATTGTAGAATTTAGATAGGAAGTCATTTGGTGCGATGAATCTGAAGCCTAGCACTTATTTTTCTTTAGCTGACTTTGATGTCTGAGGAATCTACAACTGTTTTCAGGAGGTCAGTTCTTAAACTTTCACTGATCTTCCTAAAACAATCCCTATCTTACACAGGGCATACTGTGACACTGAGCAGCCATACTGGCTTGCTTAGGACTGCAGAGGACTGCAGCATCACGAATTGGAATTTGAGCTCCTCGATGCCTGATGCTTACCCTTGTGTCCAAACCTCTGTGTTGCATTAAAGCTGTATGAAGGCTTATGAAAAACAGTTCAGGATGATAGATCCCTTCTGTTCACTTATCTTGTGCTGAAAATTTTTTGACTGGAAGGCTTGTTTTGTTTTTGTTTTCTAAAACTTTTAAACATAGAGAGAAAGGAGATTAAAAAGTCAAGGAATCAAGAAAAAATATATATGTATATATAAAAAATACATATATTTATATATGTGCACATATATAAATACACACACAACACAAACGTACACACACATAGGCATGCACATAAATTTCTGGGGACTTCCTGCCACATGCATTGCTACCAAGGAGACTAGCCCGTTCTGTTTTAAACAGGGATTAAACTTTGGACCATAGTTTTCTTTCTCTCTGTCTCTTTTTTTTTTTTTTTTTTTTTTTTTTTTTTTTTTTTTTTTTTTTTTTGAGATAGGGCCTTGCTGTGTCACCCAGGCTTGTGTGCAGTGGCACAATCATGGCTCATTGTAGCTCTGACCTCCTGGTTTCAATCCTCTTGCCTTAGACTCTAAAGTAGCTGGGACTGCAGGTGCACACATCACCATGCCTTTTATTTTTATTATAAAAATATTTTTTAAAATTTTTTAAATTTTATTTTTAGTAGAGATGAGGTCTCTCTATGTTGCCCAGGCTGGTCTCGAACATCTGAGCTCAAGTGATCCTCCCACCTCAGCCTCACAAAGTGTTGGAATTACAGGCATCAGCCACCATGCTTGGCCTAAGTTTTACTTCTCTTGTGACAGAAAGTGAGAATTCATATGCTATGTGAATAGAGAAGTTCAATAAAAACTCTGTGTTGATTCATTGAAATTTTGAACATATATTTAGAAATAACAGTATATTTTAATGTAATTTTCAAATAAAAATCCTTGTCTCTAAGTTATCTTTTGCCATAAAATTTCAACCAAACATGGATATGATTGAAAGCATTTGCAGTGAAGCCCTTCAGCCAAAAATGGAAAGGCATTAAGCCCCATGCCACAGGGCAACGTGATATTAGGAATATACTCAGTGCATACCTCCAGTCCACTGGATCACACTTCAGCCATATGTCGACAATTCAGTTCTCCGGAGAGGCAACTGTCCTTGGCAGAGATAAGACATGCAGAAACTTTGAAGACCATATTATTTCCTAAGTGTTTTGGTGCCAGGAAAACCAAAATTATGGAAAGAAGAGTGCATTATTCACTTATGTAATCATTCATTCATTTGTTCAGCAAATACTTTTTGAGCATCAAATCTGCACCAAGCAAAGTTCTAGCCACTGGGGTATAGCACACAAAAGACAGGGCATAGGCCCTCCCCTCCTGGAGCCTATGCACTACTCAGAAGAGAAACAGGAAGAAAAAAGATGCAAGTTTATTGCAGAGAGCAGTAAGTTCTCCGAAGACAACACACAGGGCATTGGGCTAGAGTTGAGCCCAAGTGAAAGGTTGTTATGTCTTTAAGGAAGTCCATTTTGAGGAGGTAACATTTGTCCTGAAACCCAAATGGTAAGCAGGAGCCTGTCAGGTGGAGGACTGGGGGACAGAAGAGGGGAGAACCAGGCAAATTGTAAGTCAGGAATGGAAACCCAAACATCTTATGTCCTCACTCATAAGTGGGAACTAAGCTATGAGGATGCCAAAGGCACAAGAATGATACAATGGACTTTGGGATTTGGAAGAAAGAGTGGGAGGGAGGTGAGGGATAAAAGACTACACATTGGGTACAGTACACAATGCTGTGCACACTCAGTGTGCTGAGAGAGGAGAAAATGTGGCGTCCCGGAGCCGAGAGGAGAGCAGCATGGCTGGCCAAGAGGCCCAGTGGGACACAGTGGACATGGAGGTGAGGGGAAAGTAGGGGCTAACTCGTGTAGGTCTTGACACCTTGATAAGTAGACTGGATTTTAAGTATGAAAGGTTCTAAGCAGGGGAGCAATATAATAGAAGATTCATGTTTTAAAAATATTTAATTTTTTTCCTTATAAACAACAGAAATTTATTTATCATTGTCCTGGAGGCTAGGACATCCAAGATTAAGGTGCTGGCAGATTCAGGGTCTGGTTGGGCCCCACTGCCCGGTTTATGGATGGCACATTCTCGCTGTGTCCTCACATGGTGGAAGGGGTGAGGGAGAGGATGTAGAGAAATGGGAATGCTTTTACACTGTTGGTGGGAGTGTAAATTAGTTCATTGATTGTGGAAGACAGTGTGGCAATTCCTCAAGGATCTAGAACTAGAAATACCATTTGACCCAGCAATCCCATTACTGGGTATATAACTAAAAGATAAATCATTCTACTATAAAGACACATGCACACGTATGTTTATTGCAGCACTGTTCACAATAGCAAAGACTTGGAACTAACCCAAATACCCATCAATGATAGACTGGATAAAGAAAATGTGGCACATATTCACCATGGAACACTATGCAGCCATAAAAAAGGATGAGTTCATGTCCTTTGGAGAAATATGGATGAAGCTGGAAACCATCATTCTCAGCAAACTAACAGAAGAACAGAAAACCAAACACTGCATGTTCTCACTCATAAGTGGGAGTTGAACAATGAGAACACATGGACACAAGGAGGGGAACATCACACACTGGGGCCTGTCAGGGGCTGGTGAGTGGGGGTAAGGATGGCATTAGGAGAAATATCTAACGTAGATGATGAGTTGATGGGTGCAGCAAACCACAATGGCACATGTATACCTATGTAAAAAACCTGCACATCCTGCATATGTACCCCAGAACTTAAAGTATAATAATAATAAAAATATTTGAATTTTTTTTAAATTTTTTATTTCAATAGGTTTTTCGGGGACAGGTGACATTCGGTTTCATGGATACGTTCTTTAGTGGTGATTTCTGAGATTTTGGTGCACCAATCACCCGAACAGTGTACACTGCATGCAATGTGTAGTCTTTTGTTCCTCGCCCCGCCACCCTTCCTCCCAAGTCCCCAGAGTCCATTGTATCATTCTTATGCCTTTGCGTCCTCAGAGTTTAGCTCCCACTTATGAGTGAGAACATATGATGTCTGTTTTTCCGCTCCTGAGTTACTTCACTTAAAATAATGGCCTCCAATTCCATCCAGGTTGCTACAAATGGCACTATTTCATTCCTTAAAAATATGTTTTTGCCTTTCTTTTGGAGAACAGAGTATCAAGGGAAAGTCAAGATAACAAAGAGGTCAGCTAGGAGGCTCATGCAGCTATTGTCGTTTTGATGACAGCGGATTAAACTAAAGCCTGTTGAAATAGAGGTAAAGGTATGAAGTGGGGATATATTTTGGAAGTTCACTCAACAAAATGTGTGAATCGATTAGAAACAATGGATATTACGAGATGGGGAGGAAAGATAAAGGAGGGATAAAGTTTGTATGCGGCATTTTGGTGTGAGCAACAACGTGGAAGGTGGTGTCCTTTATTGAGAAGGAGTAGGCATCATTAACAAGGTTTGAGTAAAACAAAATGATCATTATATGTTTGTGTGGGACTTTCTATCAGATCACTATACCTATAAGTCAGGAACTCAGTGGAGATGTTGGAGCAAAGATATCAATTTATGAAAGAGATTCCAGGTGTGTACATGCAGACAGGGTACAGAAGACATAGGATGAAGTCTTTAGCATGACAACATTCAAGATGGTGTAGTGCACCATGCAGAGCTTAGAAAAGCTGGACAAAGAAAACTAGGGAGTTATGTGTCATGGAAGTCAAGAACATTAGGAACAATGAGAACATATCATAGATTGTTCCCATGATACATTGCTGCACAGTAAGCTGCCGTTAACTCATTCAAAAAAAGTAAAAGTCAGGCACAGTGGCTCATGTCAGTAATCTGAGCACTTTTGGAGACCAAGGCAGGGGGATCACTTGACCCTAGGAGTTTGAGACCAGCCTGGGTAACAAAGTGAAACACTGTCTTTACAAAAAAAATTTTTTTAAATAAAGGAAAAAAAAAGATTAGCCAGGCATAGTGGTGCACCTCTACTTCTAGCTACTCAGGAGGCTGAGGAGGGAGGATCTCTTGAGCTTGGGGAGTTGAGGCTGCAGTGGGTTCTGACCATACCACTGTACTCCAGCCTAGGCAACAGACTGAAACCCTGTCTCAAAAAAAAAAAAAAAAAAAAAAAAAAAAAGGATAAATCTTTTACTTGAACTACCATTCTACATTAGCCCATTGCAGGTCACATGAAAACTTCAAGATGTTACAAATCCTTGAGAAAAGTTAGTTTTGTGTTGTGTGAAACTGACTTGACTGGAAATCAGAAGAGGACTCTATGTAGGGAGTAGCTGACAGTCCCAATGCCTCTGCGTCTTTCTTTTGGCCAGGGGTAACATCCATGAGAACGGGTCTCTATTCTAACCACAAGGGCTAATACAGTGCCTGGCTAATAAATGTACACTGAATGAAAAAAGGCATATGTCTGGGAGTTTTACATGCCTTTTATGGATTTTTTTTTAAACAAAAAGATTCTTAGAGTGAAAGGAGAACTCAGCTTTTTCTCAAGCTTTCACAAAGACCGGCACTAAAATAATCACTAAAATAATCTAGGTACATGCTTCCTAACCCAGTTGTGACTATCTATGGCTAAATGATCACGCTCAGGGAATTAAACATCGCAGCTCAATGGCAGTACACCTCTGGGCTTTTCACAGGCAGCGAAGAGTCATCAAAGACATCCGAGGCATTGCCAGAACACCTGGGAAGGGATGCTGTGTGAGTCTAAGATGTATCATCACGATCACCCGAGCCCTGGACTTTTAACATTTTAAATAAACTCAGTTCTGCCTGAGTTTGTTTAAACTCTGCAGATAGCTTATAGGTAGGCTGTGGGTACAGACAGATGGGATGCCAAAGACAGAGGAAGCTGTGCAAATGCCAAGTGGCCAGAGCAGTGACCAACCTGGACACCTCCTGCTGGGTACTTTGTTTACTAATCTCCTGTTCTTGGCAGCTCCTTTGGCGTGGTCACGTGGCTTCTCCACATGGAGCTGCTTAATTGCTTCCTGCGGAGAGTTTGACCATTTTAATCCAGATGGCTCAAATCTCCTTGGCACCGACCAAGCTGCCCCTTTCCCAGATAAAGCCCAGTTGTCTCATTACCTCTGAATGGTCCCCCTTTAGACAAACTCTCCAATGACTTCCATCTTGGAAAAGCTAAGTTGAAATATCATACAAAAGGCAAAGGAAAGAGAGGGCGGGAAGAGAGGGAGCCGTGTTGGTATCACTCCCCTTTCCCTTTTCATTTCTGGAATATGAATGTGTTCATTTATAACTCAACATTCAAACTAATTGTTAGCTGAAGGCTTTCAAGTAAAAATGTAGGTCAAGCAATATTATGTGGGATAATGGCAATTGTTTCAGCTTCAGGGAACATGTAAGTAATTGAACCTCACTATTTCACTGACTTATTACAGACCAATATCCACCCTGGTTGCCACGGAGCCCATGATCCCAGGCCACCCTCAAATTGACTTAGGTTTAAGCTTCCCTTGCTGAGCTGGGCCTGGGATTACAGCAGGGACTTGGCAGGCTGGTGGAGGGAGTTACAAGGTTCTCTATCTCTGCCTCCCTCCCACACATGCACAGGTGCCATCTAGAACATCCCCTCTTTCTCGATATGGAAACAATCTTTAGGTTAAAACGGAGAAGATGGTTAGAGTGAAGGTGGACCTCAAGCCAATGTCTGCCAGCATGAAGCAGACAGCAAGGCTGCATGATGACAGAAGCCTGCAGTGTCAGCCAACCAATCTGAGAAAAGTGCCTGGGACCCCCAGCCTGGAGAGTCAACTCATGACAATTAAGGACAATTAGTCACGTGGTCTGGCTGCTGCAGTGCCTAAGTCTCATACTGACCCTGGAAACAGGATCAACGCTTCTCTGCTGCCTGCTGGGGTTTTGTCTCTTCCCACTGTTTTCTCCATTCCTCCTGCTTACCGTGGTCTTCCTCTGGTTCCTTTCTCCCACCTCTTCTTTCTTTCTCCACTTCCTAATGGGCCTCTTTACTATGCTCCTCTTCCCTTTCTTTTGATTTCTCTTCTCATGTTTCTCTCCCAATCATTGAATTTTAATAGCTCTCTTTTCTACAGTTTTCTGAGCTAACAGTACTACTATATTAATAAGCAGACATATTTATTTATTCTGAACCTACCAGTGTTCCACACCCTTGGGAATTTTCTATGTTCCAAGTTTATTCATCTGGAGATACGGGGCATGGTTTCAGGAAACGGCGTTCCATCTTAAGCCATGTTCAGACTTCAGGTCTCAACTCGTGCTCCTTCAGCTGTGCGTGTTGGAGCTTTGGGTGAATCCTTCCACCCACTGGGAGGAAAGTGATGGGGATGTGGGTCAGATAGGGTGAGCTGACACAGTGAACCTGAGGTCTCCTCACGGTGAAAGAAGGAGGACATTGTGAAAGCTCATCAGAGATGGGCTTCCTTGTTTGACTCAAATGTTGCCCTCCTCATTTGGCTTCCCATGAAATATATATATATATATATATATATATATATATATATATATATATATATATATATACATATGTATATATGGAGAGAGAGAGAGGATCTCCCTGTGTTACTCAGGCTGGAGTAATTACAGTAATTACAGTGCCACAATCACAGCTCACTGCAGCCTTGACCTCTCAGGCTCAAGTGATCTTCCTGCCTCAGCCTCCTAGGTAGCTGGAACTACAGGCATGTACCACCATGCTCAGATAATTTATTTTTTTTCTTTTCTTTTTGTAGAAATGGGGTCCCACTATGTTGCCCAGGCCGGTCTCATACAATCCTCCCTCTTTGTCCTCCTGAGTAGCTGGGACTAAAAGCATGCACTACCACACCCATTATTATTATTATGATTATTACTATTAGTTATTATTATTTTTGGTGGGGGGGGGTCCCACTATGTTTCCCAGGCTGGTCTCGGAATCCTGGGCTCAAGCAATCCTCCTGCCTTGGCCTCCCAAAGTGCTGGAATTAGAGATGTGAGTCACTGCACCTGGCTGAAATCAATTTTTAAAGAGCTAGGGTATTTTTGTATCTTTTACTACTTTATAAGATATAAACTTTACGAAAAAAATACATGAACAGGAAGGATGCAAGGAAAGAAGATGGGACGGGGGAAAATGGAGGGAGGAAGGGGAGGAAGGAAGGAAGGAGGGAAATTATCCTATAATCTCATCACTCAAAAATTTCTACTGTAAATATTTTGGTACATAGCCTCATGCGGCACAGCCTGTTGCATGCACCATAACAGATCCACTTTGACATAAAGATGCCCCAGCTCTTAAGGCACACAGATTCTCTTCTTAGGATTACTTCTTTCTAGTGCAACAAACACATCCTAGGTGCCAGGAGTTGTGCCTTGCACAACTGGGAATAGAACAACAACAACGAAAAACACAGTCCCGGTCTGCATCAGATATACTCTGTAGAATGACCTTCCTAAACAACACACATACAAGTTGGTGTATACCATACGCATAACTTCAAATGTGGTCCTGCTACTAATAGACTATTTGAAGTTCAGAGGTGCTATGCCTAGGTCTGCTGATGAAGGCCACTTGAAGGGACAGCAAGGGAGAGGACAGGCATTTGCCCACCCTCTGTTGTGTGTCAGGCTCCTTGCTCTGCATTTTCATCTGCACCACGTCATTTAACCCTCCAGCCTGGGAAGACCTTTAGAGGTAAGGAAATTAAGTCTCGGAAGAATTAAGTGTCTTGACTAAATTCACAGCCACTCAGTGGTACAGTTGAGACACGAATCCAGGAGGCAAAATATGCACACTACCTTCCCTTTTAGGGTTAAGTATCTACATGCAGAAGCTGCAGAAATCTCAGGAAAGGAAAGAGCAGGTGCCATAGGTATCTTCCCTCCTTGTTGTCACCTGCCCCAGCCATATGTAACTGAATTAGCAACAACGTAACAATATAACCTGAAGCTCACTTAATAGTTTTGCACTAAATAATACATTAAAATAAATAAATTATCCAGACAAACTGTAGGAATACGAAAAGGCATTTTCACATGATTGCAAATCTCAACGTTCCTAAGCTGGAGACTGTATTTGTAGTGGTGTGCTCCACAGCAACAAAATGCCCGAGATTAGAAATGCCAGCGCAATAGCAAAGGGAAAATTGGCTGTAGCTAAGAATCACATTCCTTCTGTACATTTTATTTGGAGCCACCGTGGACCCCAAAGATGGTAGAAGGGCCTGATTCCAATCTGGCAGGGACGATGTGCCAATTGGTATCAGTCTGTCCAATCTGTCTTACATAAGCCTGGAGAGAGGCCGGTGAGGAGGAGGTGCTGCCTGCGCCTGTGTGCGCCCAGGCGGTCACCTCCAGAAACATCTGCCCCTGCGGTTCCACAATAGGCATGGTAGGGATGAAATGAAGGCCGGCCCTGGCATCAGTTGCTTTTCTATGGGGCCAATTTGCAATGTAGATGCCACAGGCTCCCTGAGGCCCTGAGGAACCTGTGGCCTTTCCAGTCCAATTTGGCTCTGTTGTGCTCAGTTCGGAAAAGTTGCACTTGGTTTAATGCCTCAACAAGAGGCATTTGATGTGTGCGAGCACCTGTAACTGTTGGGGCAGGCTGCTGTGCCAGGAACAGGGAAGACAGGCTCCACACAGCTTGCAGATTGGGAGCAAGGGGGCTGTCTAAGGTCAGTGTGGGCTCATGGGGCACTCCCAGAAATGCATGGCATCTCTCCCCTCAGGAAGCATCCTTCCGAAAAGTTATGCAAATGGGTGATCTGTACTACAAAGTGGGGCAGAGGGAAATTCCATTAGGAAGACCAATGAGAAAACTACTCCAGTGTATAGATAGCAAAACTCTTCCACACTGTGGAAAATAACCAGTTGACAACACCTGAATTCTTTAAGGTCAGAAAGATACCTTGCTACCTGCTTATAAGAAGAAGGGATATTTTCCCATCTCTTCTCACCACCCTGAGAATAAGTGAGATCCACCTCGCTTTTGTTCGTGGTGCAGTTATATGGCACAGCACGTTGTGTGTCCCAAGACAGATCCAGTTTGACATAATGTATGCCCCAGCTCTTCAGGCACACTGACTCTCTTCTTAGGAATACTTCTTTCCAGTGCAAGAAACACATCCTAGGAGCCAGGAGTTGTGCCTTGCATTGGAGACAGAACGAAAAACCACGTAGCCCCTGTCCCCTTCAGGTTTATTCTCTAGTATAGGATAGAGATGCATAAAAAAGTATATGTATATATTCTATTAAAATCTCAGAAGACAGAAAAAGTCATAGTTCGGATACTTTGGGAGCTAAAGTAATGTTTCCTGAAAGGGATACCATCTGAATGAATTCCTGAAGAATGAGAAAGAGTGGCCAAGGAGAAAAAGAATGTGAAGGCTACTGCAGGCAAAATACAGAACATAAGCCAAGACTTAGAGGCGTGAAGCAGGCAATGACTGAACGGATCCATTGCAATTCTACCTTCCAGCAGTGTGACCTGTAGGAATGGTGGGAAATGGGGCTGAGAAGTAGGGAGGAGAGATCAGGTTACAGAAAGCTTTTTGTGCCATGACAAGGATCTTAGATGTGAAACAGTCAAGGACTATAATAGTTTATATTTTACAAAAACCTGCCTGTCCTCTGTGTGGAAGATTTGAAGATGCAAGGTTGGAGTTAGGTGAGGCAGGACAGGAGGCAGGGAAATGAGATAGTGAATTATGGCAACAGTTAAGGCAAGAGATAGTGAGGTGTATACCTACACACCGTATACGCCTAGTGATAGACAGACTGAGAAGAGGACAACATCAAATTGGAAGAGCTCGGTGAGAAATAAGAAGGTCTTAGGTTTCTGGCCTGCATTATATGGAACAGGTTACATCATAGATATTCACATACATTCAAACATACACACACACACACACACACACACACACAAGGTTGTGTTCCTTGGTCTATCCAAACTCCCTTATTTAGCTTGACAACATTACAGAAGGGGTATTCATGAATTCAACAGATATTTCCTGACCACGGCTTCTGTAGCTAGTCTTTGTGTAACTTCCACCCAGTGGGGAAGACGGTGTGCCTGGTTATCGTATTGAGGAGCTGAAGGTCACTGGTACCAAGAGGTCAAGTTACAAGGTCAACATAGATGAGGTAGAGTGATGTCACAGGTGGATGCCACCTAGAAATGGCTGCTGCTCAGCCATCTCTCTTCATCCTGAGTTTTCTTTTGCCTAAGTGAGCAGCCTCTCTGCGGTGGAACACAACTGGCACGATCAATATTAAAATAAAGGGTGGGGAGGGCAGGAGAGGAAGAAAACAGCCACTCAAGTCCATAGAGGTAGGAAAGATTGATCAATGGCCTCAGGAACAATCCATACTAATTATGGTGATAAAAAGCTGTCAGTCAATACCCTGGATATTAAATTTAGTGGATTGGAGACAACAGGTCTGCTTTCATTTCCCTGACCATTTTATTTATTGAAACACTCAGATACAAATGAGCATTCAGTGCTAAGATTACATTATTGTTTCACCTGCTTTGAACTGCAAATGCTTTGATAACTGAATGGAAAAAGCTGTCAAATTTCCCTCTGTAGTTTCTATGCAGAAGTCTTCCCTCACCATCTGATGAAATTCCATTTTGTAAAGTCTGACAGTGATACTCGTCATTAAATCACAGCTGATAGCCCACCTCACATATCAAAACACAGCTCAGTGTCTGTATATGTATGCGTGGGGGTGGGGCGCTGGTAGTGAACCCTGGAAGGAAAGGAGGGATTCCCTTAGCTAGGAGACAATAAAGCCTTTCCGAAGACAGCAACAGCTGATAATACCTTGCTGTAGAAAGTTGTGCTTCTGTGAATATGGCCATTCGAGTAAGTTTGTGCCCACATGCCCAGGGCCAAAGGAAATGAAGAAATGGATTCAAAAGAAGCTAATGGAGATGGCCTGCTTCCTGCCACCCCAGTTCTATAGCTGGTAATTCAACTGTCACAGAAGCATGTGCTAGTGGGTGAAACTCAAAGGGGGCTTGCATAATGCAAATTCAATCTGCTGGATCCTCTTTGGGCCTATGTGTCCCCCCAGTGTGATGATCCGCCTGCCCACAGTCAGATCATAGTGGTGCTGGCTAACCATCTTCCAAATCAATCCCTGATCTGGGAAAACAACATCCAGTGCATACTTTATCAATGATGCTGATCAATACCACACAAAGATACTAAACAAACTCTGTTTAGATCCCAAGATTGCTCCCACGAGTGACTGCCATGGGACACATGGGTGTGGTTACCAATCAGACAGCTTTCATTTGGAAAACTTCTTTCAATATGTTAAAAACATGCAAATATAGGCAGAGAAATGTAAAAAGGTCTCTCATAGTGTAATAAGTTACTGCTTTTGTTTTTGTTTTAATTTGGAATTACTGTTTCTGTGAGAATGCCTATTTTGTTCACGATTTTAGTCCAGTGTCTCAAAGGAGAAGTTTAGGGGGTGGTGAGTAGAAAGGGATCTCAATGGTGCAAAGTGGGGGAAGGAAATGAAAGAGGAAGAAAAGGATGGGGTAGAGCACAGGGTGTTAAGGTTTTAAGGAGGCTCACCAAGACTAGGAGGCATGGCGCCCCTACTGTTTCAGCATGGGAATGCAGTGAGGCGTTCAAACCACCAGTTGTTACAATGCTTTTTATGTGAGAAAGCACCTGACCTTCTCCTCAAAGGGTACATTTTGTATTATGTAGGTACTCAGGCTTGTTATCCGGAAAGTAGCAGGGTCCCAAGAAGACCTGTTTCTTAAGTTAAGACTTGCTTTTCTTCTCGGAGCTGTCCTGCAGTGGCAGAATTTAGTAGATTTCAGGGAACAGAACCACTGGGAGGGAGTCTATAGACCTGGGTTTAAGAACAATACCCACTGATAACCTACCCGGGGCAAGTCACTTCACCTCTTTGTCCCTCAGTCCTTTAGATTTTAGAAATTAGACTACATCACTGTTTTCCAGTTTTTTTGTGTTGTGAATCTGTAGTGGGTCATGAAATCAATGGAATGATTTTTATCCGTGAGTTTTTAAAATGAAATAAATAAGATAAAATAGAAAATATCAGCATATATTGAACATCAGAAGAATAAGTTGTGTGTCATGAGATAAAAAATATTTGACCACCACTGGATTAGAAGACCTCCAAGACACTTTCCAAATGGAATAATGTATGAGTCTCTGATTCTAATTCTCAGCAGACTGCCACCAATCAACCTGGAGCCAACTACCTACAGCTCAAGAGAGAGTTTCCAAGCTCCCTTTCTTGGTCAGCAGAGTTTTTCCCCCTTTATCTCTCATTTACAATTTGATGTTACAGGTGTTGCTACAATTTCAGTTTTGATAACACTGAGTTAATTAAGACATGATCTCTAAGAGGCAGGTGGTTACAAGGAGATAAGCAGCGGCTTCTGCAGGCAGTAAACAGCTGGTGCTCCTGACCAGCTTCTGGGGATTTGCTCCTTTTATAAAGAAGACAAAACTATCGCTCCCGATTAAACATGAACATAATGTTTGCACAAATATTTGGCAGATTATTTGGACATTGCTCTGGTTGTGATCAAAACAGTCCAAGCTGCAGGGCTGCTGTATACAGGTTGTGCAGGTTGTTCACTGCACAAGGGTGCCTGGCCAAGGAAGCATGTGAGGCTGAAGTCCAGGTACTATTTGCTTGTTAAGCTATCAACCCCAGGTTGGGGCTACATCTCCTGACGGAATTCACATAGAGATGCTACAAGTTCACCACGCCTTGTACTTGTGGGGCTATATTTGCCTACGGGGGCAAGTTTCCCACTTCTTAAAAGGCACTTTATGGGCTAGTAGCCAGACTTGCCTGGAGTTGAAATAGAAGACTGAAAAGGCAAAGCTAAGACATTGGCATTAGATCGGGACAGGGACACTATCTGCAGGCAACTGAGGTGCGTGGTCTAGAGCATTAGTCTCGTCATTCAAGCACGTGGGTAGGAGACAGCTGCCACCCATGAAGCATGCACAGAGGTGGCCTTCTTTATAGGAAAAGCACAGACCCCAGAAGTTTCAGAATAGATGAATTAATGGAGATGGCCGCAACGCCAAAGGCTCTTCACACAAAAGATTCTCTATGGGATTCTTTAAAATATTGGACTACCTTTTTTGCATTTAAGATATTATTAGATTTATCATGAGTCACAATTTTGGGGGAATATACTAATTACATCAAGCACAGCATGTTCTTTCATGCACAAAGTTACACTGTTTGGCTCTGATTTGTATGAAGCAGGCATTATCACTTTTAATTTTTGGTAAACTAATGATATAACTACTGATATTTTAACAGTTACTAAATTTAAATCAGTCAACACCTCATAATTAAAGAATATCCTAGCTGTTTTAACTTTCCACATCATGACAGATTTATTTCTAGCAGGATCAATGGATATTCATAACAATACCTGTTACAGCAAAATACTTGCCACGAATCTTTCTTTGCCTTAATTGGGCAAAAGCAGAACTGGTAGAATATTTTAGTTTATTCCCAAGGGTAAAGTTTGCCTCAATTGCAAAACGGGCATCACGGATGAGTCCACTTTAGTGTGATGAGCAGCCTACCATCTGCCCAAGTGGGAGGAACTCAACCAATGCCGGAACCCTTTTCCCTCTGGCTCCTTTATGGAAAAGGTCCTCATCACAATGACCTGCATGAAGCTATCAGATCCAAGTATTTGAGGAGAAGCCCTTTCATCAGAAGTTCACGAGTGTTCACGAAGTCTCTACTACCTTCCAGGCTCTATGTTCAAGACATTCTCAAATAGAAAGCTTTTTCCCAGGCCAGCCTGACCTAGGAGGTCATATCAGTGTTATTTACTCATTATGATATCTCAGTTGTTATGTCAACACAATAGAAGTTACAACTGAGGTATCACCAAAGAAACCCATAGACTTTGTTTTACTTGAAATACTAGAAGAGATGGAAGTCGTCTTTCTGAGGCCTGACACAGGACGGACAAGTGACATTCCCTGATGAGATTTAGAACAGTGAGCCATCAGCACCCAGGAGCATCCTGGCCTCCAGTGCAACACAGACTGAGTGTCCCCAGCATCCTGGCCGACGTGGCACCAACAGCCAAGTGAGGCTAACTCAGGATCAGTGACCTGCTGTGGTTCCAGTGCCACTCGACCAGGTCAATCACACTCCCAAATGTGTGTTCCCTTTAGGAAGGACCATTAGCAATGACACGACCACCACACACACAACACTTGCGTGCTCTCTCTAGAGAGCTGAGCTGTTTCTGAACCTGCAGAAGGAAGGGGTACATATGTCTTAAGCAGCCTCTCTGTAACCTAAATTCTCAGGAATTCCATTTACAGGAACATTGGTCTTACAGATCTACCTAGAGATTAAGTCCAAAATAACTGCTGGAGCTTCACGCCACCTGAAACAAATCTATTCAGCTGGGTTAGTAACCCTTGGTCATAGTCATATCATGGGAAGCTGCAATTTATTTAGTGCCTACTATGTGCTAGACACTTAGTGTCTGCAGCACCAGAGAACATCCTCTGAAACCTGTAGACTGTACACTCCCAGGGCCAGCATAGCCTCCTTCTGATGCCTTCTCCTCTCAGACTCTCCACAGGTACCCTTGGTCACCCTGTTCCTCTCATAGTGAGCTGGGTTTTCCAAAAACTGCATGATGATTTATGGCTTGTAAATGTCGACTCCCCTCCCCGCAGGCCCTAGACCAAGGCAGGCAGGAAGATGAAGAGTGAGGAGACACTGGGGGAAGAAATCAGCGCTTCTGCTGGCCGAGCGGAGCCTGATTGCTCCTTGATGGGTCAGTAATTAATTGCTCCAGAGTGGTGGGTCTGAGACTGCAGAATTGTGCCTTGTGAATAGGCCCTAGAGGGCGGGGGGAGTTACATTGCTTGTAAGATCATTAGGCGAATATTATAAGTAATACTCCATGGCTCCCTCATTAAATACTAAGTGAGTCATTCAATCTTGGGGTTCTATTTCTATTCCCCATTCTAAATGCAACTTTAATGATTTAAAATCCCTTCAACCCAATTACAGCCCTGTATTCTGATTAGGAACTCTCGCCCATTGTGAGCGGGAACCATTATCCTGCAGCCTATAGCAAAATTAGCACCCAGAGAGGTTGCACTAGGAAATAAATCTTTCCCTGACATTTCAAGACCAATGCCCGGCCAATTACAACACACTCTGTTACTCTAGTAATGTGAAACTGAGTTGCTCCTTGCAATCAAAGGTCGCTGGTCAGAAAGATAAAGAAGAAAATCATTCAAGGGGGGAAAAAAGACTAAAAAGTATGGGGAGAGAAAGTCAATGGAATGGTGTTGAAGGAAAAGAAGAGTGGCCTAGGAGACAGAATCTGTCACTGAGGCTTGACTGCACTCTGTCAGAGAGGAGCTGTGGCAGATCATGGGGCCTGGGGGCAGAGGGGTTGGGATAGAAATGACATCCTGCTTCCTCCCACAGCGGGATGCTGCAGCAGTTAGGGCAGTAGTCAGTACTGGAACTAATCAACTCCAAAGTGTCCGCAGCTGACACACGAGAAGAGTCTTTTTGGCCCAGGTAGAGTACAGTGTGGGTGTTCCTGGTCATTAGGCAGGGCTACGGCCAGAGCCAAATCTGCTCTGGGCAGTTTTGAAGCACCCCAGGTTAATGGAGTTTCCTCCCTTTCTAATACGTGTCTTCTAGGATCACGCTGCATGATGATACACAGCTGGTGGAAAGTCTGGAAGTAGCACACATAACCATGTGGGTGACAACCACGCCTAGACACAAGGATGGCTGGGGGATGGAGTCCTGAGCTTTTTGGACATGCATGCCGACTACTGAAGAGAAAACTCAGCCTGAAATGGACAGCAGCTGCCTTTGTCCCAATGTCTTCTTTAGTTCTGGTCTTCTGTGTTCTCCTCTCAATCAGAATGAATTCCCTCTCAGTTCAGGGCTTTCAAGTCTGTTTCTCTCTATGCCTTCTGTGGTTAAGACACCACTTACAGCCTTGTGCTTCCTGAACATCCTGGCCACAAATGATGCGGAAGAGGTAGCCGCCAGTCCCTGCAGAGCCTTGGCGGAGACAGTGGATGAAAGGGTTCCTGTGGAGGGGCTCCTGCAACTCTCTCGGTGCTCAAGATGTTAATGCTCTGGCTGACCATTCTGAGAAGAGCCCTAGGCTGGATTTTCTTCCCACTCCCAAATTAGGCAAAGAATCAGAAAGGCGGGGAGAAGTAAAAGTGTGAGCAGCAGATGAAGAGCTCAAGGATCCTCAGATCTGCAGACAGCTGCCTTCAATGTACCCACTGCAGCCACAAAGTAGGTGCCCAGAGTGAGCCCTCTCAGACAAAAAGAGGGGAGCGCCGAGCAGGCCGGCAACTCCAGTTTTGAGCTGTCTTCTTCTTTGACACTCCTCTGGCTCACATGAGGAATGTCTCCATCTCTGTTTGTCCTCTCCCTGCAATGATGGAGCTGTCACTACAGAGACTCCCTAACCACTAAAAGCTGAGAGTTGTCTCCTTGCTGAGACTGACTGTAACAAATGCCATGAATAAGCATCACAACTTCTCCTGACCCAGCAGTGTGCTGGAGCAGAACGTGCAGGCAGTGCACACACACACACACATACACACTGATGCACACATGGACTCACATAGTCTTCTTAAGCATATGGGGGCCATCTCATCATTCTAACCTCCCTGACATTTTTGTTCTCTCTCTCTGGTTGTTTCCATGGGAACCACAAAAATAATAATCATCACCATAATGAAAGAGGAGGAAAAGCCTGCTGCTCCTCTGCTTAAGGGGCTTCTATTTACCAACACCTGGGGACCAGTGTCCTCAATGCACTACTCAATCTAAACAAATCAGTCAGCTCTTCCTTTCAGTCATCTCATCCTTCAAATCCATGCCACTCTCATTCATTTTTGGTCTTCCTAAAGAGAAGGACTAAAATCTTTAAGGGTTGAGAGTCTGGCAGGGAAAAATGAGAGAGAGACACCCGAGTAGCCACAGACAGGAAGTGCTGCACCCATGGAGGACAGCAAGTGCTCCCTGAGGGGTATCTGAAGGTCTGTCATAGGAACACATAGTTTCTGAGCCCACAAGAGCAAGGTGCCCTAGGAAGAGCACAAGACATGGAACCAGAAATCCAGCTTGCCAACTTATCTTTCCACCTTTCTATCCATCCAGCCAGCAAATCAATACATTGTTAAATAATCAAGTTTAGCCTAAAGCTGCCTCCTTATATATTTTAAGTTCAGCCTAAAGATTTCTCTGTGCATTGTGAACTATAACCTAGATAAAACTGTAAAGAGACTGTAGCCTACTCTTGTGCCAATCACTGGGTTTTTGGCCAATCAAAGGTGGCCAACTGTTTAAACCATGTTTACATAAGGCAAACGCTGAGCTGTAACCAAACCGGCGGTTTCTGTATCTCACTTCCGTTTTCTGTTCATCACTTTCCTTTTTCTGCCCATAAGTCTTCACCACGTAGCTGCGCTGGAGTCTTGGAGCCTACTCTGGCTCAGGAAACTACCGGATTTAATTGGCTCTTTGCTCAATTAAACTCTGAAATTTAATTCAGCTAAAGTTTTTCTTTTAACAACATAAATACATATATTTTGAGAATCTACAATATTTTTGAGAATCTACCCTAACCCAAGAGTAGTACTAGTTACTGGCATATGAAATTGTGAAATAGTCACTGTCACAGCCCTCAGGAAGCATGCCACCCTGTTGGTGACATAGACAAGTAAACAGTGCCCAACACAATGCCTTCTACAAAGAAAGGCATCCAACACATATTTGCTGACTGAAAGAAATTGCTCTGATAGAGAATTTCAGGGTACAATGCAATATCAAAAAAGACAGATTTATAAATGTGTATGTGTGTGTGTTAAAGAAAGCTATTCTGGGTGGTTGATGTCTAAAGTGCAGCATGAAGATGGGCAGGAGATACCAGGCAAAGTGTGTTTTGGAGGAAGGGAGGAAGAGAAGACTGCTCAGTCCAATATCTGTTGGATGGAACAATGAATGACAGAGAGATGAAAAATAAGCTGCTAAGCTGAGTCTCTGGTTCCAAATCTTGTGCTCTTTCTAGTGTTTCATGCCCTTGTGGGCTCAGAAAGCATGCATGTCTAATACAGACCAGGCAGAGGAAACAGCATGTGCAAAGGTCTAGATGCAAGAGAGAACATGGAGAGAAACAGGAAAGAGTCTGTATTGCCAGAGTTGAATGTGGGTTATCAGGAGTATGTGGAGAGGTACAGAGTGAATAGGTGAAGATTCGAGGGTAGAAATGAAACATGTAAGACATCAGATGATGGAAGGCTTAGGGCACCCAAAACCAAGCTATAAAGGTGAGATTTTATCCCAAATATAATGAGAATGCCAATGGAAACTTCTAAAAAGTGTAAGGATAGAATCATATTTCCATTTCAAAGGCTCTTTCTAGCTGCAGCATGGAGAATGAATTGGATCAGGGCCAGCCTGAGGTGGGAAGGCCAGTTAGGGGTTGCCATAATAATCCCAATGAGAGATCAGGCAGCTTGAGTTATCCAAGGAGTGATGGGGATGGAAAGAAATGTTTAGTTTTCAGACAGATTTGGGAAGTCAAAATGGAGGACTTGGGGTGATACCAAGGTCTCTGGTTTTATCCTCTTGGCAAGGGACCACTACTATATGGAAACTGAGCTTGAGGAAAAGATCATACTGTCAGTTTAGGCCCACTGAATTTGAGAGGTCTGTAGATCTTTACATGGAAACATCAAGAAAACAATGACTGAGGGTTGGGAGAGACTAAGCTGGAGCCATCGATGAGGGAGTCATCAGCATATAGCTGGCACTGGAACCTTGGAGCATGATGGACTCAACAAGCAACGCCTGGGGGACACCAATACTGCTGTTACTGTCAGAGGAAGTAGAATCCCAAAGAACACCATGAAAGACAGGGAGATAGGCCCAGAGAATCCGGGAACTAAGGTTTGCAGAAGCAAGGAGATAGGTGCTGAGTGACTTGAGGAGGTCAGGTGGGTCAAGTGCAAAGTTCCCCCTTGGAAAGAACAAGAGCAGAGCCAGTGGTCATCTTGGTGAGATCTCCCATTTTCAGTGGAGTGGCAGGACAGAGGCCAGGCACTCTGAGGAAGGACTAAATGCAGAATGAAAAAGAAGCGACAACAAGTATAAATAATGCCTAGGAATTCTTTGTGGCTATCACAGGGAAGAGACAGAACAGAATTTGGACAAGAAATCAATGATTTTAAATATGAAATAGATTTGATCACGTTCCATTGCTGAAGGGAAATAGAAAGTGAGAGACTGAAGGCATAGGAAAGACAAGAAAAATTATCAAATGGCGTTACTGAGAAGATAGGTGTGAACAAAGTCCATAGCATTGCTAGAAGATCTAGCTTTGGGTGGAATAGCTTTTCTTTAAGAGGATTGAAGGTGGAAGGGAAGCGGGACTCACAGCTTTGGTGGCAAAAAGTTATGAGAGCTCTCGTATGATGGTATACTTATGTTTTCTTCATTCATTAATTTATTTATTCATCTGTTTTCTCAACAAATATTTATTGGGCATCTACTAAAATGTGTAGTTGCTGGAGGTACAATACATGTTGTCTGACCTCAGGAAACTTACTGATAATGGTAAAGTTAAACAGGTAATAAAAACACGTGGGACTGGGCATGGTGGCTCACGGCTGTAATCCCAGAACTTTGAGAGGCTGAGGCAGGAGGACTGCTTGAGCCCAGGAGTTCAAGATCAGCCTGGGTAATGTAAGCAGACCACCAAGTATACAAGCAAATTTAAAAAATAGTCAGGTGTGTGGTGTAGGTCTGTTGCCCCAGCTACTCGGGAGGCTGAGGTGGGAGGATTGCTTGAGGCAGGGAGGTCGAGGCTGCAGTGAGCCATGATCACCACACTGCACTCCAGCCTGGGTGACAGAGTGAGACCTTGTCTCAATAAAATAAATATGTGGTATGTGTTAAAATTGAGAAATATAGTCAACTATGAAAAGATAATTTATTATTTTATTAATTTATTATTTTTTTTTGAGACAGAGTCCCACTGTCACCCAGTCTGGAGTGTGGTGGCACGATCTTGGCTCACTGCAACCTCCACCTCCCTGGTTCAAATGATTCTCCTGCCTAAGCCTCCCAAGTAGCTGGGATTACAGTCATGTGCCACTATGCCCAGCTAATTTGTTTTTTTGTATGTGTGTATGTATTTTTAGTAGGGACAGGGTTTTGCCATGTTGATCAGGCTGGTTTCGAGCTCCTAGGCTCAAGCAATCTTCCTACTTCAACCTCCGAAAGTGCTAGGATTATAAGCTAGGGTTTCTCACCATGTCCAGAAGAGAAAATAATTTTTGAGCTGAAACCTAGAAAGAGTTTGCCAAAGGAAAAATGCCAATAATCCTCTTGAGTAAGAAAGACACAGTAAAGGCTTGTGTGGAATGGAGAAAATTGGAAATAGCCGCTATAGAGAATGGGAGGAATAGAAAAACAGGGACAGAGGACTGTCACTTTTTTTGGTAGGTCTGGGTGAGGTGAGAGATCATGAATTTGTGAAAGCACCACTGTATAGAAATATATGATTTTCCCCAACAGCAGCAAGTGTAAACTCTTAAGATGTGAATTTTTTCTGGAGTGGAGTTTTTCCAGGAGAATGTGATAGGAGGACAGTGGGGTAAGGAGGTTGAAGAGTCTGACAGTGATAGATGAAGCCATGCATTGCCACATCTAGGCTGGATGGGGAAGAAGGGGAAGAAAGTGAAGAAAGGGTGTAGCTAAGGGATTGAGGAAAAGTAGGGCATTCAAGGAGCTTTAGGTTCCAGTGAGGTCAAAGAAGAGAAATAACTCAAGCTGGGAAGGATTTAGTGACTGAATTTCACTAAATTTTCTGATTCAGTGACTGAAGAGCTAGAGACAGCGGGCACGATCACAAAGTTCAGAGGGTAACCATAGATGGCACCCTAAAACGGAGGGCAGATGAAGTTACTGGGCATGGGAAGGTAACACTGAGAGGGTGGGGCACTGGAAGACTCATACCCTGGGTACAGGAGGTCTGAGCAGAAAGGGAGATTATAAAACCTAAGAGAAACTTTCTCTGTGTCCCAGCTTTTTCGTGGGCCTAACACGCTCTCTGCCATAGGGAAGGTGTGAAGGGCCAAGGAGACAAGGTATAAGAAGGTGACTTGCAAGTGCTTAATTGCCAGGCAGATTTAGATTATTTTCCTACATATAGCCCATGGTTTAAGTGCTCACCTTCTGCTAGAGTCAGAATACCTGGTTTATAGTCTCATTCCGTCACTTTTTAACTGTCTTTCCTTAGGCAAGTTACTCAATCTTTCTGTAAGTCATTTTCTTGTCTGTGAATGGGGATAATAATACCTACCCTCCAAGGATATTGTGAGGATGACATGAAACAATATATACAAAGCATCTGGAAGAGTGATTAGCATACACTAAGGGCTCCATGAAGTGTAAATACAAGAAGTATTTAAAATGATCATAGAAAATACTTATTATAAAAAAAACCTTGAATTTTAATTTTTTTGCATCAAAATAAACTCATACTAACTGGTTATAAAACTTCTGAACAGGATCTAGTTTGAGGCACTAAGAACAATAAGACATTTTGAAAAAAGCCTTTAACAGAGCAACACAAATTCTGGTAAAATAGAAGCAAGAACAAACATCAAATTTATGTTGAAGCTTGGGTGGAAAATGGTGAAATCACTGACGCTTTACAAAAAGTTTATGAGAACAATGCCCTAAAGAAATCAGTAGTTTACAAATGAATAACTGAATTTAAGAAAAGAGGAGACAATGTTGAAGACGAAGCCCAGGGCAGGATATTCACATCAATTTGTTATGAAAAAATTCATCTTTTTTGTGTCCTAATTGAAGAGACTGATGATTAACAGCAGAAACAATAGCAAATGCCATAGTCTTCTCAATTAGTTCAGCTTACCAAATTCTGACTTAAAACATTAATATTGAGCAAGCTTTCCCCTCAATGGGTGCCAAACCTCTAGCACCCACATAAGCTACAGACAAAAGCAGAGCTTTCAATGGAAGTTTTGAACAAGTGGGAGCAAGATCCTGAAGCATTTTTTTGAAGAATTGAAACAAGGCTTTGCCAGTATGATTCCAAAAACAAGGCACAATCAAAGCAATGGCTACCAAGACAAAGTGGAGGTGCTCCAGTGAAAGCCAAAGTGCACCAGTCAAGAGCAAGGCTCATGGTAACAGTTTCTTGGGATCCTCAGAGCACCCTGCTTGTTGAATTTCTGGAGGACAAAACAATGATTTCATCTGCTTACTATGAGAGTGTTTTGAGAAAGTCAAAACTTTAGCAGAAAAGCACCTGGGAAAGCTTCACCAGAAAGTCTTTCTCTACTGCTACAACACTCCTGCTCATTCCTCTCATCAAACAAGGGCAATTTTGTAAGAGTTTCAATGGGAAATCATTAGGCATTCCTCTTACAGTCTTGATTTGGCTGTTTCTGGCTTCTTTTTGTTTCCAAATCTTAAAAAAAAAAAATCTTTAAAGGGGACCCATTTTTCTTCAGTTAATAATGCAAAAAAGACTGCATTGACAGAGTTAAATTCCTGATAGAGGCAGGAGACAGCCAAATGCCTAGGCAAATAGGGAAGTGTCCTCAGAGAACCTCTGACCCACACAAGTCATTGTGCATAGGGGGCTTGCCTAAACATGCCCATGGTGAAAAATTCTATCCCTTAGCACATGCCCTGTAAAGGAAATAAATCAATGTGGACTGGCTCAGACCAAGGGCCCACATGCGCACTGGAGGAATTGGGTAGAGCCACCAGGAATGTGTGCCTTATGCTGGGGAAGAGCGTGGCTTCTTCCACTCGTATGTGGTGGCCTGGTATTCAGTGTGTGAGGGGGAAACCTGCATGCAGGACCCCTTTTTTTGTTGACAGCTTTCTTTTCACTTAATAAAAATTCTGCCCTCCTCACCTTTCAGTGTGTCCATGTACCTAATTTTTCCTGGTTGTGAGATAAGAACCGGGATTCAGCTGAACTAAGGAGAAAAAATCCTGCATCATTTTGGTGGCCAGTATGGGGACATGAGGAAGGGTAAGTAAAATGTGAACCCAAAAATATCTTTCCCTTTCATTTCTGAGCTTTCTCATCCTCAGACTTTTTCTGAGAGCAGGGGAAGCTGCCCCACGTCCCCCACCCCACTCACTCTCAGGGGTCGGGAATGTTGGCCTCAATCCAACCCTGTATTTTCTATGGTATTTTCCTTCCTTTTATTGGTACTGTAACAGCATTTATCTTTTCTTTTACAATATTGGGGGTGTTCCACCACCATCCCAATGGCCACAGGTGTGCATGTGGGATATACGGGTGAGTGGTGGCTCCCTGCCCCACTTCCCTCTTGGCTGGGGTGCATGGCTGTGTCCACTGCATGTCTATGTGGCATCCAATGGCCATGCAGGATGGGAATGAGCCACAGCCAATGCCGGGGACCCAAGGGGGCCTCAGGGACCTGGGCCCTGTGCAGCCGGCTGGCCAGCATTTCCCACTATGCATCCACATCCACAGAGTCTTCTCTTCCCCTGGTCAATTAATCCAACTTGATCTGACAGCAATCAAAAGTTTCTCTCCCTGTTGGAGAAACCCATTTGCAAAGGAACAAAAGGTTCTTCCCCCAGGTCTTCTTGGCCCAGCACTTAAGCTTTTTTTTTTCCCTTTGCTCCACCCTGTCGGGAGTTAACTTTTATGTGAGAGGTTTTTCTTTCTTGAAAAGCATCTTATTAGACCAGGACCACAATTCACAGGACACCCTTTTCCCCTTCCTTGTTTGAGAAGGACCCTATTCCACAGTTATACCTTAGCACTGGGCTTATGATAAGGAGGTAGCAGCCAGTCTGGTGTGGGTCACTGGGGGATTGATGAGACCAGGCACCTCCTTGAGGCAGTTCCTTTGTCCCAAACTCAATTCCAAGCCTTGGGTTCAACCCCTAGGAAAGAAAACTGGATATGAGGGATCCAGAGGGAGATGACAACAGTAGTTAAAAGGCACAATGTAGGTGAGCATGACTAATTCTTGCTGATTAAGCCAAGCCTCCTGTTTCATGGATAAAGGTCATGCTAGTATCCATGGCATAAATGAGGTCTAGGAAACTCAAAGGCTACTGACAGCAGAGGGAAAGGCAGTACGTGGGCAAAAGTGGATAATCCTACCCTCTAGGCCTCCCCTTAGCATGGGTGAAAGCCACACTGACAACCATGGGTGGCACCCTATCAAGGTCACTGGGACTTGGGAATATAAGGACAGAAGAAGGAAAAAGGACGTTTTTTTCTTTTCTCCCTCACATATCCTGGGTATTCCCTAGGAAGAGAAAGGAACCAGGGATGCAGGGCTCCCCTCTTTCTAGGTGAGCAGCCATTCATCTTCAGTCTGCTTTCCTTTTGAATGCATCCTGAACCTCTGAGGCTCCTTTGGAAGAAGAAAGCCTTCTTTTTTACTCCTCTGTCCCCTCTTTACAGATGGGTAACTGTGTCCCTGTACTATAGGACACTCCCCTCAGATGCATCCTCCAGACTGAGAAAAGTTAATTTCCAAAACCTGACACTGGTTGGCTTAGAATTGAGCTCAGGGGAAGAGAACCCAGAAGCCTGACACACTGACAAAAGGGTAAAATATTTTTTACCTGTTGGACTTTTGGCCCCTCTCTCCCTGTGCAAACCAGTAAAAGGAATGATAAGGATCACTGTTTATATTTACTGTAAAGTTTTGATTAATGAAAAAGAATATACGAGACTGGGCTTAAGCTGTAGCTAATCTGGTGTGCTTTTAGCGTCTTAATTGAGGCTTGTTGGTTTCACCTGTGAGGTCACGTTTGGTAAAGTTCAAAAGCCAGAAACATTGGACACATGGTGTGGCTAACATCGGGTAATAAGGGACTTAAAAGGACTTTCTTAAACAGCACTCAGCTTAATTAAAAGGGGGTATCCAAGTTATAGGTATATTTAAAAGGCCTTTATGTTTTTCTCTTCTTGGATCTTGTTTTGCTGGAGAAAAGTTTTTTTTTCCTCAATCGACTGAATTACCTTTCTCCACCTTGTCTTGCCACTATTTTTTTTTTTTTTTTTTGACATGGAGTCTTGCTCTGTCATCCAAGCTGGAGTGCAGTGGCATGATCTCGGCTCACTGCAAGCTCCGCCTCCTGGGTTCATGTCATTTTCCTGCCTCAGCCTCCCAAGTGGCTGGGACTACAGGCGCCCACCACCATGCCCAGCTAATTTTTTGTATTTTTAGTAGAGACGGGTTTTCACCATATTAGCCAGGATGGTCTTGATCTCCTGACCTCGTGATCCACCCACCTCGGCCTCCCAAAGTGCTGGGATTACAGGCGTGAGCCACCGTGCCCTGCCTTGTCTTGCCACTCTTAATGCATGTATGAAAGGCCCTAAGATAACTTCTGATGCTCTGAGACTCCTTGGGAAAAACAGAAAAGGCACCGTGGATTCCATTTTGAAAGAGACCTCTGCTTTCCTCTTGGAACCCCCAGAAAATAGAGGCAGATAAATCCCTCTCAAAATATGTTTTGTCTTCCAGCTGTGTCTGTTTATCAGGGCCTACAAACAGCATGCTTTCCTAACCCTGCTCTTAAAGGGCACCACCCAGAGACCAATAATCCAATTAGGAGATTTGCAAATGAAATATCTTGTAACAACTGAATCTTCTTCTGTCTGTGTAGTTATATATGTGATGTGCATGATATCTATAAAAAAGAGCTCTAATTAATTGGTCTAAAGAAAAATAAGTGCTTAACTGAAATACTTTTGAAGGAAAAATAAAAGCTTTAACGCCTTTTAGTTCATGTGACTTTAATCTTTGAGAAATAAAAACAGTCTTAAAGATTACTGGTAAAATGCAAATGTTGTTAAAATGTAAATAGGTGGTCTAAATTATACGGGTCAGATACTAGGTTTGCTAAATGTTTTAAGGTTATAAACTGCTTCTTTAGCTGTTGAGAACTGCTCCACTTGCCTGCTTCACAATTGTTAAGGCCTGGGGATATATGGAATTAACCACACCCTTCACCATGCAAGAAGGAGTAAAACTTTATTGGCACCTACTGCATAATTAAAACAATCTACCAGATTTTATGTTAAAGTTAAAAATTGCTAAGAAGTACCATTATAACATGTAATTGAGACCACTGAAAATACATTTACATGCAAGGTGTATAAGAACAGTAAAATGTGTCTTTAGTAAAAGATTATAAGAAGGCATGAAAATGTACATTTTTGCCTTGGGATAAAATATTGCTTTAAATTAGATAAGATAAAGACAAAGGTTTAAACAAGTTATAGAAGGTTTCTAAAAATTAATCTTGCAAACAAAATTCTGTGTGTGAACATTGACTAAACTCTGTAAATTGAGCATTGAAATAAAAGCACAAAGGTTTTCTTAAGGCACTAATCCACTCATTAGCAAAATTTGTAAAGGGTTATAAAAGATTTACAAGAATCTCAGCTCATGGTCAAGCTGGTTAAGATTGCATAGAATTTTCTATAAGGTTTCATTTAATAAATTGGGGTTGACATCAATAGTAAACTAATGCAAGGGTAAAATTTGGCTTTCTCTCCCTGGTACAAGATTTTCATGTAATAGTAAAAGATAATGAAATATTTTTGTTTGCCTCATGCATAGACTACCAAGGAAAAGAAAGAAAGACAGGAGACATTTTTTGGAAAGCTAAGTATTTCCTCTTAATGAGTAAAGGTTTTTGTCTTTCTAAAATAATTTTCAAGTTATCACTTTGGCAAAATAAATAACTTATGGTAATCTGAAATTCTAGTTCACAACATCAAGTGTTTTAAACCTCTACCATATTTAACAGGCTTCCCAAAATCAAATTTCAGCTTCAAGGTTGTCTTTCTTGAACTCTCTCTTTTGGATGCCATGGAGGGTCCCTGAGGCATCCAGATGAGAGATGAACAGGATTATCTGACATGTTTAGGTACATAGAATTAACAAAATGTGTTTAATCTTCTTCAGGTTATATTTTAGTAAATAATATTAGTATATGTCACAAAATTGTATGAGATTTCTAAAATCCTAATGTCTGAGTATATGCTATCAATCATAATTAAGGGTGTTAAGTATTATAAACCACAAAGATAACCAAATTTCTTTGTCAATCATGTTTTTGATTGTAGCGACCCTGTACATATTCTTATTCATAGACAATTGTTGTCTTGTTTTTATCCCCTTCAAAAGATGGTTTATAATCAGCTACATGAATTTGACAGGTGCTGTCAAATGCAGTTTTCTGATAATTTTGAAAATTGTGACATCGGAATAAAGGAAAAACATACAGGACTTATGAAGAGCTGAAAATTTCACGAATATCAAGCAGAACAAGAGTTATCTGAATAGACTGAAGTAATAGAAAACTGAAGTAATCTTTTTTTTTAACTTTTGCTTAAAATATTGCTAATTTTTTTTTTCTGAGTCAAGGGCACTTTTATTTTGAACTATTTAAAGTCTTTAATAATTGAGTAAGGTAGACTCCTGTGAAAAAATTTGGAGCACATTTGTTTCTCTCTGCCTGGATCCTCTAGAGTTTGAAAACTATCTGTGAGTATTCTTATCTTATGGCAATATGGTTATTTGCATCAGTGCAATAAGAATCCATTTTCTTTTGCAAGAGGATGCAATTGGAGACACTGGTTCTTTTGCTAAGGGTTTGACTGTAAGGGTATGCTTCCATTTAAGGAATCAAGCTCAACTTGCAGAGCCAATAAAAGCCCCCTGGGGATATTGGCCTCATACCTTGTCTACACAGTCCCCTTACAGGGTTCCTCACCTGTGGTGAGTAAAGAATGTCACTTTCTCACAGGCCCAGGAACTCCATATTCTTGTGACTTCAAGAAGAGAGGAATTCACCCAACTCATAGGTATATTTGAGGATAGAAACCCATGGCTAGGCTCAGCTTTAAAAAGTCCTATCTGAGATTCCTTGTGGAACAAACTTCCCTCAAAGCCAATTTTAAAAGCCTATGTAAAAATAATTATTCTTGCTGCACTTTATGCAAATAATCAGGCCAAGTATAAAACTAAAGTTTATTTTGCAAACAACTCAGTCCTATCACTATTTGTTTTTAACAAAAATAAGGACTGGAGAGAGAAATTCTGTTTCAAAGCTAATCATAGATTTGTCATTAAATTCTAGACTCATTCATTAAGTTTTTCATCTACATTTTAAACTAATCCTGCTCATTCCTCTGAAGTAAACAGTGATGTCTGGCTGCAACTCAGAAGAAACAAAAAGGGATGGGTAATATAAAAATCTGAATCAATATTCCAGTTCTGGGCAATTATCCTGCAAATCCTGCCAGGTGATGGGAGTAATAGAGTGCCCATAACCTGGAGGTTTCTTTTTTGGGAAAATCAAGACCAAGGGAGCTAACCACAAACCAAGGGCCATGCACCCAAATCTTAGCAGAAATAACTATAGCCACCGGTTATCTGAGCCTGCCAGCAGCCTCAGAATTTTTGAGCCGTCCTTACCCTCGCTTTTGTTTCATTTTGGTACATGTCTTCTAATAACCCGGTTTGTCCTTTCTTGGCTTCAGGCTATCAAACTCCAAACGGTCATGCAACCAGAGCCTTGAACAATGGCCCCATTTTACCAGGGACCCTTAGGCCTCTGACTGCCATTTTCCCCAAACAGTGCCCCCTGTCAGCAGGATCAGTTAAGATCAGTCTTCATCCTTGTCCTTATTCTAACAGCAGTTATATGTACTTCTTTACATGGGGGAATCATAGAGGGAGGAGACAGCCAAATGCCTAGGCAAATAGGGAGGAGTCTCCAGAGAACCTCTGACCTGCCCAAGTCATTGTGCAGAGGGGGCTTGCCTAATCATGCCCATGATGGAAAATTCTGTCCCTTAACACATGCCCAGTAAGGAAAATAAATCAATATGGAGTACGCATTGATTTTTTAGAAGACTAAGGACCTGCATGCATACCGGGGGAATGGAGTGGAGCCACCAGGAATTCATGCCTTATGCTGGGAGGAGCCTTGCCTCTTCAACTCATGAATGGTGGCTTGGTATTCAATTTGTGAGGGGGAAACCTGAATGCAGGATCTCTCTTTTTGTTGAGAGCTTTCCTTTCACTTAATAAATTCCACCCTCCTCACCTTTCAATGTGTCCGTGTGCCTAATTTTTCCTGGTCATGAAACAAGAACTGGATTTAGCTGAACAAAGGGGGGAAAATTCTGCATCATTCCCAGGACCATCAATTCTTTAGGGATGGACTAAATGGCTAGGATCACCACCTACAAAAGTGTTTTAACCTTGATGAAGCTTTTTTTGAGAAATGAAGGGTTTTTTTTTTTATCTTTTAATTCCATTTTTCCATGAATTTTTGAAGTCCTCTCATAATATAGTTGCTTTTCATATTCTCTGTGCCAGCAATTGCATTATTTTAATCACTATATATATATATATAAATATATATATATGAATATGTGTGTGTGTGTGGCGTGAATATATGTATATATATATTTAGTCTTGCTATATTGCCCAGGCTAGATTTGAACTCCTAGGCTCAAGTGATCCTCCTGCCACAACCCTCCAAGTAGCTGGTTCACATACTACTTTGAAAGCTATTACTTCATACAAGTGTTAGTAGATTTAAAGAGCCAGTCTGGCTTCTATCTTTTTTTTTTTTTTTTAGATGGAGTCTCGCTCTATCGCCCAGGCTGGAGTGCAATCTCGGCTCACTGCAAGCTCCACCTCCCGGGTTCACGCCATTCTCCTGCCTCGGCCTCCCAAGTAGCTGGGACTACAGGTGCCCGCCACCACGTCCGGCTAATTTTTTGTATTTTTAGTAGAGACGGGGTTTCACCGTGTTAGCCAGGATGGTCTCGATCTCCTGACCTTGTGATCCACCCACCTCAGCCTCCCAAAGTGCTGGGATTACAGGCGCGAGCCACCGTGCCTGGCCAACCACTCTGGCTTTTGAAGATGTATTGTCCATCCTCTTAGGATAGGAAAAAAGGTCTTACTACAAGATGTCAATGTACATCACTACTGGAACCCACAATCAGGTACTGTTTAGTTATTAGGGAATTAAAGGAAAATGAAGTAGTATTGGGTTATTGTTTCTGTAGTGTAATATGTATACATAGGTATGCATGTGTGTTTGATTTCCACATGACAAATTTCTAATTATCCATTCTCATTTCCAAGTCTCACCATTTCCTGCACCAGTCTAATTCCTATGCAGCTCCAAGGCCCAGATGAAGTCTTACCTTCCAGGATATTCTCAGTGACAGTGAACTCTTCCTCATTTGAGGGACTACAGCATTTACAGCCTGTGCCAAATCCCTTAGCATCTATGTGCTTATTCTTTTATATACTTATCTTACTTCCTTTACATGAAACTTCTCCCTTCAACTATGTTATGTAGTCCTCAAAACTGGGTAGAGGATGGGACCTTGCCCTAAACTTTTACATTTTTACTGTATCTAGCACTGGACTGGGTACATATCAGGAACACAGGTGCTGCTGCTTAATCAATTACCTTCATTCCCACTTGCCATCAGCTACCCAACTATTAGATCTCCATGCAACCTCTCAGAAAAGCATCATATGAAACAAGCACATTTCACAGTTTTTTTTAGATTAAAATCCAAACCAGCAACTATTAACAATAGAAGATATTCCATGGAGATGCATTTAACAAGCTCTCAGGTTAAGTAAGAACCTGCAGGGACTGTCCAGCACTCATACAGAACAGGTCATTGAAGCTTAAAGGGCTTCCCAGAGCCCAAGGGAATACAGAGATGAAATGTAGGTAAAAGGTAAATGGCCAAATGGCTAGAATCACCAGTAGGGCTGACAGTCTCTATGCCCAGCCATTTTATCATGGTGCCCAGTAGTAGCCAAAGTTGCCCATTAGTCTGGAGAATGAAGCTGCCTTTGTCAAGCAAAGCTGTCTACCCGTGGCTGCTGGGGATTTTGTGCAAATGCTCAAACCCAGTGATGATCTTTTTGGCATGGAGTTTTGGTACTAAGATAAGCCCTGTCTGCTCTTTGAAAAGCAGCCCAGCTGAGTGGGCCATGTGGGCACAGCTGGTGGATGCCTGCTGCAGTGACTGCACATTTAGTCACTTGGCAAATTAAAAGATGTCCTACACAGGCTGTAAGCTCACTTTCAGTTGCTTACTCAATGGGAGGGCCAGGGGGCATTGATTTTTTTTTTCAGCATTCTTTCATGATAAAACTTACCTGAGTTTCATAATGACTCTTCAGGATGAGGCTCTGAAAGTTTAAAATTTGGGGGCTATGAATTTAATATAGGAACTGGAATGCAGAAACTCTTCACATTTATCATACCCACACTTAACATCAAAACCCTGTACCATGTATATTTTTCTCCACCAAATCCATATTTGTTTTTTATTAAATTAGAGCCCATGAGAAAATGTCATATTTCGAAATTTAAAAAATCAACTACAGAATTACAAGAGATGGAACACTGCCCTATGAACAGTTCAAGCAAAGGAAAACTTATATTAGGTGATATTAACTCCAGATGAACAAAAAGGTGTGATGTGGCTTCCCAAAAGTTAATGGATTATGCAATCATATTAATAGTATAAAATACAAAACAAAAGAGAGCAAGGTCCTACTTCATACTGGACAGACCCCATCCAGAACATTGTGTACACTTTTAGTGTCAGGAACATGCAACCAGGTTACGTTCACAATTGTCATCAAGAATGTGAAGGTCTGCCATGCAAAAGAGGAGTTAGCCTAACTCTATTTTAGAAAAAATGGGCATACTTTGTAAAACAGGAGATTTTGACACATAAAGAGAAAATATGGAAAACTCCAAGTTACCAATAAAAATGGCTGCACCAGGAGATAGGGACTTTTTCCATCACTGGAACAAGGATAGCATCAACATCATCCTTAACAACGATGGTAACAGGAGCAACTGGAAATGAAAGCACCCTTTGGCAAGCATTAAAGAACTTTCTTCGGGCGCTAGAGTTTATAGGTGTTGATGCTAGGATTCAAACCCAGGTTGCCTGATTCTAAATCTTAAACTTGTGTCCACTAAGTTTTACTAACTCCACATCTACCTCACACCATTCTGATAAGGATTATGAGAGATGGATGTTGCATACAAAGAGTGTAGAAAAGCAGCTGGAAATATAGGTGGCCTCCATGAGTGTCGGCTACTGATTAGTATCATTATTTTCATTATTATGTGTCACAAATCTCATTGGGTGGGAGGATGGGCTAGAGAATGTCTAAGTCTAAGGTTTGCTGGTTCTGTAACAGAAGCACAGGCCCTGAACCACATTGCTTGTCTTCCGTGGGCTCGCGCTCACCAAGCATTGCTCCAGCCACTGGGTCGACCCCATGATGCTGTCGGTCCTCCTAGGATGCAAGGGTCAAGTGTGCATCTCTGCAAAATCAGGTCGGATGCTCTTGAGGTTCTGCATTTAATCCTAAAGTTGGACTTCTCCTTATTGAAATCCCATTCAGAATTGGCAAAATTCCATTTGCTGATTCAAAAAGGGGAAAGAGGTTTTGAAAAGGCTTATAACAAAGGCTCATAAGCCTTACAGATCCAACGGCTCTTAAAGAACAACATTTTGATGAGTTAAGTGTAAAAGAACCAGAAACATACGGATTAAATTCCCCTTGAAATTTGAATGCATCTAAAAATTAAAGGGAAAAGCACTTGGCAGAATGCACTGGGGTCCTCTGCTGAATGTAAAACGTTTAGAAAAATGTCTAGAGACATCTTGCCCAAATGAAGCAGCTCCCAGTTTCTATCTGGCTTACTTTAAGTGCTGCTTTCTTTCATGTCTCTTAGGAGATTATTTCAGACTCCCAGTTCCCCTCCATTTCTTCTCCCTTAACGGCTAATTGCTAATTAGCAAGATATTTGTGTGCTGGAAGAAGCAGTTCATTTTCTGAAATGGCCAGAGCCTACTGCTAGCGTCACCGGTGGCACTCACCCAGGTACCCCAGTGCTAAGTGTGCTGTAGCAGCCTGAGCCACACCGAGGGAAACTAAGCCCGACTCTAGGCAATATGCTAACCCTGTGCTACCAATTTGCTGAGGTTCGAAGCCGCACATCCGTGAGTGTGTCAGTTCCAGCAGCTTGCACTAGCCTCACCAGGCCAAGCAGTCCTCATTTGGAATCCTTGAGAAACTAAGCCTATGTAGGCAAGGCTAAACAGAGATTAAACTGACTTTACTGGGGAGAACAAACATTGTTAGACCTGATGTGTCCATTTGGTTTAGTGTCATGGTGTTCAAAGTAGACACTGAGAAGCAAGTGATGATCCCCTCGTGTGGGGCAAGAAAATATGAGTTTTTCCATGTATATTTATTTGTAGTGCATCCTTTTATACATTTCTATTTTTCAAGTGTTTGATTATTTGTTCAATACACATTAGTATAATGGTATAAGGATTTAACTTGCCAATAAATATACGTATATTATGAGTGATACTCAAAAGTTTTTTGTTGGATAGGTGTGGGAGTTCAAAACTGTAATCCCAGCCCTTCCAGAGGCTGAGGCAAGAGGATTGCTTGAGGCAAGGAGTTTGAGACCAGCATGGGCAACAAAGGGAGATCCTTTCTCTACCAAAAAATAAAGTTTGTTCTTGTTGCTTGTTTGATTTTTCATGCTTTGTTCTTCTATTGTTGGCTATAAGCAATCAAAAACATTTTGAGACCACTGTCTGGTAAACACACCATTGGCTATGGATCAGGCAGGTCTGGGCTTGAATTTTGCCTCTGCCCCTTATCAGTCAGACAGCTTTGAGAAGACACTTAGTCTCTCTGAGTCTCCACTTCCTCTTGTGGAAAAGGAGAATTTTACTCCTTTGAAGGTTGTGATGGGGGTTAGATAGTGGGGGTTGAAGAAAAGTTGAATCCAACACACTTCCCAGTTCCTGGCTTCTAAGGGCTCAGCAAAAGACAGCTGCTGGTATTTTCCCTCTTGCCCTTTCCATTCTGTAGGCATGAATTTCTTACAAGGCCCAAACTTTTATTGAGATCTTCCTCCAGTAAGTGGAAACACAGTAGTAGACATTTCAGTCATCATTTTAAATCAAGTAAAGACTTGAAGACAAGAAGGTTTAATTATCTAAGTTTGTCACTCATCACTGTTATCAACAGATGTCTTTCTAAGGCTTCCAATATGCAAGACCAAATTGTAAGTCTTTTCACACTCTTCATCTGAAGGTGTGGACCAGCTCACCCTGTGCCTTCGCATGTGTCACCAACAAGTCCATAGGGTTGGCTGGCGGCAATGACTGATATTCTAGTAGGGTAAGGTAAAGTGTGAATATTAAACACTGATTTCTCAAGTCAGCTTAATGTGAAGAAAGCAGTTTCAACTTGTCAGTGACTTAGAGAAATCCTCTTCTAGGGAATATGAAGGGAAAGAATTGCAGTTCACACAATCCCGTTTAAAGATTCTGTTATGTTTTGGAAAAAAAGACTTCAAAGAAAACATGAGACACAATAAAGAGATGGGTAATAAAAATGATGACAAGACCAATATTGATAAGATATAATAAATTTGTAATTGGCTTTGCTGTTTTACAGAAGACCCTTCATAAAGCTTATCTGATCTTCAATGTAGCCCTATGCAATAAGTATTGATATTAATTATTTTATAAATAGAAAAAATGAGGTTGAGAGATTCCTTAGAAAAATGTTGGTGTGGGACTCAAAAACATGGATGCATGTTCAAACTCCCATATTACCCCCTACAAATTATGTCCTCTTAAGTCTTAAGTCGTTCTTTACCAAATCATCTTTTCTTCCCATAGAACTTATTGTCAACTGAAATTATTTTGCTGACTTATTAGATTTGATTTTCAAATTTCCCCACTCTCCAAGAGAATGTTAGCTCCAGAAAAGCAGGAAACTTGCCCAGCTTGTCCACTACACTGTTAAACCATGCCTTCTCCATAGTTGGCCTCAACAAATCATGATGTTGATTTTGCTTTCTTTCTCCAACCTTGGAACACAATGGGGATCAGCTAATGCAGCCCATGGTCCAAGTCCCAACCACCTGCAGATCTGGTAAGTGAATTTTTATTGGGATGCCATGCTTATTCTATTGCATGGCTGAGTTGAGTTGTTGCAGCAGTAATAGTGTAGTCCACAGAGTCTACAATATTTACTAATTGTCCCTTGACAGAAAAAGTTTGCTGACCCCTGGTTCACAAGAATCAAGTAGAAGCTATAGATTAAAAAAAGAAGTATTTGGCAAGCAGGATTCTTGCTAAAAACAGGTTACAGTTGGAAGACAGCTATTTCAACAACACATACTCATTAAGTCAGATTAATACAGCTATTTAGCATGAAATGTATGGAGTAATCAATACTATTGTATCTGTTGTTTAAAAAAAATAAATGATGAAAGTATGCTATTGATTACATACCCACCAATGCTGTCGACATTTACCTTAGTTCAGGTAAATGCCACCAATAAAAAGGTTACCTATTGCATAAGAAGAATTAGATTTTCAGCCAATTTTCAATAATTCTGAGAGACAGATTAAGACCTTTACTGTACTTCCTTTTCTGCCTTTAGGCTGTTTCACATTTTCTTCAGAAATTTAGAGTGGAATGGTAGGGAGAGAAAAGAATTATCCTTTAATCTAAGCACTTGTAAACCTTTCTGGGAAGAGGCTATGTGCTAAAAGAATTCTTTAGAAAAATGAATAAACAGTTTATTTTTAGATTTCTGTGTAGACTGCAATTATCTATACTCTCCAGGCTAATAATAGCTCGAAAAATCCAGAGCTGTTTGGAAATGACAAGAGCTGTGTATGAACCTGAGATCATCAGAAATTTTCTTGCTACATAGGTATACATATGTATAAAACAACCAATAAAAGACAAAATGTTTGCTAACCTTAGAAATGCAAAATCAACTTGGAATCCCATCTTGGAATAGGATTCTAGAGCAAATGTATGTAGGACTTTTAATGGTGAGTCACCAAAAATATTGTTGCACCTTAGTTTTACAAAATATGTTTTCACATTTTAATATGTATTGATTAAAATTTTATTTTATAGCAGCAAGAACACTTACCATGAGCTCTACCCTCTTAACCAAATTTTCAGTGTATAATACGGTAACCAGAGGTACAATGTTGTACAGGAGACTTCCAGAACTTACACATCTTGCGTAACTGAAACTCCATGCTCATTCCCCTCTCATTCCAGCCCCTGGTGACCATCATTCCACTCTTTGATTCTATGAATTTGCTTATTTTAGATATCTCACATCAGTGGAATCATGGAGTACTTGTCCTTTCTGACTGGTTTATTTCATTCAGCATAATGTCCTCAAGGTCCATCCATGATGTCACATATTGCAGCATTCCCTGTATGCATCTTTATATACTCTTAAAAAATTGACACTTAATAATTGTACATGTTTATAGGGAACATAGTGATTTTTCAATACATACAACTTATGGTGATCAGATTAGGGTAATTCATATATCTATCATCTCAAGCATTTATCATTTCTTTGCATTAGGAACATTCAATATCCTCCTTCTAACTATCTGAAACTACATACTGTATTATTTTTATAGTCATCCTACAGTGGTATACAACACCAGAACTTATCCATACTGTGTAGCTGTAAGTTTCTATTCTTTAACAAATTTCTCCACTGTATGTAAATTCCACATTTTCTTTATCCATTTATCCAGCAGTGGACATTTAGTGTTTCCATATCTTGGTTGTTGCGAACAGTGTTGCAATGTTTCTGAAATAGAAATTTATCTTCTAATCTGTATGTATGTTGAACATGGTGCCCATTTTTCTATTTCTCTTAATCCTAAAAAAAAAAAGCTGTTATTAAATCAACAAGCAGCTAACTGTCAATGGTACCTTCAAATCAAGCAAATATATTTTTCCTGAGAAACTGAGAGTAGGGAAGAATCCATTTTTTTATGAAATATCTTCTCTAAAATTAATCCTTGCTGCTGATATAAAAGGATCCAGATATCAATCCCCATATTTCTTTATAAGCCAAACTTCTGAGGCAGGTTTCCCCACCCACCTGTGTGCTGAGTCCCCACAAGAATGGTGATGGACCCTGAGAAACTGACTCAGCCAAATCCCTCACAAGCAAGGCCTGGTGTTCCCAGTGTCCAATGGCCTGTAAGTCAGTCAAGAGTTTCCTTGCCATCAGCCATTTTGCTTCAAATAGCCTACCAAGTTCATTCCAACACAGAAAGGCATCTGAGAACTGCATATTGTTTTCCAAACAACCCATTATCTGGTGGCCTACTGAAAAATTAGTTGAGGGAGAATCTGTGCTGAGAGATAAATCTTTCTGTGACATTTCAAGACTCATCCTCAGCCAATTAGAACTGCCACTGTGAGAGCAGCCTGTTAGCACACATTCCAACCACGTTAACCCCAGAAGTTCTGAAAGAAGCCCCTTAGCAGACCTACAGTGTCCTCTGCATTCTGGGAACTGATGGGAAAGCATGTGCATGTGTTGACTTATGGTGGAGCAAACCCCAAACAGGTTTGTGGCCAGAAATGGGATAGAACTAAAGAGTCAAAGAACTGAATTGAGAAATTGCAGACATTAAAAAAAGCTATTTCTAGAAGGAGTGGCTCTTTAGCGACAGGATTTACTCTGACCTCCGAATGCAACCTTGGGCCACACAGGAACCTGGACTCCTGGACAGATGAATTAGGGTGCTTTATTTCAAAATGAAATTGACCATAATGGTTAGTTTGGTGAGTTTCCTAGTGGAGTTTTGGCCTGAGGTTTTAAAAACTGCTCCAGGTCAAGACACTCTGAACCTCTTTCTATGCTATTTAACTGGCCCTATATTCCTCAGTGATCTTTTTTGGAAAGAAGGTGGAGCCATATGTCCTTTTAACAATACTCATAGCTTGCCATTTACAAAGGTTACCTTTACCAGGGGAGCTAGGTACTTTGCAAACATACAACTAACATCATGCACTGCTGGGGACATTTACACCACCAAATCATTACATAAATATTGCTTCATTAAGTCACAGAACATTCCTAAAGATAACTAGGCACCTCTGCTCCCATTTTTCTAGTTGGATAAACTGAGGTCCAGAGAAGACAATTCCTATACTCAAAGTCACCAAAATAAAACAGTTTATTTTCACTGGATCCCCTTCACAAATAGAAAAGTCCCCATTTTGGCTCCTCGTTGTTAATACAGAGGACACTTAGTTTGGAAACCCTTAGCCTAGAGAACTGCCAAATTCTGTTTTCTGATGCCAGTGACACAAAGCCCCAGCAGCCCACAGGACAGAAGGAGCTAGCACATCTCCAAGCTGAGGGACTCCGTGGCTGCAGGCTGTGTGCAAATGGACCCAGCTCATAAGCCAGCCTCATTTTTCACAAATGACACCATCTTTGGATCTGCACGCATCTGGCCATAGAGTAACTTTCAAAGAGTGTTTGTCAAAAGCTTATTCTCTCAGAAGAGTTCCCAGGAGAAAACCCCTATTCCTCTCAGCAGTCAAATCAAAAGGCCCCTCTCCCTGAAACCCCACACACAGGCACCACAGTGAGGAGGAATCACAACCGTAAAATAAGGGGCCAGAGTCCCGCAGAGGCCCCTGTGCCTCTCTCCCGGGGAGGTGGCAGGGATATCTGTGTACACGGCACTCTCCAACTGAACTGGGCCTCCTGTCTTGAGTAAAACTAAAAATAAGGGTGATAACAAGAAAGATTTATCTGAGACTGAAAGGAAGTTCTGACATTACCATAATGGCATCTCTCCAGAAAGTCTGTTCTTTCCTTTCCATTCACATCTCCACTTAGTATTTTTCTGAAAATATAGCTAAAGGCAACTATTCTTTCCCCATGGTTCACAACTATCAGATTGCCCAAGCTTGCACAGACTGCCCCCAAAACATGGTTAGTTAATTACTCACCAACAGAAATACCAAAAGCAACAAATCAGTTGCACACATATGTGTTTGAGAACCCTTATTGTTCTAAGAGACTCCTAATTACACATTTCCTCTGGTATCTACCCCTACCCCTCCCTACTTCCCTACGGGAGTCTGAGTAACACAATCAAAGAAGATTCTAAAGAGGCTTGTCATATCCTGGGGTTTACAAGACATGGTATTCAAAAGGCAATGATGTTAATATTGTTTTACAGTATGCTGGCTGCTTGGGGGGTTTGCAGCCATCTGTGTTCATTAACCCCTTTTTAAGTCAGGGGAAGGGCTGGGGTTGGCTCATTCACAGAGTTATGCTGCCTGCCTCATCACTCACTTCCTCTATCGAGTCATTGACTTGGGGGCATCAGGCATGATTTATTAGTAGGAAACATACCAGTAGACTTTGGTACAACAAGCATCTCCTAATTTTGCCCTAGCCAATCCCTATAAGAACCACTATCTGTATTACCTCTGAGTTCTCCAAGAGCTGATTCTAGAATATCCAGGTAGGTGTGAGTTACGAGCACAGAAGATTTTATTAGATCCACCGTCAAGGACTCCTAATACAGGCCTATTGCTACTGATGGATGACCTGGTTACCATATATATGAGGTAGTTACATTTATAATACAACGCACTTTTTTGTGTGAATCTGATAAAAGCTATGAACTCTAATTCCAGAAAAAAAAAATGTTCTTTCTCTCTTTCACACAAAAACGCACACCCCATATAATTCTGGGAGGTTCATGACCCACTGAAGCTCATCTGGGTCCACCAGCCCCAGCTGAGGAGATCTCATTTCATTAGAAGTTTAGCTTATTCTAAATATTTACCATGCCCTTCCCCACACTCCCATTATAATCATGGCTAATGTATTTTCATGATCTTTAATTTTTCCCACATTTGAATCAAATGATCTCCTCACTGATAGGAAGGGAACATTCTACTATCACAGTCTTTCATTTTAACAGATACACAGGCATCAAGGGCTTAATACAGGCAAGCACGGTGGTGGTCAGTGTGACGTGTTAACTTGGCTGTGTGACGTGTTAACTAACCTGTGATGGTCAGTGTGACGTGTTAACTTGGCTGAGTGACGTGTTAACTAACCTGTGATGGTCAGTGTGACGTGTTAACTTGGCTGTGTGACGTGTTAACTAACCTGTGATGGTCAGTGTGACGTGTTAACTTGGCTGAGTGACGTGTTAACTAACCTGTGATGGTCAGTGTGACGTGTTAACTTGGCTGTGTGACGTGTTAACTAACCTGTGATGGTCAGTTTGACGTGTTAACTTGACTGTGTGACGTGTTAACTAACCTGTGATTCTCAGTGTGACGTGCTAACCTGGCTGTGTGACGTGTTAACTAACCTGTGACGGTCAGTGTGACGTGTTAACTTGGCTGAGTGACGTGTTAACCAACCTGTGATGGTCAGTGTGACGTGTTAACTTGGCTGTGTGACGTGTTAACTAACCTGTGACGGTCAGTTTGACGTGTTAACTTGGCTGTGTGACGTGTTAACTAACCTGTGACGGTCAGTGTGACGTGTTAACTTGGCTGAGTGACGTGTTAACTAACCTGTGATGGTCAGTGTGACGTGTTAACTTGGCTGTGTGACGTGTTAACTAACCTGTGACGGTCAGTGTGACGTGTTAACCTGGGTGAGTGACGTGTTAACTAACCTGTGACGGTCAGTTTGACGTGTTAACTTGGCTGTGTGACGTGTTAACTAACCTGTGATGGTCAGTTTGACGTGTTAACTTGGCTGTGTGACGTGTTAACTAACCTGTGGTGGTCAGTTTGACGTGTTTTGGCTGTGTGATGTGTTAACTAACCTGTGATGGTCAGTTTGACGTGTTAACTTGGCTGTGTGACGTGTTAACTAAACTGTGACGGTCAGTTTGACGTGTTAACTTGGCTGTGTGACGTGTTAACTAACCTGTGACGGTCAGTTTGACGTGTTAACTTGGCTGTGTGATGTGTTAACTTGGCTGTGTGACGTGTTAACTAACCTGTGACGGTCAGTTTGACGTGTTAACTTACTTGGCTGTGTGACGTGTTAACTAACCTGTGATGGTCAGTTTGACGTGTTTTGGCTGTGTGACGTGTAAACTAACCTGTGATCGTCAGTTTGACGTGTTAACTTGGCTGTGTGACACGTTAACTAACCTGTGATGGTCAGTTTGACGTGTTTTGGCTGTGTGACGTGTTAACTAACCTGTGATGGTCAGTTTGACGTGTTAACTTGGCTGTGTGACGTGTTAACTAACCTGTGACGGTCAGTTTGACGTGTTAACTTGGCTGTGTGACGTGTTAACTAACCTGTGACGGTCAGTTTGACGTGTTAACTTGGCTGTGTGACGTGTTAACTTGGCTGTGTGACGTGTTAACTAACCTGTGACGGTCAGTTTGACGTGTTAACTTACTTGGCTGTGTGACGTGTTAACTAACCTGTGATCGTCAGTTTGACGTGTTAACTTGGCTGTGTGACATGTTAACTAACCTGTGATGGTCAGTTTGACGTGTTTTGGCTGTGTGACGTGTAAACTAACCTGTGACGGTCAGTGTGACGTGTTAACTTGGCTGTGTGACGTGTTAGCTAACCTGTGATGGTCAGTTTGATGTGTTTTGGCTGTGTGACGTGTTAACTAACCTGTGATCGTCAGTTTGACGTGTTAACTTGGCTGTGTGACGTGTTAACTAACCTGTGATGGTCAGTGTGACGTGTTAACCTGGCTGTGTGACGTGTTAACTAACCTGTGATGGTCAGTGTGACGTGTTAACTTGGCTGGGTGACCTGTTAACTAACCTGTGACGGTCAGTGTGATGTGTTAACTTGTCTGTGTGACGTGTTAACTAACCTGTGACGGTCAGTTTGACGTGTTAACTTGGCTGGGTGACGTGTTAACTAACCTGTGACGGTCAGTGTGACGTGTTAACTTGGCTGTGTGACATGTTAACTAACCTGTGACGGTCAGTTTGACGTGTTAACTTGGCTGTGTGACGTGTTAACTAACCGGTGACAGTCAGTTTGACGTGTTAACTTGGCTGAGTGACGTGTTAACTAACCTGTGATGGTCAGTGTGACGTGTTAACTTGGCTGTGTGACGTGTTAACTAACCTGTGATGGTCAGTGTGACGTGTTAACTTGGCTGAGTGACGTGTTAACTAATCTGTGATGGTCAGTGTGACGTGTTAACTTGGCTGAGTGACGTGTTAACTAACCTGTGATGGTCAGTTTGACGTGTTAACTTGGCTGTGTGACGTGTTAACTAACCTGTGATGGTCAGTTTGACGTGTTTTGGCTGTGTGACGTGTAAACTAACCTGTGATCGTCAGTTTGTTGTGTTAACTTGGCTGTGTGACGTGTTTACTAACCTGTGATGGTCAGTTTGACATGTTAACTTGGCTAGGCTGCAATGCCCAGTTAGTCAATCAAATACTAATCTCGTCATTGCTGTGAAGCCATTTTTGTAGATGAGATTAACATTCAAAAATAAAATTGGTTTTAAATAAAAGAGATGATCCTGGATAATCTGGGTGGGTCTCACCCAATCAGCTGAAAGGCCCTACAGGCAGAACTGAGGTTTCTGGAAAGAAATCCCACTTGTGGACAGCAGCTTCAGCCTGTGCCAGAAAGCTCCAGCTGCCATTCCTGATGGCCTGCTTTACAGATTTCAGACTTGCCTAGCCAGCACCCATCATCATGTGAGCCAACTCCCTGCAATGCACCCCTTTTGATGTCTCTTACTAGTTCTGTGTCTCTGGTTTAACCCTGACTGATGCAGATTTTGCTACAAGGAAGTGAGTTATTGCTAGAAGAAATACACTTTAAAAATGTGCAGCTGGCTTTGGAATTGGACAATGAGTAGAGGCTCAAAGAACTTGTAAGTGCATGATAGAAAAAGCCCAGATTGTCTTTACCAGCGAATCCATAGAAGCCCTTCTGGTGAGGTCTCAGAAAAAAATTAGAAGCATGTTGTTGGAAACTAGAAGAAAGGCAATTTTTGTTATACAGAAGCAGAAACTTAGCTGAATTGTTTTACAGTTAGTGTAAAGCAAAACTTTTAAGCCATTAATGTGGACATTTAGCTGATGAGACTTCCAAGCAAAGTACTCAAGGTGCAGCCTGGTTTCTTCTTTCTGCTTATAGTAAAATGTGAGCAAAAATAGATTAATTGAGGAAAGAAGTGTTACGCAAAAAAAGACCCTTGATTTAGAAATTAACAGCTTGTTTAAATTGCAAAATATGCTAAAATTAGAAGATCCACTGTTAACAAAATGTCCTCTGGAGAGAACGCCAAGTATATGACTGAACACCCTGTTGCTAGAACTGAAGGGAATGGGTATGTGACCCTTGGATATGAATGGATATCAGCATAGGTCAGAAAGAAAGATGAGATTATCTAAGAAATTCTGTGGAGGACCCTTTTGTCTAATAATATGAATCCCTATGACACATACAGGAGAATCACCAGGTTTTTGAGAATATTACATCAGTAGAAACATGTCCAGCTTAGACTGAAAGGATCAAGGACATGACTAAATGAAAGAAGGTTGCTAGACTCCCAAAATTCCATAGAAAGAAAATAAGCTCATAAAACTACAAAGTTGCAAACATGTGCTACCCTTCATGAAAAAAGGAAAGATGACTGTGAGGGCTGAGCTTTGGAACCAGAGCCCAGAATTGCAAGGCCAGAAGGCAGAGCTATGGGCCCAGAGGGCAGTGAAATTAGCCTCAGGGGATTATTCCCAGGCCTTGCATGTAATGGAATTTGCCCTACTGGATTTGGAAGGTGCCTGGGTCTGGGTAACCTTTTCTTCCTTCCATTTTCTCCCCTTTGGAATAGGAGTGCCTACAACTGTTATTCTATGCTTATTCTGCCATTAAATTTTAGAAGCAGATAACCCGTCTTCTAGTTTCACAGGTCAACAAGTGAACAGAAACTTTACCTTGGGGTGGATCATATCCATAGTACCACCCATACCTGATCTAGATGCTGAGTTTGGGACTTTTGGGGCTGATGACACTTAGGTAAGATTTTGGATGTGAGTTGATGCTGTAACAGGCTGAAATTTGGCAGTATGTTGGTATGGGGAAAATGTATTTTGCATGTGGGACAGACAAGAATCTTTGGAAGCCAAAGGTTGGGCACACTGTGAGAGGCTAAAAAATATTCCACAAAAGCTGGTTGGGTACAGTGGCTCATGCCTGGTCATCCCAGCACTTTGGGAACAGGCAGACTGCTTGAGCTCAGGAGCTTAAGACCAGCATGAGCAACATGGTGAAACCCTATAAAATACAAAAATTAGCCAAATTAGCTGAGTGTGGTGGCACATGCCTATGGTTCCAGCTACTTAAGAGGCCGAGGTAGGAGGATCTCTTGAGCCTAGGAGGTCAAGGCTGCAGTGAGCTGTTACTGTGCCACTGCACTCCTGCCTGGGAGACAGAGCAAGACCCTGTCTCAAAAGAAAAAAAAAATGTTTCACAAAAGCCATGCACATCCTAATCCCTGGAATCTGTGGACATGAGCTTATATGGTGTGTGTTTGGTGGAGGAGGTTGGGGTGGGGGTAATTTACAGATGCAATTAAGTTAAGGATCCATAGATGGGAAGATTATTCTGGAGTATCTGAGTGGGTCCTAAATGCAATGCAATTAATTCATAACAGAGCAAGAAAGAAGCAAATTTGAACATATATAGAAGAGAAAGCAATGTGAATATGCATCAGAGAGAAATTTGAAAATGTTGGCCTTGAAGAATGAGATAATGTATCAATCCAAAGAATACCGGAAGCCACTGGAAGAAAGAAGAGATGAGAAATAGATTATCCCCTACGCTCCTGCGGCTCTGCCAATGTCTTGATGTGGGGCCAGTGAAGTTGAGTTTGGACTTCTGGGCTCCAGAACTGTGAGAGAATACACTTCTGGTTGTTTTAAGTCACCCAGTTTGTGGTAATTTGTTACAGCAAGCATGGGAAACTAACACAGATCCTACAGAAAACTAAAATGAGAAAGTCATCAGTCTCCATCATAAAAATTTATGAATCAACCTATAGAAGGGTCCAGATGAATATCCAGCTAGCTCTAATACAGGGATGGCTGACAACAATAAAGACGTAAGCAAAATGCAAAAGCCTTGGAACAGTTCCTCAGGTGGAGGAGACTGAGAAAGATTCACAGAGAGCAGAGCATTTGGAAGAAGTAGAGGCACAGAAATGACCAGCACATTCTGAGAAGAAGACACTGTTCAAATGGAGGAACATGAAATTCATGGTGCTGAAAAGGGTTGGAAGGGGGATGATAATGACAAAGAGATAAAATTAGAATGTTAGAGTAGGCATCATGTTAGAGGTATTCTAGTGATTTTCAAATTGTGCTTCATGGGAGACATGGAGAACTAAAAATATTGAATACAACTGGTCTAGTCTACACTCCCCACAACCCCAATTTACATTGGAAAAAAAATAAAGACTTACCAAGGATGCACAGGCATACACAAAGAAAGGCTGTATAGCATGGCTATTGGCATCAGACGGATGTGAATTCAAATGAAGCAAGTCCACGTGCTCACAGATAAGTTTCTGTACCTTTCTGAGTTTAATGTAAGCAATAAAGATAAGAGCACCTGCTTCACCCAATTGTTACGATGAACTAATGTATGTCACATGCCTACACAGTTCTTTAAACTTAACCAAGTACCCAGTAACAGAAAGTAAGCAAGTAGGAAAAGTCAGGATTAGAACCCATGATTTATCATCTTTCATTTTTCCACTACCAGGCTAGAAAAGTTAGGTTCCAATCAGAATTTAAATTCTTGAATGGCATGTCAAGGGTTTCTAACTTTATGAGTTTTAATTCATAGAATAATTATAAAATACGAGATACTGTAACCTAGATCTGTCTTCTAAACATCATTATCTAGTGGTAGAAAGATATGAACAATCATATGAACAAGATATGAAGTGAGAAGAGAGACAGTGTGGAATCTGGTGCAGGAGATTCTAGTAATGAGATGAGGAAGCCCTGGTTAACTCTGCTATAAGAAGCATATTCTACACGCTGTGCCTTTTTGCCCTGAGATGATGTTTGAGGAGACAGAAAACTAGCCAAGCACAAATGATTACTCAACAGCAGGAAAATGTTGCATGTATGTGGTGAGGAGTTGGGGGCAGCCTAATTATGCACGGATGTTCCAGAAAGGACATCTACACTTGGCATCTCTTCTGAGAGAGCTGGTCATGAAATGTCACAATGTTCAATGTCTGGGAATGCATGCAATGTTTACAAAGCCTGCTTTCATGATTCCTGGTGATCCGGACAGCCAGCTGTAGGAGTTTCCCCAAGAGTCACATGCCCTGCACTCCTGTGCACAGACAAACCAGTGGAATGTGCCATTCCCCTAACCTCTTCCTGTGAGAGCAGAGGCAAATGTGATCTTTGAATCTTAACATACACACACATCCTTGTCAGTGTGACAATAAATCCATAATATTGCGCTGGATTTTTAAACAGAAATGAGGAAACACGGGTAAAATGAATCATGTTCTGGAAAACCAATGAAATGCAGTGGTTGTTTGAAATGTTTATTCATTTAAAATAATGAGGTATGATGTTCTGACCCATAACCCCAGGCCATGGTCACTTACACTGCCTCCCCTATGGAAAGTGAAGTTGTTAGCCTGAAGAACAATTAAATGGACTGGAACCATGGGGTTCAAAGAGTAGAGATCAGTTAGTCTTCTCTGCCTGCTACTCTGGCTATTTTCAGGTTTGTTTCCTGCACTGTGTGATCCAGGGCTTTAGTGAGGCTCATTTTAAATCATCCGAAATCCCATGGCTTCAAATCCCTTCCCTTAAAGAAGTCACTACATTGTAGGAGGCCTCACTATTAACTCTTCATTGCTGACAGTCACCTTGAATGTGTCTTTGCTCAATTCTTTCCCATTATTCACTCTTGTACCTTTTGGATAATGAGAGATTGGGTTTGACATATATTCCATATTTCAATGCATGTAACATGTACCTAACTTAATGGCAATTTCACAATTATATACACACTGACACACAAATACACATATATATATGTAACTTTGCTAAATTGCAGTTGTTAGGATAGATAGATAGGTAGATAGATAGATTAGATCTCCTTACCCAAGTCTATATATGGGCTTCTGAACCCCAAATTATTTGCAATATGTGATCCTATGCATTTTGTTTTCCAGAGAAAGAAAGAATTTTTATCAGATTCTTAAAGAGAGTGTGCAACCCACAAAAGACTCACTCTTACCTTTCTTCCTTTCTCTCCTCCTTTCTTTCTCTCTCATCTCCCCTTCTTGTGCTTTTCTGCCTCCTCCTCTCTTCCTCACACTGCTTTTCCAACATGATGTCCCTCCTCACTTTCCCTTGTTGAGTTAGCTTTTAGAGGGAATGGTGTGGTGCCCACGTGCTAAAGTACACAGCACCCTGCTCCTTAACTTTGTGTTGCTTTGTGGGTCATGTTAAGTGTGTTTTAACAGATTCTGACTCTCTGGAGAGTTGACTAAAAGCTTAGAGAGGGTGAAGATGGTGAGAGGAGCTGGCTTATCACAAGTGCTATGTCTGCCTCTTTTTGTAGAGGAGATGAAGTGGAGACAGACTCACATACCAGGATTCCTAATTGTGTTCCCTCTCCAGGCAGGGGAAAGAAGGACACGTCTGTCCATTCCTTACTGCTCTTGAGCCAAAGAACAAAGAGAATCTGGACAAAGAGCAATTCCACCTCAGTCCTTCCACATCAGTATTAAACTTGTAAAATGATTGAAGTCTAAGTCTGAAATAACTGCACAATTAGGGCACCGGAGGGTGGGGAGACACACGATTCCAGTAGCTTTTCAGGCTCTGCTGGCTCAGTGCATCTCTGAACAGGGTACTGTAAAATTGGAATCCACCACTATTTTGATTATTCCTTATCTATATTGCCCTCTGGCCTTCCACCCTCTCATTAATAGACGGAGAAGTCACACCAGCTGATTTTTCAGGGCCTTCCCATTTCCAGCTTTGTGGGATTATCACACTTCTGGAAGAATCCAGCTTCCAAAATGACCTTCTCCATGGCTGTCCGTTAATCTGACTTTGCTATTCCTACTGCCATAGGCTAAATGTTTGTGTCCCCAAATTCATGCATTGAAATTTAATCTCCAATGCAAGGGTATTTGGAGGAGGAGCATTTCGGAGGTAATTAGGTAAGGAGAGTAGAGACTTCCCAGAGGCTCCCAAAAGGGAGAGGAGAGTCCCCTTGCCCCTTCTACCACATGAGGACACAGGAGAAGACAGCCATCTGCAAACCAAGAGGAGGGCCCTCACCAGACACAGAACCTGATGAGACATTGATCTTGAACTTCATAGCTTCCAGAGCTGTGAAAAAGAGATGTCTGTTGTTTTAACCTACCCAGTCTATGGTATTTTGCTCTAGGAGCCCAAAAAGTCTAAAACACTGACCTTTCTCCCAAGCCCCTGAGCTTTCCTTTCGAAAGCCCCACCCATCCTGCCTGGTATCCACTCCCACAAATAAACAAGAGACTGAGAACCCTGGCCTTCCATTTCTTTGTATAATTTACTCCATGGAGTTTCTACTATTCAATAAAGGACTTCATTTCTATTGACTTGCAAAGACCACACATTTCAAGTGCAGCCAAAACAAATCAATGTCATATGAGCCGAACACATTCCTCTAACTATTCCAAAGAGCTAATGATTCTGAAGTCTTCTCACTGTGTATATTTTGGTTAGGGCTGGCTACATCCTGTCTGATTACAAGAATATCTACAATCCTAAATAGCTATGCATAATGTTTGTGGCCCAACATACTTTTATTTTTTTTAGAGTGAAGTCTTGTTGAAAGATTCCCTTCCTTGCAAATATTCCCAATTTCACTCCTTACTACTCAAATAAAAAAAAAAAAGCCTATCTCTTCCATCATATTCTTCAGCAACTTGATGCTTAGTCAAAGTTCCTTTTATAAAATCTCAATTAGTTAGACATTCTGAACTGGACCATTAAAGAAGTGCTGTAGAATGAGCTTCAGGAGTTTTCACTTTGCTGTCTGAAACTAGCTGGGTCAGCACCTGCCAAATCTATTCTTGGCTCTGGCTTGCATGATTAGCCCCCTCACTTTCCCAAGCTTGAAAATATAAAAACAAACAGAAATTACTATGTCACACCACTCCTCTTCCATACTCAGCTGGAACATCTTTGAGGCAGGTTTACTGTTACTGACCTCAGGGTAAATTTTTTGCACCTGGGGTGGTAAATTACTTCCAAGTGAGGCAAAACCAGATGGCCTCAACTTTCCTGGAGTTGATTAGAGTGACTGTACCTGCTTCAGAAGTCTACCAATCACACAGCGGAGTTTGATTTACCATGGTAACTCCTCAGCCAGTGGCTTCTGCATGGTTAGTGGAAGATGTTGAATCTACCAATTAAAACTAGCAAATGATACCCCCTATCTGATCCACACACACACACGCACTCACATCACTTGTTCCTAAGTGCCCACACACAGCCAGCTGCTGCTGAACAAAAGAAAATTTTTAAAAAAATCTTTAAAAAATGGAGCTCCTGCTTGGTGACATACAGAATAATAAAGCAGGTTTGTGACCCTTCTGGCACAATTTCCTGCCACACAAATACAGAAGATGCTTGAACTGTATAACTGCCTGAGGTCTCCTGTGACATTCATCTCCACTTGGCAAGGATGCCCAGGAACATAGGAGAAGGGCAATTTTCCCACTCATGAGTTATCAAATATCTCCTAAGTTAGGCGTGTAAATTCAGTGTTCTGTTATTATCAGATGCTATTAGATCACCATGCATTATCCCTCTCCGGTTTATCATTCAATACAATTCAATTTATTTCTGTTCAATTCAATTTGATTCAATCTAACTCAATTTAATTTAACACATTCATTAGCCACACACTCTATTAGGTATAAGCTGGTATGAAAATTAATAGTTAAACACAACCCTTCTTCACAAGAAACCTAAAATAATTTATCAGCCAGGGTTTGAGGGACCTTTATAATTGCAATATGAAAGATGCTAAACATCAGTGAGTGTAATACCTAAGGTGTTGATAAAGACATTTAGATGACTTTGATTTATTGGCCATTCTATTAGAACGTACACAAAAAATATGCCAATGCTAAGCAAAATGTTATTTATGTATGACACAAAACAGCTGATAACTGCTATGAGATGCTTTACTTTTACATTTCTTTACTTCTTAGATAGTGAACTTATCTTAGTGTGTGACTATCTTGATTTTTGAACAAAAATTGCAACTAGAATGGGTATTTTTTGAAGGACAAAGGAAAAGAAGAAATAGAAAAAAATTGTGCTGCAGCACTACTATATCTTCAATGCAGCATTAACAGTAAAACAAATAAAAATCTAGCAGCATTTTAGCATGCATTCACAAAATGCCATCTTAAAATCACTTAGATCTTCATTATTTTTTCAACATAGCAAAAGTGTTTGCTTTTGCAGATGCTCTAACACAAACATTCACATTCTAGACCAATAAAAATCACAATCATTTGCAGTTATGACCACTAACACCATTTGTAGACATGTAAAATCAAAAAAGATTAATCACACTATATGAAGCAGGAAATACACTGATTTCTGAATCATTCTGCAAACTCAGGTCTAGACCCTCATGAAAAGATAACACAAGCAGAGCCTGCAACCGCACAGAGATTGCAAATCCTAAAGAAACTCCAGGTAGTATACTATTTCTGTGACTGCAAGTCAAAGTCTGTGTTTGATTTTCTATGAGTGGTTTCCACCAATAACATGTGACAGAGTCGAAAGTTTTTTGCATGGCTCCATATTTCTGTATTTATTGTGCGTGTTTACCAACAGCAAAATGTTATTTACAACCTCCTTTCATCAGCGGAGGACAGCAGTTCCAATATTCCAGTTTCTCTCACTGCTATGTTCCATTAAATGTGGATACAACCTCTGTTCATAGCGCAGTAACAATCAAAATTTAGGAAGACTTTACTCTAGGGCAGACTTGCTTTAAAAAAAAGTATTTTGGAGGATAATGTCTCCTTGTCTTCAGCCTCGAATGCACCAGGTAAACGGAGCACCCCTTGCCTACACAATTTCATTGCCCGTTCCCTAAACAGGAAAGAGACTTGTAATAAGACACTTAAGTGTTGAAAGAATCTAGAACGAAGCCCAGGGGGTGGATGTATTGTAACTTTGGGAAGACGTATAATGCCAAAGTGTGGTCTTCGTGTTGAGGCAGCACGCCTGGGTTTTGGCCTGAAGAGGCAGTTCTGCCACTCAACCTGGGGCCTATGTCTCATGTGGAGGGAAGAATCCCCTCCTGGATGCACACTGCTTGAGATATGAGCTTGTCTAGAGGAAGCTGGGGGATCCTGGAGAGCTACAGGTATCTAGAGGACAGGAGGGTCTCTAATCTGGAAGAAATAGGCACCTCCCTCAAAAGGCTGCAGGAGGGACTCCAGAGAACCCATTGCAGGAGGGGAGTCCATGAGGCACTGTGTAGCTTGGTGTGTGGCTGAGGAATGGAGCTGGGAATCAGTGGGGAAAGAACTGAATAACAAATTTGGGAATCCTTGACATAAATACCCTGAAGAAACAAACCAGGCTCTGAGGCTGATGCAGAGCTCGTGGCAGGGGGTGATGGGGGGTGGTGTGGGGCGGGGGAGGATTCGAAGGGCTCTCAAGTGGAGTCCATGGGAACTGGTCACAAAGCACCTACCCCAGTGCATACTTGGATGTTTGGTTTGGGGTAGACATCAGCTTGGCTTGAGTAGTGAGGTTCTGTTTCTCAATTTATAGGACTGCTAACCTAGGATCTGAACTTGAGTTCAGCCGGTACCACACACTTACTGGGAAAGTCACTTGACGGGTTTAGGGTCAGTTTCTTCATTTCAAAATACAAAGAATGTGTCAATCGGTCAACAGACAGTCCCTAAGGCCTCGCCCTGCTCTCTAGTTCTATGACTTGAGGAAAGGTAAACACCTGAAGCACTGTTACTTGGAGGCAGCAAATGCGTCTCTACATTTCATCTTCCTTTGTGGAGGCCAGACTCTCAGAGGCGGCCCTGAGCTGGGCTGGCCATGAGGAGAGGAGGGTGAGGAGGATCCAGGTTGTTGGGCTGCTGAACCACCTGGCCCGTGAATCCCATGTGTCCGACAAGCTCCTCTCTACAAAGAGGCAAGTGTTAGACTAGGGTGAGGGGACAACCAAAAGGGAAGGTGGAGGCCCAGAGGCTGCTTCTAGGCTATGAGGAAGAAGGGATGGTCAAGGCAGGAATGGAAGAAGGGAGAAAGCACCAGAGTGGGGTTTCTTTTCTGTCTATATTGGTTTTTTAAGCTAGAAAGGATAATCTTAAAACTTTTGTGAAAGGAGTTCTTAAACAGAGTTTGCACGCTTGATACCACCAGCACACTGAATTCCCTCTCACTCCTCCTCTACTTCACATTTTCACAATATCTATCACACACATTGTGGGAAACATTGGCTTAATTTCATTCAATATAGAGCAAGTACCCACTGTGCACCCTGCTTCCTACGTTTGAAATGCACAGGTTGTGCATCTACAACAAGGTTCAAACAAGAGGATTCAGGCCCTGGGCTGTGATCCTATTGGTTTCGTGATGTTCTGGAAGTCAGTATGTCTCAGACTCAGCGAAGAAGGCAACTTCCTGTTTTAGGTGGCTTGCTAAATAAAATCTTCTCTTCCTTTCTGAACTCCCTGCCCCAGCCAAACCCACACAAAATAAGGGAAGAGAAACATACTAAGAATAGGAACTTGAATAATCCCTGAAAGATAGCAAGCAGAGAGAACCAACCATGGCAAGTGCCCATGTCAAGAGGGGGATGAAAGTCTCGAGATGGTTGGAAGCAACACAGCATTAGTCATCTCATTGCAGTGGGAGAAGTCAGAAAGGCTAAATCTCTACACCAAACAGAAAGACATGGAGTGCATGGCTTAAGGCTAGGAAGGAGACTTAATCCGCTTCGCAGGGCAGAGTTCTCAAGGCAGGTGACATTGGGAGGATCAAGGACTCACCACAGCCAGGACCAGAGCACTGCCCCATAGCACATTCCACGCCTTCCCCATTTTTACCGAAACCAGCACACATTCCAGCAGCAGCACCTCCCGCCCACTTCCTCCATCAGAATGCAAGGACAGGCAACAAGCAGACAAATGGTCATTCAGCGTTACAGAGATGGGTTCAATCCAGAATCACCAAACATTTCACAAAGAACGCCACCATGAACATCAAATAAAGAAACAAAATAAAAGAGGCTCAACAGACAGAACAACTCAAATCAGAGGGATCAGAGCTAACAGGGAAAGGAGAATAGGACTGTATATGTAGGTTTCATGTCCACAGAGAGATAAAAAAATATTTCAGTCATGAACAAGGCTAGGAGTTATGAGACAAGCACAGACTTGTGAAAAAGGACCCAAGTAGAGATCTTGGAAATGAGAAGCCACTGGGCAATGGTCTTAGGTCAAAATGATCACAAAATGAGGTAGAGGAAGCTGATGAGGCACAAACAAACCAAAAAACAACCAACAGCGCCAGTGAGAGAAGTCCCCAGCTGCAGGATATTTTGAGTAAGGGAAAGAAAGATGTTGAGAAAAAAACACGCGGAGTCTAGGCCCACTTCAAAATCCAACTAAGATGTTTCTTTAGGGTCTACTATGTTTGTGTGATTCCCCTCACAAATTAAGCATCTGCAGTGTCCCCTCCAGAGACCATGAAGGAGAAGACAGGATTCAAGAGAAAACACTAAGGATGCAGAAGTACAGAGGAAAGGAAGGGGCAGCACAGCTCAGAGGAACATGAAGTGTTTGGCGAAAGGGGACTCGTGGTGGACACTCATGTTGGGAGGAGTAGGAAAAATTGCAAGTATTTATTTTCAAAGATGTTTTCTTAAAAACTAGGCAACTGAAAGGACATTACTACAATTCTTGAAAATATAAACACACAGCTGAATCTGTTTGACAAAGTAGGACAAGAAAATCAGGGAAGAAGTTTTTGCACTACCACATCACATTGCTAAAACATGCCTGAGAGTGAAAACGAACTAGATTTATATCTGCATTTCTAGAAACCTAAAAAAAAAAAATCCAAAATACACCGTATATTTTAGACTTAATCTCTGACAATATTTACTGCATTGTGTCTGTTCTCTTTCTTTTCTTTTTTCTTTTCCTTTACAGCTGAGCACACAATCAGATAGCTCAAGTATGATAAGCACCCGATTGAGGCTAAACATTTGCTCTTTTTTGCACGCCAAATGATTTCCATCTTTGCCTCAATTGTGTTAAGTTTATGAAACCTATGTTTTTTATCACTGGTATCAGCACTTTCATTTTTCTGTGGGGGAAGAATGCAGTGAAGTATTCAAACAATCGTACTAACACTGCTATACGACAAAGCAGGCGGCGCCCCTGGAACCAAGAAGCTGTCTGGTGGGCAGCACAGCTGGTGGTGACTCATTCATCAAGGCGACACACAAGGCTAGGCTTGGCATTTGCAAAGTGGTTTCCGTGGAGTGCACTGGGGGATTTGTGGACTGTGCAAGAGTTGAACATACAAAGGTTGAGGATCATCTCTGTGGGTGTAAGAATTTGGCTAACAGTGAAATAGGGGCAGGCTAAATGAAGAAATGACAGAGTTTGACAATGTAACAAACTGTCAGGCAAGGTGGGTTGAGAAGAGCAAGAAAAGACAGAAGCATAATTTTAGTGTTCAAAGATATAAGATTCCCTGAGTCCAAGAGAGTCTGATTCTCCTTGTCTCTCCATTCATTGATTAATTCATTCATTGACGTATTCATTCATGTATTCATTGCCTCATCCTAAATATCAAAGATTACCTCCTATATGCATTATTAATCTCTGCCTTCAGGGAGCTTACATTTTAGTGGGGAAGATGAAATATCAGGTGATATGGCAGATGATCTATGCTAGGAGCTATCAAGCTATTTTTAGGTATTGGACATCTCTCTGCCAATGAACTGCTACATTGAAAATTTATCAATGTATACAAGTGGAGCTGCTATTTTGGGGATAGGGGATGACGTGTAGGAACTCAGAATGTAGTCTTGCTCTCTTTCTCATAGCCATTCTCTCTCTCTCCTCCCTTCACCCTCCTTCTCTCTTCCCTTTTTAAATCATCAAAGTTTGGAATACAAGTATACTACAGTCATGGTTTGGTATTTACTGAATAAAAATAAACACTTTTAATTCTTAATTTTACAATGGGAGGAGTTTATCATTTCCAATTAATCTGCCTACTGCAAAAATGAATTATTCCTCAATTGAAACCTGCTCATGAGAATTTCCCACTGTCCCACACCTCATACTTTTCTACCTGAACACACAGCTGCCTTCCTCCTCAGGAACCATGGAAAACTTGGAATATTCTAACGTAGAACTACAGTGAGGAGTGGCATTTATCCAGCAGCTTCTGAGTGCCGAGTTCTGTGCTAGATGCTTAAAACAGGTCATCTCATATGATCTTCACTTACAAGCCTGCCAAGGACAGATTATAAGAGAACTGTGTGGAGACAGAAGCTCAGAGAGGCACAGGGCCCAAGGCCACCCAATTCCTGAAAGAGACGGGATTCAAACCCACATCCTCCTAGGTCTTATGTGCACACTACCACTGCCTCCTGGCCTTTGTACTGCTTTGATGGTTCTCTCTCTCTCTCTCTGTCTCTCTCTCTCACTCTCGCTCTCTCTCTCTCTCACACACACATGCACACGCACACACACCTCTTTGCTTGGAAATACCCTCTCCTGATGTTAAGCACTTTCAAAATGCACGTTTACTGTCTCCTCCTCCCTGCCTGTCGTCCCAGGCTGCAGCTGCCACTCCTGATGCCACAGGGTTAATGTGCCAAAAAGCTGTTTTTCCTCTACTCTAATAAACATGTTTCTATTCATTTGCAAGTTGGTGTGTTTGTTTATTTGATGGGCTCATACTATTTGAGTATGCCCAGATAATGTGTTAACCCCTCTGACGCTAGGGCTCTCCAAGTGCCAGCCTCAGCCCTGGGCATGCCGGCCTCACCATGCTCAGGGCTAGTCCCAAGGGAGAGGCAGTGTCTTTGAGAGGTGAAACATGGAGGTGAGTGGGGTGAGCACCATAATTGGAACAGCTGCGTTCATTATCCTAAAACAAATTTAGTGCCAATAAAAGGTGTTCAAGTGAGAAGATTTAAGAATGAAGATTGACAGTCAAAGAAACAGCCACATATGATCCAACCTCAAGGCCAGCCCCATCCTTTGCAATCTGCCTCACTCCATTCCAATGCCATGTAGGCATTCAGCTTTCTGCTGGCAATGTAGATGTAACAGTGGTTTTCAAAAGCTGGAATCCACTTCCTACTGCAACCTCACACCAAGCCCTTGGAATGCCTCACCAGTACCACCGTTTCCTCCCTTGACCCCTCCCTTAACCACAGATAATTCATTCTGAGCTACACTCCAGGCAGGAAGGGTGTCTGATCATTTTCCATGTCCTCCATCTCAATTCCATCATCTAAGGGAATTATGTGCCTAGATTTGCTATAAACTAGATGGATACTTGGGTTAGCTTTTGGAATGCCACCAGTACTCCCTCAAGAGATTCACTTTTTCAATTCAAGATTGATAATGCTTATAAATCTCAAGTTCATAAGTTAGTATATCCCCTGCTGCCCCTCCTTTCTCTTTCTTTGGGTCTAGATTGACTGTATTCTATATTTACAATATGGAATACACTCTATTCTACCAGCTACCAGTATAGTCAAGAAGATGCTGACATTCCTTTAACTCATTGAGAGCTAACTCTGCCTCCATCCATCTGCCTCTCCCTAACATGGGAATTTGCTCTGGGCTCTTCAGAAGAAGGATTTCACATTAAAGTGTATTCACAATGATTTGGCTATTTTCACTGAATAGGACTACGAATCAGAATCCACTGTGCCCATCCAGTAGTAAGCGCAGACAAATGGCATTATAGCTAAATCTACAGCTTCGTTTAAAGAAGAAAACCCAGTCAAGACTCTAAGGTGCTAATCCTGAGTCTCCTGTGGAGTCCACACAGCTTGGCTATATAGCAAATCTCAGGCCCTTTTGAGACAGCAGGCTAAAACTGCACTGTGGAAACAATATTTTGATTTATTTTGTTTGTTTTTCTTTGAGACAGTCTCACTCTTTTGCCCAGGCTGGAGTACCGTGGCATAATCTTGACTCACTGCAACCTCTACCTCTCAGGCTCAAGTGATTCTCCTGCCTCAGCCTCTGGAGTAGCTGGGACTATAGACGTGTGTCACCACATCTGGCAAATTTTGTATTTTTAGTATAGATGAGATTTCACCACGTTGATCAGGCTGGTCTTGAACTCCTGGGCTCAAGAGATCCGCCCACCCTGGCCTCCCAAAGTGCCGGGATTACAGTTGTCAGCCACCGCACCCAGCGACTTTTTTATTGGGTGACCACTACATCTGCTACTGTAAATAGACCCTAAGGTCCAGTGATACTACTCTAGTGGAGAATTGGCTGCTGATCCTGGAAGGAAACCCACCAATTAGGGTAATCAGCACAAAAAAATAAAGAACCTACATTAAGTGCCTTCTGCTTTAGAAAACACCTGGATTCATCACACAAGATGGAACAAACAAGATAAATCCTCTATTTGAGTATTTGAAGCAAGAATTCACTTAATTTTGCAAGAAATTTATTTGAGAGGTTGGGTAGTAGATGAAGAAAGAGTAGTTCATCCTCATTTTTTCATGTTATTTCACCCTGATAAGGTCTGCCTCCTGTCCTCATTAATCCCTCTACATTCCCCAATCCAAGGAAAACACCTAACAGCTTGGTATAGAATTTCAGAATTCTTTTCCTTTGCATTATGAAAGAGACTAGAGAGTCTCTGTAGCATGAGTTTGTTTGGTGACTAGATGCTCTTTTCTCCTAGCCTTGGTGAGGTAAGAAGAGCAGCTGTGAGAATTAACAAGACCAGAGTTCTGTGCCTGGATCCGTTCTTCATCTATGGGTGACCTCACAAGTCCTCTGCCTCAATTCTGTCACCGAAAGAATGACCATTTTACCTGGTCAGGCCCTGGCATCGGGTAAGCCTCGGATCAAATCTCATCTCCATCACTTGTCAGGTGGGTGACCTTGGACACATTACTCAATCTCTCTAAGCCTGTGTCTTCATTGGTAAAGGAGGACAATGACAGCTACCCCCTGATAAGGCCATTGCAAGCATTATGCTGAATCATGCATGCCCAGGGCTGAGATGCTCATCATTTTTGTTGTGATCGGTATACCACAGCAACTAGTGAGGTTGATGAAATGCAAGGAAAATGCAGTGGAAAGCTATCAAACACTGTACAAACAAGATGGGTAGCACTACAAAAGCAGTATTTTGTTGTTGTTGTTTCATTATTGTTATTCTACCTCTTAGTTTAGGTCCATTTTAGAGTGACAAGAGACACCATGAGAAAAAAAAATCCAGGGATTCCTTCTTTTACTTATGGGGAGCTTTGACATAATTGAGAAATATATGTTTGTGAAACATTACTAAAAGGTTAAATGAGCATTTACACACACACACACACACACACACACACACAGTGAGCCTGGAAAATACGTTTGTGAAGAGATAATTGATTCTACTATTCCACTTGCCCCCTAGAAAAAAGAAAGGGAGAATGAGGGAATCCCCAAATCAAATAACATTCCCTTCAAATACAAAACTTGGAGCGAATAAGCAATTGACTTTCCCATTTGGTGCCTTAATTCCTGTCTGTTAGATTTCCTGCTGTTTCTTGCCGGAAAATGTTATTATCTATCACTCTTCTGGAATGAACAGGGTGGAGTACATCTCTCTGAATCTCACTCTCCCTCTTCCTTGCCCTGATAAGCATGGCAGAGCTGGGGGCTGTTGACAGGATTCACATTTTCAACTGATAAAGTGCCATTTACACTATGAATGCCAAAAGAGTGGTGGGTAGTGGTACTCAAACATCACTGTCTAAGGGGGGAAATAGACCAGGACTCCCAAACTTAGAGAGAATGCCGGAATGCTGGTGTCCAAGAACATAAAAAGGAGGAAGGGAAAAAGGGAGAGTTCCAATTAGCATTCATGTCAGTTATTCCTGGTGAAATTGTGGGATCACAGCTTTGTGGATTAAGGATTAAGAGCAAATTTGGCTTTGTAAATCTCCCTCCTTGGGATAAATATCTGTTGAGGATTTTCTAAACCAGTCACATATTTCTTTAACACCCCAATATTTTTACTTTCCTTTAATAATTAGCTTCTATATAAAAGGCCTGTTTGCAATTTTTTTTGCCCTACATTTTAGAGGTAAAATGTCCACTGCCAATTTAATTAGTTCTCTTGCCTCCCACCTGTCTCTGACCTGGCAGATGAGCAATGGACCAACTAGTAACATCCCTCAGTGAGCTCACTGGTCAGTCTGGGCCCATTATTCTGCCAGCTTCCACAGAACTGGATCCAATCTTCAGGGATCATGGTGCAATAAGCAACCAGCTTTGATGCATTCTCCACAGTCTTTTCTGAAATAGACTCAGCACTTGATAAAGCTCACATATGGCTTTGTTCCTCACATTCCGGATCAGAACTGTAGACGGAGTAGTTAGATGAGCAGTGAGGAGTGGCCAGGGCTTAGCCAGCATTCTACTGACACTGCTGTCTAAGGGGTCCTCCTGGGGAGGAGGGGGCTCTTGGCATCCTGTGCCAGTCCTGCCAGCAGCTTGTCAGCCTGACCATCATTAGGGGCTGCTGGTCCAGGCAGTCGGAGCCTGGGGGACTGGAGACACAGGAAAATATTAAGTGATATGCCAAGAAGGATAAGGCTCCCTGTGGCCAAAAATCTTACTTCCTTCCCTCCTGGTCACTGTAGACACTTGGTATCCCAGCAATTCCAGAACCCACACGGAGTGAAAATATAAGAAAAATATAAGCAGTTGAGACTGCGGATTCAAGATCCAGATTCCATCATTCTGAACCCTGACTTTAACACAGAGTAGTCATGTCATAATCTCTCAGGGCCTCAGTTTTCTCATTTATAAAATCAGGATAATAATGGTACCTGCTTCACAGGGTTACTCTAAGGATTAAATGAGCTAATATCTGTGAAGCAGTCAGAACGGTGTCTGGCATAAAAAAAAATCATCGTCATATGTTACAAATAAATAAAGGTAGGCACTATCTGTATTTTTCCACCAGTGTGACTGAGACTTTGAGAGATTAAGTTACTCGACCAAAGTCACAGGGTTACAATTCAAACTGACATGTATCTGACTCCACAGGGAAAATCCTTAACCAAGGAGCAAGGCATCTGTCTTTACCAAGGTCAGCCAACCCACTGGCACCAAGACATCCTTTCCACCACCCCCGACTTGCTGCAGGGCTCAGATTTCATCAAGTCCTCTTTATCAAGTTCCTATTACAAGGCAGGCATAGTTATGCAGAAGAAGAACCAGACAAGGCTGGAGGCAAGACATGTAAGTATGAAAAGAAAACTGCCAGAAGCAGGCAAATAAGGCCAAAAGAGAAGAGACACCAGCCAGCCCTGCAAGCTCCGCCTCTGCCTCTGCTCTCGACACACTGGCCCTGCAGGTGTCTGTGTGCCCCACATCTGGTGGCCTGGGCACCTTTTGCTCACAGGCAGTTCTCTATCTTGCCCTTCCCTAGCTGCCTCCTTTTCATCCTCATGGAGCTTCCAGATGCCCCAATCTAGGCTTTGCCGCCATAAACCCTCTCAGAGCACGCACCTCTCCTTGGAAGTACAGATCTCAATTGGAAGCCATTATTTGTGTAATTGCATGTTTTCGCCTGTCTCCCCACTTCATGGTAAGATCTGTGAAGGCAGGGGCAGTTTCTCTCTTTCCCCACAGTGAACACAGTGCCTGCTATACAAAAAAATCATTTGCCCAGCCCCTTTCCCCCCAACTTTGTTAGGAATCAATTTCAGGAATTTCCAGAGCAAGAAAATCCTCGTAGGGGTGGGCTGGTTCACAGGGCTCTGAGGACCAGCCATGGAAGGTTCTGCTGCTGCAGGACAGAGCTGTGCTCCCAGGCTGCTCTCAGGGCCCTGGCTGTGAATTTCTCTAACTTCCCTCTCCAGCTGCTTGACCCTGGCTGGGTAACTATTAGCTTGCCTTTCAGCAACGCATAGCAATACGAGAAAGAGAAGCTCATCCCTCCTACCTCACCCTTCTCCCTTCCCCAGTCCCCTGCCAGCATTTTCTCTCTAAACCCTAAAGTCACCCAACTGTGTCATGCTGCCAGTGGCCTCAGTTAGGTAAATGCCACTGAGCAAATTTCCGACTGCCTTTTGGGATAGCCTAAGTCTGAAATTCAGTAAAGGTCAGTGGGAAAGCTGGGAGAGAGACACTGCATCTTTCAGAATCACCTGCTCAGGAGGCTGCAGATCTTTGTGTATCAAAAACTGTTGGAAGGGCCCCCCACCCAGCAAAGGAGACTCTCAAAAATGAGACATCAGTTTTCCCTAGAAAGTGGCTCCTCCTCCATCAAATCAGAGACATGTCTGACCGGCAAAAACCTTGGTGGCCATCCTCATGACTGAGCTAGACTGAAATGTCCCTCCTTGCTTTGTCTTTTCCCCCATCAGGTTTTCCCACCCTGCACCCATGGCTGAACACAGCATTGGTCCTCTTCCCCAGAGGTGTCACATCCCACCAGTCACGCTGCCATTGAGATAGGCAAAACCTGGTCCCAGGTGAGGGTGATGGAGCAATGTGTATCTCATCTCCAGCCATGCTGATAACTCCCAGCTCACAGCCAAGGGCGCTCACCTCTCACTGACAACCCCTGCAAGAGACCCCAGAGCCAGTGTGTGTTGGAGGAGCTGATCCTCTGCTCACTAGAAGGGTTTCCTCCTGGCTGCTCTTCAGCCTCACAACCGCACCCCTGCCCCAGCCTAGCCTCTCTTCCAGGGAGGAGACTGGCATGGATGAAAGGGTGTGGCTCCCTCCTCAGGTGCGGCCAGCCCCATAGCATGAAGGGGGAATGTGCCCTTGCCTTTCTCCTAGGAAGTGTGCCCTGTAGATGTGAGTCTCACAGTCTCCATGCCTGGGCCGCCTGGGGGTGTCTTCCTCCAGGGGTCACTTGGAGGAAGTGTTCTTGTTGTTGCTGTTTTCAGACATACTTTATGCTCTATCCGTCTCACTTTTGTCAGATGTGTCTGATTTCCTCTTTTGTTTCTTGTCCTCAGGTATGTGAGGTGTGTGGCCTCAAAGTCAGGAGGCTACATCTCCCTCCAATTATATTTCCCTTCAATTGCATTTCCTATGACCTGGTCATATCTGAAAAATCGAAATTCCCTTTTTCTGGGCTCATAATTAACAGAAAAATAAAAACAAAAATCCTGAGCAGCAATGCAGAAGTCCTTCTCTCTCAGGTCAGTCAGCCTTGAATCTCCTACAGGGTAAGGGCCGACTCTTCAGAAGCCCCGATCCAGCACCGTGCACAAATAGGTGCAGAAGGAAAGAGTACACGGTTTTCATGTAATAGCTGCTATAAAAAAAAAAAAAAAAAAAGAAAAAAGAAAAGAAAAACAGCTCTGTAGTTCTGGTGTTTTTGTTAGTTTTGTGTTCTTGTTGTCGATATTGCTGGGTTTTGGTTGGGGGTGTCTGTCTGTTTTGAGGATGTCAGAATGAGAATGCTGAGACCAGGCTGACCTGTGCTGGGATTCTCAACTTCTGGGTCCCTGAGCCACTGTGGTTGTATCTTGACACAAACATCAACCGTGTTCACACTACTTTCTCACACAAGGCTTCAGATAGACTCCGGAATTATGACAAGAAATGCAGAACCCTTTGCACTCTGAAGGGTGAGAAGAATCTGTTCTTTTCCTGTTTCCAGAGGTGAACACAAGAAAAGCTTCAGTGGCTGTCATGGTTGTCCTGTTAGTCCCCAGGAAGTACTGGCCCCTCTATTCTTGGTGCTAAAGAATGACTTAACAATTCCCCACACAGGGACCAGAAATGTATTGATCGTGTGGACCCAGAGATCTTTACAAACTACAAAATATAATCTGTTTTCTCTCTTTGCAGGAGGCTCTTGGGCTCTGCTTTGCCGCTGAAGGGAGGGAGGAGGTGGCGGCATGGGGGGTATTGCTGTCTAACAATGCGTTCCTTCACATTTGGCAGCAGAGAGGATCCCCAGGGATTGGTCAGGCAGCAGTGTGATCTGAAGTTCTTCTATATACCCCTAGATTTTGAGCTCATCCAAAAGACACATAAAAAAGGAATGGTCTCTTCTTTCTAACAGTTTAAACATAGCTAAGCAGAGCAGGCATGCAAGCATGAGCCCATGTACACACGCAGACATACTCAGCTATATAAAAAAAAAAAAGTTAATAGGAACTAATTACAAGTGAAATGCTAAGTTGGGTAGAAAGTGAGGGCATTAGGGATTGAAGGGCAATCCAGCTCCACACTGAGATGTCAAGCGGGTCGTCCACCCAACTTTGACCTCAACAGGAGGTCTCACACAGGTCAAGGATGTAATATGATACGTAAGACAGAAAATTCTGGCTTTCCTAAATGAGGACCCTACTCTTGATTTAGAGAAAACCAGTTTTCTTCTCTCAGACTCAGAAAAGTTATGTGGAAAAACAGTGGGGCCTAAGAGGAAGGAGGCCTGTGGAGGGCATGTGTCTGTAGCTGAGCTTGCAAACTGCCCTGCCTGGCCACCGGGTCAAGAACAGAGCTATGGCTAGGAGGCTGCTATCTGCTCAGAATGCCAGTGATGACCAGGCTCTAGCTGACTCCCCTGCCTCGCAGACCAGGAATCCCAGTTTTGAAAATGTGGAGCTTTTGCTTCAAAATAAATAAGAGGTGCTGAGATCAATCCTTTGAAGAAAACTGGCATTTGAATTGGAAGCACAGCTGACCAAAGGCTTAGAGACAATGTATTCAAGAGAGATACTCAGGAGTCAGCATCAGGCTGGCCTGGAGCCTTTGCTTGAAATTTGACCTCAACACTGAAAGACTATTTAGTTAATAGGACAAAATATTCATAAGGGATATTCAGAATTCAGCATCAGGCTGGCCTGGAGACTTTGTGTGAAATTTGACCTCAACACTGAAAGAGTATTTAGTTAAAAGGATAAACTTCCCTTCTGGAGCATTCAGTGTCAGAATCCTGCTCATTCTTCTTAGAATGAATGATACCTATGTCAGATCCCAGCCCATGGGGGCACAGAAGACTGGATGGAGGCAAAGAAGGATAAGGAAACACTTGGGAAATAGACAGACCTACATTCCAATCCCAGATCTGTGTTTCAGTCACCATATGACCATGAACAGGAAATGATCTCTGAGCCCAGGGTTCCATGGGTAAAACGGAGATTAACTTTGAAATTCCTAGGGCTGCTATGAGGACTGAATAAGATCTTAATGTAATTCCTGACACAGAATAAATACTCAATATGAGAGAATAACCAGGTGATAGATAGATAACAGATAGATTGATGATTTATAAATAGATGATAGATATATGGTAGATAGATAAACAGTAGATAGATAGTTAGATAGATAGACAGACAGATAGATAGATAAAGCCAGTGCTCAGCTGTGATCTCTGTTCCTCACCACAAAGACCCCTTGCCTTTCTCTAAAGAGTGCCTTGTATCCATCCTACATGCTGCCCAGGAAGACATGAGGCACACAGGGGAGTGTCGCCTGGGAATGATCTATTATCTGTACTCAGCATGTTCCCGGAAACCTGTTGTCCCCAGGAGAACAGGTGAAAGCCTGACACTGTCAAAAAAGTGGGGGAAGCTTGCTGCTTAATTTTTTATTAATGGCATTAAAATTTCTTTGCATAAGCCATTAATCATTAGGTCATATGAAAGGCTTATGTTTATTCAGAGAGTATAATAACTCACAGCAGTAAAGATGTATGATTTCCCCATTGGCCAGTAGAATTGCTGTGTTGTTATGTAAAGGGGTGGGTTTTTTTTTTTCTTTTCCTTTTTCTTATTTATTTTTACTTAAAACAGTTAGTTCAATTTAACAAATATCTATTGAATGCCTTCAACAAAAAATAAATACAATATGGTTTGTCTTGTGGAAGAGCTCAGGATGATAGCAATAATGACAAAATAGCATGAACTGTCAGCATTAGCTGTGCACACACTGGTCCAGTCTGTGCTGAGCACTTCACGCATATTACTTTACTTATCTTATTTAATCCTCATTACCATCCTAGGAAGTAAGCACTATTATTATCCCCATTTTGCAGAAATTGAGGCTTGAATATGTTGAGTAACTCACTCGAGGTCATACAGTTTGGATGGTTATAGTCTAAAAGGGGAAGGGATGACACAGAAATGCACAGATAAAATTCCATTTTGGAGTCTTTATATAAGCAACTCTATTTTTACACACAACCTATGCAGAACGAGAATAGCAGTATTCACTCATTGTTTACTTTCCCATCCAAAACAACACTGCTCCAGATCCTCGGACAGATTTCCAGAGATGGAAGAAGCTCAGAAAGAGCTCAGAGAAAAGGGTCACCAGTTCCAGGGTCTCTAAGAAAGTCAGCCAGGAACACCGACATATATGGCTGCCATGTCCCACGTGCTGTGCCGTGGGAAAAAGGAAGAGTCCAGAAAGGAAAACCTCAACCCCGCTGCTATTGACTGATGCTGAGAAACGTGCTTTGAGGAAACCCTGTCTCTGATCTAGCTGTACTCATATTTGGGAGCTAAGTATATCCCGTACCTTTCTGGTTGGATTAAACCTAAGAAAATGGTGGATGAATCATGAACTAGAATATTAAATTGCCATTCATATTGTGTCTGAAAAATAAATACTTGCATGGAAGACCATACTAGTATGTTTGTAAAAGAAGCCGAATATAAGGGAATACACAAAAATAATAACTTCAGATATCTCTACATGTAGAATAATCAATGGGAAAAATGTTATTAATTTTTAAAGAGCACAGCCTAATTACCAATACATTTGTAAGGGCAGGCTCCTTTACTCCCAGCTTCTCCCCCTCATTCCTCTGACCTCTTCCTTCTCCATTTCACTTCCTTCTCAACATCATCTTTTATTCTACTTCCTTTAAATGGCAGTTGCCTCCCAGAACTGCCAGCACTTAACCCTTTAACAAGTACAAAGAGATGTGTAACTGCTTATCACAAAAGCACTGTATCCCAATAATAAACAGAACGCAACAGACAGCCTGATATGAAACACTAACGCTGTTACTGAGGATTTTTGCATTGATGTTCATCAAGGATATTGGCCTGACATTTTCTTTTTTTGTTGTATCTCTACCAGATTTTGGTATCAGGCTAATGCTGGCCTCATATAATGAGTTAGGGAGAAGTCCCCTTCTTTTCAATTTTTTGGAATATTTTCAATAGGAATGGTACTATCTCTTCTTTGTACCTCTGGAAATCAGCTGTGAATCTGTCTGGTGCTAGGCTTTTTTTGGTCGGTAGGCTATTTATTTCTGTCTCAATTTCAGAACTCGTTATTGGTCTATTCAAGGATTCAATTTCTTCCTGGTTCAGTCTCGGGAGGGTGCCTGTGTCCAGGAATTTATCCATTTCGTCTAGATTTTCTAGTTCTTCCTTCATCCCGCTGTGGTCTCTTCCACTAGGCAGTGTCCCATGGAGTTGTGCTCGGGAAAAGCACTGGGAGCTCAGGGATAAAATGTCACTAGAGGACATGCACTGGCGAAGGTCCCAATGTGGAGGCTCGTTCCTATCACACCCATGATAGCAATGGGGCAGCTTGTTGCTTCCCTCAGTTGTCGGCCACCTCAGGAACATGGAAATAAGAAAATATATGGACTCATGAGAAGATCCACAAAGAGGTGCTACTGGATGAGGAAATTCAGAAGAGGGGTCCTCCTCTTGAACAGACACATCTACTGAATTCTACAATTTATTTTTCTTTTTGGCCTCAGATTTCCCAACTCTAAAACACACAGTGTCTCACTGACTCTGATTTCCAGGTATTGCAGGGAAAAGGTAAGCCGTAACATACAAATGCCTTATATTTGCATGAAAGAAAGAGTCACACAGGCAAACTTATTATCACTTGAGCCCTGTTATTGGCAGAGGTTATTGAGACTGAAGTGCCACAAGTTATAGAATGACCTTGTGGTAGGTAGTGCATAAGACCCATTTAAATGATAACACACACACATACACATGCACATAAGCACACACACACACACACGCACATACACACACACATATATACACACACATACACATACACACATATACATACACACATACACACAAACACATACACATACACACACATACACACATACCCATACACATATACACACATACACACATATATACACACACATACACATACCCATACACACACACACACACACACACACACACACACACATAGTTGGTGTCTGTCTTCTTAAAATGCTGAGATGGCAGTAATGCCATTTATCCCAAGATTGGGCCTTCTTTAACCAGGAGAATGGTTCTCAGGACAAAGTGACATTTTCCAGATGATATATTTCATACCACCAAAACTCTGTATTCTTTGAATTTTCAATCTTACCTCTCTCCTCTCCCCTCCAGACACCACCTGATACTACTCGACAATGGTAAGTCCCCAGACTTCCCATGAAGCCTGATGCTGTGGCTTGTTTGCGTCTGCCAGCTCATTCTGAAGAGAATACTTGAATAATGTGCTTGAGATGACCCAGAAGCAGTGGCCAAGAGCCATAACGGGTGACCACTTTCCAATCTTGCAGAAACTATAACTGAACCCAAATCAACAATCTGTAAAAACTGGCTGAGTCAGAGTCTGTGGCTCCATGTGGGGCCAACGTGCACCCAGGTCTCTTGCTTTGCTACTCCCTGGACTTCAATAATTGTACAGTGACAGAGGATGCAGGAAGGGGCTTGATGAGCTCTTGACAGTTGGCTGAAAGCACCCTCCCTCATCTTAGCTGAAATGCACATGGCTCACATTTGTTAAAGTGGCCTTTGTTAAGGGACAGGTGGTTAGAATTGTTCATTTTGCTTCTGACAAACTCATTAACCAGAACACATATTGCTTGAAGGATGAAGAATTAGGTCAAATCTTAAAACCAAGCTCAGGTCCTTAGTGACCATGTAGGAGCTTGCAGAAAGACTAACCAAAGCTAAGCAGTAGCAAGAATGTGAGACTAAACCTAGGATTCCTCAGCTACGACCAAAAAGCAATGTCTTCTACCCATCCCTTGGCCATTAGAATGATGGAATAGGATTCCTCAATTGCAATTTTATGCTACAGCATCATAAGAACTGCCCCTGCCTCTACAATGTATTCCACTTTAATCAAGGCCTCTTCATACTTCCACTTATGTAACAGAGGCATAAATCAACAGTAATAAGCTCAGAAAATGAAATATGGCTCTAAAATATTTATTTTGTGCACCAACTATATACCAGATAGAGTCCTACAAACCAGGGATATAAGATGAACAAGAGATACTGTCTTTATGGAGATTTGATGTAATGGGGATGGCAGACATTATATACAATGTCATAGCAGATGTTGCATAAATAATTGTTTAATTAAAAAAGTAATCTAGCTTTGTGTATCCTATCTATTCTACCCTGCCTTATATGGTCTGTACAATACTTGACTGTGACAGAACATTGTGAACAGGTATTTCTGACCATGATGTCTGCGAGCTTCTGATGGCAGGACCCATCTCATACCCAATTTTGTGTTCCCAGCTCTAAGCTCAAAGGCTCTTTGTCTTCTTGGAGGCAGACAATGGCAGTGCCCAACAGCGAGAGCCTTTTCACTGGAGGTGTCCAGGGAGATTTCAGCATAGCATTAAAGGCACTCATTGAAAAGAGTGATGCTGTGGAAAATCCCAGCATCTGGGACATTGAAAAGGTTGGGCTCACATCAGCTTTTTGTTTTGTTTTTGTTTGGTCAAATTTTTCCTCTTCAGCAACACATCTGGAGCCCATACAAAGATCTGATTGACCAGCAGGAAGTATAAACATCCCTTGGGCATTTCCAGTCCCAGTAGCCATAGCTGCTCTAGAAATGGGGCCATTCTTCTACTGATACATGGGGCACAGCTCTCACAGAACAGGAACGAGGGGCTGCTATTTGGCATCTATGATCAAAGCAAAACACCTCCTCTAGATTCTGACCCAAATGCATTCCTCATTTTGGGTCTAGAGGAAAACGTGTAGACATGCACCTGCAATTTGAAGTATAAAAGGGAGATTACATTGTGGCAACCTACTGCTTACTCATTTAAAACAATACACAGTCATAAATTTAACAAGTTCAATAGAATGCCAGGCCTTCAGGATAATTAGCTTACAATCCTGGTACTCAATCCTCAGGTTGGAAATCTAAGTGATAACTCAACACCACTAACAACATATAACAATAGTCATTGTTTCACAGCTCATTAATATACTAATACATGACACTTATTTGACCTTCTCAATATGACAGGTATTCTCCCCATTTTACCTATGAGGAAACTAAGCCTCAGTGTGGGTCAGTGACTTGCTGAAAGTCACACTGCTAGTAAACGTGAGAGCCAGAAGCAAGCCTCATGTCTTATGCTTCCAAAGGCCACAGTCATTCCACTATCATTCAGGACTGCCCAGCAACTCAGCAGTACTGGGGGCTGTCTGACCCAGATGCTGTCATCAGCCATGATCCTTCCTCTGCTCCCATTTACCGTGGAGAGAGAAGAAAGACTCCTAAATATTGGATTTGCTAATGATTGCACGTTCATACCCACTGAGAGACAGAAATATATCTTGGGGAATTATAGTTTAATAATCCCACAAGTCAGCACATTAATGCCCAGAGACAAAAATAAAATGTATGACTGACTAAATGTGCTTAAGGTTAATTCTGAATACATGTGAGGGAATCTGATGAACAAAAGTCCTTTGCTATCAGCATGTTAGAGTGAGTCTCATAAACATTCTTCACTTCCACATTCTTGTCTTCAGATACACTTGGCTTCTCCTCTGGTTTTTTCCATCACCTTGCTTACAAATTTAAAAAACAACAACAAAAAGGAACAAAAATGATATCCCCAAAACAAACCACTTCTCACTTTCTCTCTCTCTCTCTCTCTCTCTCTCTATCTATCTCTCTCTCTCTCTCACACACACACACCCACACACAAACAAAAAGGCAGAGCAAAAATAACAAAAAGGTACAGGTGATACGTGTATTTCACACAAAGAAAGCTTCCAATCCAGAAAAATGTAACTGCAACAGTTCTTTTTAAATGTGGGGTATTGAAGACTCCAGCATGCTTATTTTAGGAACAAAGGACAAAACTAAAATTTACTGGACATCTACTGGATGCCAGGAATTGTCTTAGGTACTTCTGCAAATATTAACTAATTTAATCTTCATAACACCGTGGAGCTAGCTATGACCCCCTTTTTTAAACCAATAAGGACATTGAGTGTCAGGCAACTTGTTCATGGTCACATAGCTAGCTAGTGGTGAACTGATGTTGAGAATCCTAATCTGAAATCAAAGAACATGCACAGATAAAAATCCTCAAGACTTGAACAGGTTAATTAGGTCACCTATTGACAGAAGTTATGCTTCAGCAAAGAGGTTAAAAAACAGGAGAGCAGAGCGGGCTTTGTTCTCACATTTTAATGGCTATAAGTGTTATAATAGACTGTCCTGTCCACAACTCCCTAAGCCTGGGGATGGGAGTGGGAACAAGACCCCTTAGCATAAGGAGAAGGATCACAGGGGGACCTGGGAGAAAGCAGGTAGCACCTGGGATTAATTATTTGTTCATATCAATATTGCCAACATTTTTTGTCATGGGGCTGTTCCTAATCTTAGGTTAATGAAATAAGAAATGCCTTCAGGTGTGCTGAGGAAAGTGAAAGCTCTTCTCCTGAAATGTGTCACCCAAACTGCCCCATTTCTTGGTGCATGCAGCTTTCAATGGTGTCTTAGAATCCTTCAGAAATATCCATCATACTTCCCACTTTACCTCCATTCTAGTTAATGGCCATTCTTGCTAGGGCCCATTTCCCAGACTAGTAAACTGAGATACAAACAGAAATAATAATAAGCAACTATAATATTTAAAGTGGCTCACGTCTGTAATCCTACTACTTTGGGAGGCAGAGGCGGGTGGAATCCTACTACTTTGGGAGGCAGAACTCTGCCTGAGCTCAGAGTTCGAGACCAGCCGGGGCAACATGGTGAAACCCCCATCTCGTCTCTAATAAAAACACAAAAAATTAGCTGGACGTGGTAGCATGCATCTGTAGTCCCAGCTACTCCAGAGGGAGGCTGAGGCAGGATAATTGCTTGAACCTGGGAGGCAGAGGCTGCAGTGAGCCAAGATCACGCCACTGCACTCCAGCCTGGGTGACAGAGCGAGACTCTGTCTCCAAAAAAAAAAGTAATATCTGCTTTGGGAATGACTTTCAGGTGGTTATCTTAGTTGACGCTCACAAATTCTCGATGAGGTGAATATGGTAGATTTCATGGTGATTTACTGGTGCGGAAACTGCGCCGCAGAGAGAGAAAGTAAGTCACTTGGTTACATCTGCAATATGAGCATGGAGTTGACTCGCACATTCCTGCTGCTGTCTTATTCCCACACACCTGCCTTGGTGCCTGCCTCTGTTTCCTCCAGTTCAGGCCCCCTTTGGGCCTCTCTGCCCATTAAGTTCCCAGCCTCATCTGGTCCCTGAATTGCTTGTCCTCTGACCACCTCTGCGAAGGTTTCTCCACTCCTCTTCCTGGCCCTCAGGTCCTTCCCATTGAAGTCTGTTGGCTTCTGAGAGTGAAAGCAAAAGAATCCAGACAGGAAACAGATTCACAATTACAGCAATCGCTTGAGCCTAAGAGTTTAAGGCCAGCCTGAGCATCATTGTAAGACCCTGTCTTTCTAAAAAAAAAAAAAAAAAAAAAATTATGAGGGGCCTTCCTAGCACAGACTCAGGCTGAGATCTTTGACAAACATTAATGAACAAAAGGCCCTGCTTTCAAGGAACTTACAAGCAAGCAGGGAGTAACAGGCAGTAAGCAATACATAAGTCAAGCGCACAAAATATTAGAAGGTGAGGTTGGCTATGAAACAAAGGAAAAATAGGACAGGGTAAGAAGAATGGAGAGTGGGAGTGGGGCCAACTGCGGTCCAATTGGGTGGGAGGCAGTGCTGCTGGAGAAGGCAAGGTTGGAGCACAGACCTCAAAGCCCAAAGGGCCGGGCCTCACCCATCTCCCTGGGCAGAGTGTTCTGGACAGAGGGATTACCTGGCACAAACACCCCATGGACACCAGTGTGGCTGCTGTACCCGACTGGTGCCCTCACTCAAATAACCACTCAGACACGGAGCAAGACTTGAGAGAATAAGCCTGGGGAGAGTAAGGTTTACAACACAAGAAGCATGTTGGGAAATGGAAGAGCAGAGGTCTAAGTAGAGCATTGTGGAGGTGGAGACCACAGGCTCCACGCTGAAGGAGAGGGAGACGCTGAGTGCAGGAGGGACGGAGGGACACAGGGACGTGAGGAAGGCAGACAGGCGAGACGTCCTTTGGGGCCCAACTTGCCTGATTAAAGTGGGCTTTCTTCTTTGAGGCTGACCTCCTCACCTGGAATATCCATGCAAGCAGTCAGCACACTGTTGCCAGGGCCCACAGGGAAGCGTGCTGGTCTGCCAGGGGTGACAACATCAGTAAGTGCAGCAACAGCAGCAAGGGTTGACTGAACACGGATCCAATGTGCTAAACGCTACACACGCACACTTGCTCACTTAATCCTCTAAACAGCCCCAGGAGGAAACTCCAATCTCACCCCCTCTTTACAGTCAGGGAAACTGAGCCTTAGAAAGGATATGTGACTTGCCCAAGGTGGAACCAGATTTCAAACAGCCCTGCTAGACTCAAAGGATCACACACTCCTCCGGGCACTAACAATTGCAAGCCGAGGAACCAAACTGTCCTCAATCACACCCGTGAACTTCTCTGCATTAAGAACATCTCCACTCCACATACAACACACAGCCGGGGCCAGCTGTCTTGGAAATATCTTTGGTCAAAGAATGCATGAGGGCAGCGAGCACCATCAAGAAAGGTGGATTGATCAAGATAACCCTTTACCCCTAGAGAAAACAAATTCAGGTTGCCTTCAGTCACCTGTGTCGGAACAGAATAACTCAGACTTACTAATGCAAGACAGGAGCTAGGTGGGACCAAGAGGCCCACAAGGCAACACATGCCACAGGCAAGCCCCAGTCCTGTGACATCTTTCAAGCAGGTGAAAAACCACTTCCTCTCTGCCCCATGTGTGTGCACACATGCACGGTCTAATATTTTGTTTGCAGATCTGCCTATTTACATAGTTAATTTAGGATCTGTTTGCAAACACAAATTAGTTTGGTGCAATTACTTTGTGTGCACGGACATGGAGTTATCTGCTTCAGCAGTTTAACAGCAATGAGACTGGCTGCATAGTAGCATATGGCTGTCTATATATAATCACAATATTACCTGCACATATTAGTTACATAGCAGCTATGTTATAATTAGTGCCATTTTCAAAGACATCCAAAAGAAGAAAAAAATGTATTTTAATTAAATCAGCAAGGTGTTTTCATTGGAGGGAAGTAGGAGAGCGTGTTAATGACTCACAGCATTCCATCAACTGAAATGCAGAGAGGGCATGCAAGCACCTTTCTGGCTCCCAGTGGGAAGAAGCTTCTCTGATAACAACACTGAATATCCTCATCCCATGACCTCTGTTTTTCAGCCTTAATGATACCACAGTGCTTTCTGACTCTTCTCGCAGGTCAACTTAAATCATGGAGTCACAGACGATGGTCAGCTGGAGAGGACTTCAGCAATTGTCTGGCCTATTTGACTATTGTCCAGTGTCTCAGTCCATTTAGTGTTGCTATAAAAGAATACCCAAGATGGATTATAATGAAAAAAGGTTTATTTGGCTCATGGTACTGCAGGCAGCACAAGAAGCGTGGCAGTGAGGGCCTCAGGCTGCTTCCCCTCATGGCTGAGGTGAAGGGAGCCGGCATGTGCAGAAATCACAGGGGAGAGAGGAAGCAAGAGAGAGAAGGGCTCCCCCTCTCTCTTACCAGGCTCTTTTCCACAAGCAGATCTCATAGCAACTAACAGAGCAAGAGCTCACTCACCCCCCAAGAGGAAGCATTAATCTATTCATGAGGGATCCATCCCGGTGGTCCAAACACCTTCTATTAGGCCCTACCTCCAACATCAGGGATCAAACTTCAGCAGAGGTTTGCAGAGATCAAACATCCAAACTATAGCATCTGGAGAAGGAAACTGACTCCTAAGCAGGCAGAGTAGCAGACTGTGAATCACACAACTCAGTGGAAACACTGAGACAGGACTCAGGTCTCCTGACGTGCATTCAGTGCTGACCCCAGGATACCACCCACAGCACCATATGGATGCCACACTTTCTAATAGCAAGACACATGGCCCTTCAGTCCATTTCCCAAGGATTAGGAATCCACCTATGTTAGACATCTTCAGAATGTGTCATGGTATCACACACATCAATTCTTAATTAATAAAAACAAGGAGTTAAGAAAGGAGCTTATCCCAGGTCATTCAAGCAAATATGAGGGAATATTCAGATTTCTCCACATGGTTTCCAGTACTTGTGCTATTAAAAGTGTGTTGCCTCCTAATGACAGGAATTCACTGAAATGAGTTAGAGTGGAGGGGGCCAAGCTCTGTCATTTGTGTCCCAGATACACCATTCGCTTGGTGACATTGGGCAGGTTACTGAACCTTCTCATCATTTCTCCCTGATACTGAATTACACACTTAAATGGTTCCCTCTCCTTTTTCATTATAAAAAGGAATTTTTCTCCAACAGCCACTGCATTAACATGAGCTTCAAATTACAAGAGGCAGTGACATAATCTTGGGGTTGATATTGTCATCTCCTCGCTGAGTGGAATGGGTCAGAATATTCCTTACACCCAATTTCCCCCATGCTGCCAAGTACAATATTGTCTCCAGTCTCTCTTATGAAGAAAATGTGAACTTGGAGCCTAGGGGAGGAAAGCCACAGCATGCTGTTATTATCACCAGGCCAATTGAGGAGAACAAATAGCATCACAGCATAATCAACATCTTATCCCAACTCGTTTCTGTCCTTCCTCCCTAGTACACCATTTAACACGCCATGCAGAAGAAACTAAATATCCTTAGTAGCATAAGACAAGAAACAGACCACAGTAGAACAGGATAAGAGATCACTGGTGTCCATCAGGAACAAATGACCATGTAATAACTCTGTAATTACATGGTAACTAGAACTGATTGAGCCTGTAAATTACATCCTTGTCACCCCCGCGTAATGATGCAGCTCTATCTCCCATCTACAGAGAGCAGCAGCACATGGTCCACACTCACGGAGAGATAAGGGAATTCTTAGCTGTTAAAGCAGATTTGCTGCTGATGAGAGGTGGCAGAGAGACAGGCTGAAATCTGGGATTTAATGATTTTCCAGTTGAAGCATTACTGCCTTGCCAGCTAGAGCAAGACATCCATTACCCAGCCAGCATCCTCCTTCCTCAATCAGAGGGACTGACAGAGGGCTCCAAAATTCAAGATGAAAGCAATGGGGCTCACGCACACAGGAACATTACACATGTACATGGGCACACACACATACACACACACACACCCCTCCCACTGCCACACACACACATGCCAATAGCCCAATAGCCAATTTACATTCCCTGAAACATTTAATCTGCAGACCTTTGAAACATCACTATTGTGGCATTTCACCGAATATTTTAATACTGGGAAGAATATTGTCTCTTTTTATGCAACATTATCTCTGGGACCATTATGCAGAGGCATTAAGAAATTCTGTGTGGTGGATCATTCAGCAAATATTGTTTGACAGCCGACTATGCATATAGCATTCTGCTCGGTGTTAGAGAGGAAACAAAGAAGCATGACACTCAATTCTCTCCCTCAAGGATCCGAGTCCACTTACATCAATGATATAAAGACACACAAACTGAAATTATCATGCCACAAGGCAGTATATAATTAATTGCCAATGACTGGTACAGACAACAAGAGCTATGGAAGTAGAGAAAAGAGGGGACTCACTCTGGTATGACAGAATCATAAACACAGCTTCTTATAGATTAAAATGAACATCTAGGAGAGCCTGAATATCAAGTTCATGTACGGTTTTTTAGAAAGGAACATTTTAAATTTCTCTCAGTCCACAGTCCTCTCAGTTACTCAAAGCAAACAACAGCAAAACAGATTATTTTTTGTTAATGAAAACCATGGGAAGAAAAACATCAGAAATATGAGCATAAACAAGTTTAAAACTGAATAATCAAGATGCTAGGAGACCAGAAATATGCTCCTATTGGCACTATCCCTCTGGAGTTTATGTGCTTGTATCATGAATGTATATCATCTGCCCTCAGTAGTGGGAACATTTTTGATCAGCACAGGGATTTAGCAACTAGGTCAAGATCTGGAGAACTGTGGTCATCAATGGAACAAACAAGGAAAGCCTTTGGCAAAGCATCCAGCCTCGGCACAGTTAAAGTGGGGCATAGTCCATTGCAGGAGCAGGGAGGTCATTTCTCTGAGACTCTGAGGAGAGAAAAAGAAAGTCTACTCCTCTCTCCAGGTTCCTTTGTCCCTAAACTCACAACCATCTGATGGCAAAACTAGGTGTCAAAGGTGGAGAAACACGACAGAGTTACCATCCAGCCATTGCTGAGGGTTAACCCAAATGCCCTCTGGGATTTCATCTGGATTGAATGTAAACCCATCTGCCACTATCCAGTTGCCCACTTGAGCTAGCTTCTGACCTGCTAATCTTCCAGCCACAGATCTCCAACATCCTGCAAATGTCCTTCACTAAGAGGTGCACAGATGCACTTAACATACATCCTGAAGTTTGTCACACTGAAGTTCAGGACACCCCTGAGACGGGTGAAGCAAATCGTGGTGAGGCAATCCAGGACGGGTAGTGCCTACTAGCAGGTGATCTCTGGGCAGGCAGGAAAGAGATGAGAGCACCAGATAGTCTACATTTATCCACAGAAGGAATATAAACTATGTGCACTAGCCTGTGAAACAAGAGAGAGTTAGAATTCCCAGACCTTGAAGCATTTGCAAGGTCTCTGGGAAGATTTTTCTCATTCTGAAATAAGTGCTATCCCAAAGAAAACAGCTTTGCATTAATGCACAATCCTAGTAAGGTTTAAGAAAGTCATGTATTTTGATAATGCCTCAAAAAAGTGTCCAAGTTAACTATAAGACCATCTTAAGGTCACTGTCTCCTTCATGAAAAATAAAAGAATTAGATGAGATGATCTTTAAGGTCTTTCTAAAACTGAATATTCTATGAAGTAGACAGGTTGTAATGACCAGTTTGTCAAAACCTAATGAAGACTAACCACATCATCAATCTCAAATTGTATATAAAGAATATGAGATTCTTTTTCAATCAACCATTAAGTCTATAAAACAAATCCCGTAATCCAGTCTCCGGATTTATCTCTGACTCATAAAAACATTTTTCTTAAAGAACCAAGCGAGATCCCAGGGACCATACCACAGCCAATTATGGCTGATCTGCAGAGGTCTTTGATTTTTCATTTAAGAATTGTGTTGGTAATATGCTTCTCACGCTGCATCTGGTTCACATGGTACATTCCTACAGGAAAGTGACAGCATTAGGGGGAGCAACGAGCAATTCCTAAACAGGTGGGCTTTCATTTGCCTTCAGGAGGCAGTTCCTTCTGCTAGTCAGATCTCAATGTTTGTGACAAGACTGGACTTCTGTCTACACCTGCAATTCTCATTCTATTTACAGTGGCCACAGGATCAATATCTCCTCCCCTGGAAATAAAGCTTTCTACTTTGCATTGGAATTTATCTTCAATAGCTGCTGGAAATCATTATCACACAATAATGTTCTATTCACCACTCATGTTATCTCTTCAGCTAGGCAGATTGCCAGACATTTGACGGCCTGACACCAAGTCCATTTGGTGCATGACAAAAATAAAACCTTACATTGCCTGAAAATAACATGAGACACACTCATCATCTAGCTGGGGATGATTGGGCTACTTTCTCTTTCGGAGGAGTTGTCAGAACTCATGTCAATCATGCAGTGCTACTTGCCCGCAGCCATGAGCGTGCTCTCATTATCTGTGTATAGTGGGCACAAAGAAAAAGCTTTTGCATGGATCAACATTACTATGAATCCCAGAGGTAAAGCTATGAGGTTTAGAAGACCAGGCATATATGGCTGTATCTGAGCCTTTACTTACCTTTGGTTGGGTTCATTAATCCAAATTAATCCTTTCTGTCAAGCTCAAAAATGTTTACTAAAATCCTACTAAATGTTAGACACTGATCTAGGTACTTGAGATGATAAATACAGCATTCTTCCCTGGAGAAGTTTAACTTAGGATGTTAGGGAAAAATATATACACATAACATCAACATAATATGATGAGATGTGAATAAAATGTTGGCAGAATACCAAGGAAGAATGCTGTATCCTAGTTACAAACCCAGAGGAGCCTTCTTAGAGGAGATACCGATTGAATCAGATATCTTAAAGTATGAGTAAATGAAAACTTGAAGGGGTGACTTGGAGGACTTCCCACTCTAGAGCATTATAAGACAATTCAGAGCTGAACAGATGTTGGAGTAGGGATTGGTGAGTATGACACCTACAAGAAGGTCCTAGTCACTAAGACACAGAGGAAGAGCGATGGCTCTTACCTCCCCAATCACCAGAGGATGTTTCATTTTGGATATGTTGAAATTGAGGTATCACTGAACATTGACTTGGATATATCCTACATGTAGTTGGAAATACTTTCACTACATTCAAGGGAGGGGCCAGGGTCAGAGACAATGAAGTGTGCAGCTCCTATACCCAAACAGCAGTGAAAATCCAAGGAATGGATGAGACTTCCCACAGAGTGGGCTAAGAGCTTCAAGTCAAGGACAGAACCAACATATAAGGGGTTAGCACAGGAGAGAAAGCATGCACAAGGAGACAAAGCCAGAGCATCACAGAACAGCAGGAAGAAAACAAGACCAGGAGAGCAGAGTTGCAGAAGCCAAAGTGGGAGAGGGCTTCAGAAGAGACAGGCGGTGGAATGGCTTGAACACAGTAGTGGATGCATGGTCAGTGGCGGAGGGATGGAGTGGTGGAGTCAGCAGCATAGAGTCCACTTGGGATGTGTGCAGAGTGTGAGAACTTTGGTCAGAACAGTTTTAATAACCTCAGCAGTCATAATACAGACTTCAGTTGATCAATAAATTAATAAAAATAAAGAAAGACTAGTCTTCAAAAATGCCAATTAAAAATGAAACACAGAGATAGAGAAGGAGAAAGATTAATGAGTGGGAGGGCCTTTGAGCATGTCATTTTGGAGGGAAAAACTAGATGAGAACAAGAAGATTTAAAGACTTTCACACATAAGAGATTATATAAATCATGCTCTCTCACTGAGTAAAATATTATTTTCAACATCCAAGACATGTCTAAGTCTATTATCAATTTTCATTCAACCCTGTCTCCAGCCTGCACCTCTGTCCTGAGCACTAGATTCATGTATACAACTGACTACTTGGTATCTGTACGCAAAGCCTAAGAGGTATCTCAAGCCTTAATGATGAAAGTAGAACTCCAGATTCCCTGCCCTCAACCTTCAAACTTGAACTTCATCCAGTCTTCCCTACTCATCATTCCACCCAAAAACCTTGAAGACCTCCTTGACCCATCTCTTTATCTCATACCAACACCCAATCTACCAACCAATTCTCGAAACTCTACCTGAAAAACAAATCCAGAAGATGACTATTTCATACCATCCCCACTCCTACACCATGGTCAAAGCCACTATCCCCTCTCATCTGGAATACGGCAACAGTCTCCTTACTGGTCTTCTTGCCTCCAACTTGACCCTTGGAGTCTATTCTCATGGTCCCAGAGTTACTCTTTGAAAATAAAAGAACAAGTCACTTGTCAGATCAATATGACTTAATGACTTCCCTTTACAAAAAGAGTAAAAGTTAAAGATGTTCACACTAAGAGTAAAAGTCAAAAACCACACTCTTTCTGGTTTGTGTGGTAGATTGAATAACTGGTCACATATCTTTTCCCCTCCTACTGTTGGCAGGGTATACTTTCCCACCACTGTGTTTGGAGCTTGGCTCTGTGCCTTGCTTTGGCCTGCACGATGTTTGTAGACAGGATTGAGGCTTGCAATGTGCATGAGTGGCTAGCTTGTCATTTTGCGCCCTGGTGTTCCATCAACCAGGTCTGGGTGAGTAGCTGCTGGCTCCTCAGTCTGGGCCCCAGAATGAACATATGTGGAAGAAGCCTGAGCCCAATTTTCAGTCTATAGTCCTCCCAGCGAACCTACAAGTCCAAAGTGAGAAAAAATGCTATTTTGTAAGCCCATGAGTTTTATGCAGCACTATTGTGGCACTAGCTGACTAATTCAGTGATCTAGCTTCCCACTATCTCTCTGCTCTCATCTCCTGCTTCTTCTCCCTTTCTCACTCTCACTCCTGCTTTTGTTCCCTTTCTCAGAATCATATCTTCTTCTTAAGTTTCCTGATCCAAAGCATACTCCTGCCACAGGGCTTTGGCATATGAGGTTCCCTCTTCCAACTCCACAATATCCAAATGGCTTCCCTCTTCACTTCCTTCAGATCTCTACTTAAATATTATCTTAACAAAGAGGGCTTCCAAGACCACCTCTATCTCTAGTCCCATTTAAGCCCCTGGCCATGGTTTATTTTTCTCCATAGTACACCACAGTACAAATGACATATTATGCATGTATTTACTTTTTAGCCTATAGGCCAGAAAACGATTTTCATGCATAAAGTCTGGTGAGTAATTAAATAATAGGCTCCATTCTCCCTATCCTACAGCACAGTGTTTTGGTTTGGGTTTCCTAATTGTTGTATGTATATCACAAAGTGATATACGAGATGATTTTAGGAGATAATTGGACTAGCTTAGACACAAATAAAATAGTAATTAATAAATTTAATTTTATTTTAGGTGGAGTAGGTGGGGTAGGGGTTTTAGGAGTGTTTGAGGAGAGGGGTAACTAAGCTAGGCATTATGAAGCCAGACAGGGAGTGTGTTTAGGTGTAGATGGCCTCAGTTACCTACTCCACATTACAACAGAGTCACTCTGTGACTGATGTTTTCAATAATGACCTGAGTAACAAAATAAGACAAATGATAATCTCCATGTTTTGCTCAATAAGACAAAACAATAATATATTTTAGAAAAAGAACTCTATCAAAAAGGATTGCAATGTTTTAAGTTCCATTTAAAGGATGATAGCTTAGTTATATGACAAATTCATTCATGTGGAACACTGCTGATGCCTCCTAAATAAGCCTGCCCTATGTAAACACGAGGACTGGTAATGAAGGTCCTGATAATTCTTTCCTCATGAATAACAGGCAGAAATGACTTTATACCCACTCCTCGTCTCTGACTACCTCCTCCACTCCCTCCCTTATATGCTTTTCTTATTTTTCCTTCAAAAAAGTCCATTAATAAGAACAAATAGTAGTAACTATAAGCCGATGTTCACTCTATTTCCCACTTTTTCACAACTAAAGGCCCATATGATTATTTTTTGACTGATGGACTATGTGGACTGAATTTGTTAAGTGATAATTATTGGAGCAAACACCTTCCAGCTTCCATTAAAGCACCTAAACAGGCTGGAGTCATCATCATCATGCTTTTCACATGAAAAGGAAAAAGCTGACCAAACCGAAAGTCAACAACTCTTGGATGAAGCTGGAAACCATCATTCTCAGCAAACTATCGCAAGGACAAAAAACCAAACACCGCATGTTCTCACTCATAGGTGGGAACTGAACAATGAGAACACATGGACACAGGAAGGGGAACATCACACACCGGGGCCTGTTGTGGGGTGGGGGGAGGGGGGAGGGATAGCTTTAGGAGATATAACTAATGTTAAATGACGAGTTACTGGGTGCAGCACACCAACATGGCACATGTATACATATGTAACTAACCTGCACATTGTGCACATGTACCCTAAAACTTAAAGAATAAAAATAAAAAAAAGAGATCCTCAGAGATGTCACAGAGCAAAACACTGCCCCTAAATTGGAAAAGACAGGTGGATACAGAGAATCACAACTTATAAGAGCAGAAGCCCAGTAGCAAAAAAACAAAACAAAACAAAAAAAAAAACCCACACCAACCAACCATACAACCCTCTACGGGAGCCAGTATCAGGATAGAAAAACTAAAATGGAACTGATGAGTTGCTGGAGGTTCAGTGTGCACAAGTCTTAGGGGTCAAAACATGAGAGCTCCAGACTTTGGGAGACTCCACACTTCAATAGGAGCCCTAGGAGGTTCAAGAGCCCTAGGAGGTTCTCACAGTAAGGATCAAAGAAAAATCCCCTCATGCATCCAGCAGGGGGAGAGCAAAGGCAGCCATTTTGAAATATGACACATGCATCCTGTTCTTATGAAGGCCTGCCCTCAATAGAAATTATATTACCAGAGCCTAATGATGCAGGGAAGGGAAAATACCCAACTGCAGCCCCTTCTACACTTCCTGTCTCACCTGAGCGGGGGAAGAAAAGCAACCCTGAGACACACTTGTGAAGCTCACGGCGCAGGGGCACAGGCTTAGTAAAATACTGAGGCCTACTCATGGCTCTATAGAAGATTTCCCTCCCCCCACACCCATGGTCACATCCATAGGAGTAGCTCATCATAACAAGAGGGGAATGGAAATGAAAGAATTCTGTATCTCAGATGGTATTTGAAAATAAATTTCTAGGGACAACAGGGAAATCAAAAACAAGAACACCAGAGGAAACTTTAACCTCTGACACAGTTACAACAAGCAATAATTACAGCTTGATCCCTAGCCAGAAACATAAAACTTTAAACTAAAAATCTATTTACTCCAGTTTCTTTTACCCCAGTATATCATGTCTGGCTTTAAAGATAAAAGTACCACCAGCATACTATAAGACGAAAAAAAAAAAAAAAACCAGCTGGAAGAAACAGAGTAAGCATCAGAACAGGCTCAGATATCGCAGAGATGTTGGAATTATCAGATTGAGGATTTAAAGTAACTATGAATAATATGCTAAGAGTTCTAATGGAAAAAGCAGACAACTTGCAAGGACAAATGGGGAATGTAAGCAGAAAATGAAAACTGTAAAAAAGAATTCAAAAGAAGATGGTAGAAATAAAAAAAAAAATCAACAGAAATGAAGAATGCCATGGATCAATAGACTGGATATGGCCAAGGAAAAACCAGTGAACCTGAAGAATATCAATAGAATCTTCCAAACCTGAAATTTGAAGAGAAAAACTGAAAAAAATGGAACAGAATATCCAACTACAAAAGGAAGTGTAATATACATGCAATGGGATTACTAGACGTAGATGGGAGAAAGAAGCAGAAAAAATGTTTGAAGCAATAATGACTGAGAATTTCCAAAAATTTATGACAGAAACCAAACAACAGTTTCAGGATGCTCAGAGAACACTAATCAAAATACCAAAAAACTACACCTAGGCATATCTTATTCAAACTGCAGAAAATCAAAGACAGGCAAACTTGAGAAACTGAGGGTCGGGGAAGAGGGCTTACCAATAGAGAAGCAAGGATAAGAATTACATTGGACTTCTCTTCAGAAACCATGCATACAGGAAGAGGAGCGTCGAGTGAAATATTTAAAGTATTAAAACTAAAGAACCACCAATCTAGAATTCTGTATCCAGCAAAATTATTCGTCAAAGGTGAAAGAGAAATTAAGACTTTCTCAGACAATCAAAAGTTGAGGGAATTTGTTGCCAGGATACTTGCCTTGCAATAAATGTTAAAATATGTTCTTCAGAGAAAATGAAAATGATATCGTTAAGAAATTCTGATCTACATAAATTGATCGTTATTTCCCCATTTTTATTTATCAGGGATTCCTCTATCAATCAGAGATTCAGATCAGCATAAGACAATCAGCACAAATTCATCAGTTGTTGTAGTTCCAGCCCAAGGCAAAGAAACTTGAAATTTCATATATCATGTGGGGCCACAAAAGGGGAAAAGGAAAAGGATCATCAGGGCTTTTGAAATGGAGACAAGAGTTGGACCATCAGGGATCTATGGTATGGACAGTCAGTAAACTCTGCTTTTTGTTTGTTTTTCAAGCCTTGTACTAAATTGGGATAATTCTCAGGATGAGTTTCTTTTGTAAGTTTCATGCCCAATTTGCTATGAATAATTCAGGAAGCAGTAGCGTAGACAAGGTCTACAAAATACAGAGGTCCACATCTAATAACCAGGAAATGGGTGTCGGAAGGACAGAAGGAACATGAGGATAGAAACAATGGTCTTGTAACTGCTGACTGCATCCTAAAGTCATCTATTTGCTCTCTTTATTTCTAGCCTGCCTGCTTTGTTCAAACCAGTCCCACAATCCTCAATACCGTTCCCTTCTTGCAAAGTGAGAAGAGAGAAACAATTGCCTTTCCCCAACACTTCTCCTCCAATCAAAACCCAAGTTAAAACTGAACAAACAAAACCACAGCAAAAATAATTGTCTTGTTCTCAACACCAATTGCTGCAGATAATATCTGTGAATTGTCAGCATTGGAACCTAGTAACACTCACCAACACACACTAGAATTTTCTTCAGCACATTTAGCACCATATGAAAGCAGATGACAAAGCTATTGTAGATAAAAAACCAGTAGAAGGAAAAAAAATACCTCTGATGAAAATACAAGAAAAAGCAGATGACTCTACATTCTGGGTACCTCTGGAACCTAAAAAGAGCTTCTTGAACATGATCTGGCAGTGACCTGACAGCCAGGGATGTCTCATATAAGTGGACCCCAGGATGGTTTACATACGTGACTATTTGTACTCCTGATGAATGATACTTTTCTGAAAGGTGGAAAGCCAGGGGCATTTAACAGCTGCTTAGCAAGACTTCCTGATCATGCGGGGCAAGATGTTAACCCAAAGAATACACTAAGCTCTTACTGCCAGGGAAATACATTAGCAGTAGGAATATTATCGGTATTAGCAATAATTATAATAATTATGAGCATATACACAGCACTTTTATATCTGCAAAATGCACCGCATTCATCATAATGATTAGCATTTGTACAGTACTTTGTATTTCCCAAACACTCTGTGCTCATTAATTAGATAATGCTGGCAACATCTGTGGGCAAGTGTTACTACTCCCGTTTTACAGACACACGACACAGAGAAATTAATTGGCTTACTCAGGGCCACGTGATGAGTCAGTGACAGAATCAGGATTCCATGTCTAAGTTCCCAAATCTCTATTTTGTCTGTACTTTATGCAAAGCTGGGAGGTTGCTTCCAATTGAAAGGGAAGGGAAGGGCTTAGGACATGAAAATCAATTGCTCCCATGGCCTTTGAGTGATTAGTAAGTGCCAATGGAGCCATATGAAATCTATTTTCACAGAGAACTTCAGGATAAAAGCTATTCCTCAATAATCATTCTAGGGCAATGCTTCTCATCTTCAGCTCAGGCCACACCCCCGGCCAATTCGGTCTGAATCTGTGGCTATGGACCCAGCTATCAGAACATTCCAAAGCTCCCCAGGCAATCCCAGTGGGTAGTCACAGTGGAGTGAGAACTGCCGGTCTAGGACAGTGGCTCTCAAAGTTTAGGGAGCATCAGAGGGCTGCTTGAAGTGGATCCCTTGACTCAACCCCAAGAATTTCTCGTACAATGGGTCAGAAATGGGGCCCGAGTATGTGCATTTCTAACTAGTTCCCAAGTGATGCTCACTGCCAAGTCCCAGGACCACATTTTGAGAAGCACTAGTCTAAGGTTTTAGGTGCAGATAAAAGAATTACAAAATTGCTTCCAAAGATCCCTTCAAGCCCAGGCACTAAGACTTCAATAATTGGGTAGACTGCTAAAATGTAGAACAGACTGACCACCTGCCCACCAAATTCTGGGCACACAGGATGGCAGACCTCTTTCTCCAATTTCCCTTACCGTGAGCCCAACGGCATGTGAATGACTACATGACAATGGAAGATGAAGAGAAAGGCCAGTCCTAGGCCTGGACATGAAACATCTTGCTCAATCTTTCCTGCTACCCCACTGCTCAGCCTTCTAGCCTCTCTCTCTCCCCTCTGTAGCTGAATCCCATGACTCCAAGGTGCTGGTGCCACACGAGGGAAGGAATTCAGACACAGGAGTCTCCAGTCAGTGGAGAGACATTCTGTGGGTCTGTGCAACCTACTCCAGGCAATAAGGAGACTAGTAATTCACTTTATCGCATGAAGCCACTAGGATCTCAGGGTGTATTTGTTTCCACAGCATAGTCTAGTCCATCCTGACAATCCTGACACTCAGTGCCTGTAGTCGGTGTGTGTTCCTAACCTCCACAGAGAACAACTAAATCTGACAGACAAATGAGTAAGAGGACTAAGGCTAATATGCAAGTGAAAGTGATAGCTACATGCTCAGAGGTCAAGAATGTGACTGAGTCAGAAGTTGACAACTTCAGGGAAAGTCCGGAATATACCTATCCCAGTGTAACTGCAGCCAGACTGTATCTGCGCATCTGAGGTGTACTTTATCCCTCTCTTTAGAGAGAAGCCAGTCCCACATTTGCCCTATATGACTGGCCCTCCTTATCCACGGGTTCCAAATGCATAGATTCAACCAACTGGGGATCGAAACTATTCAAAAACAAAACCAACAAAAAAATCCAAAACAATACAGTAAAAATTTATATAGCATTTGCATTGTATTAGCCATTATAAGTAATCTATAGTTGACTAAAAGTATACAGAAGGATATGCATAGATTTTCTACAAATAATTTCCGATTTTAGGTAAGGGGTTTGAGCATCTGCAGATTTTAATATTGGAGGGAAATCCTGGAACCAGTGCCCCTCAGATACTGAAGGCCAGGACAACTGCACAAGCCTTTCAAGTCTGTAGGTCAGGAACACAGTGGCAGACACTGACCAAAGAAACAAGCTGACGGTAAAGGCACAGCCTGGATGTCTTTGGGGAAATGCAGAGAGCAAACAATTTTAAAAACACAAAACAAACATACCCTATCCTCCTTCCCTCTCTGTGGGAAATTTATTACATTAAAAAAAAAATGCTGGGTGCAGTAGCTCACACCTGTAATCCCAGCACTTGGGGAGCCCGAGGTGGGCGGATCACGAGGTCAGGAGATCGAGACCTCCTGGCTAACATGGTGAAACCCCATCTCTACTAAAAATACAAAAAAATTAGCTGGGCATGGTGGCACACACCTGTAGTCCCAGCTACTCGGGAGGCTGAGGCAGGAGAATTGCTTGAACCCAGGAGGTGGAGGTTGCAGTGAGCCGAGATCGCGCCACTGCACTCCAGCCTGGGCGACAGAGTGAGACTCCATCTCAACAACAACAACAACAACAACAACAAAACCACCACCACCAACAACAAAACCACCAACAACAACAAAACCACCACCAACAACAAAACCACCACCAACAACAAAACCAACAACAACAACAAAACCAACAACAACAACAAAGCATATCTTCCCTCTATCCCCTCAATTCTAGTGCTTGCAATAACGCTGTTCACTTCGAGAAGAACCCTGAATAATCCTATCGGACAGAGGGGTGCTCTTGGTGAGAAGGAGTCTGGAAATGCAAAGAGAGCTAGACACTGGAGCGGGCGCAAACTCCAAAACAACCAGGAGAGCAAGCCACTCTGGCTGCCCACCCTAGCCCCGCCAGCCCTGCAGCCAGGGTCAACACCTTTGCCAGGGTTTCTGGCCTTCTCACAGGCCCAGCTGTGACCAGAAGGCTCAATTTCACAGCTGTTCAGCTTCATATTGAACTTGTGCTTCCCAGCTGTAGTGCATTATTACTTGTGTTTGTTTGCCATCAGCTTTAATTAAGAGAGGTTTAATTTTCCAACATTATTTTGGCTCCTCTCTGCCCCAAAACCCACATGGAGAGCTGCTGTTGTTTTCTCCCCAGGCTCCACGATGGCATGTGCCCAGTAACAATGGAGATAATGTCCCACAGTCCCCCATGAGATATAACATGCCCAGGCGGCAGCACGTGACTAGGGTCTATGGTAAATGTGTCTTCCCCACGCTGCAAAGCCTCCTAATCAAAGTAAAATTTTCCCCTCTGCAAACCCAGGTCCTCCTTGTATTCTCTATAGTATTTTTTTAACATCTTCCCATGAGCTTCACATGGAGCCAGCCTGAGGAACTCAAACTTGATTCCAATCTGATTAGCCAACGTGGCCCTATCAGCTGAGACAGTAACATTTATCACATTAATAGGAAGGATAGAAGAAAACCGGGATCCCATCCAGCAGGAGCATTTTTATCACATGTTGCACTGACTTACAAATCCAATTATCACCAGCTGAAGGTCTTAACAGCCTTTGAATTGCATCTTTCAAATCTTAAAGGACCACAGTGCACATTTTCTTAGATTCCTCCTGCTGTACTTGATTCCATGCAGTTACAGGTATCTAGTCCACATGACAACTTCAGGGATAAAGCTGTCTGTGGAATGTTTCCCCTGAGTTTAACCAGGGAATTCAAGAGAAGCATGGATTAGGGACTGTCTTTTGACATTATTATATTCAACAAACATGAACTTGTAATTTACTTCACAGTCAGAGGTAGGATCTAGGGACCTAAGTGTTAGAGGGCTCTTAGTTGAGCACAAGGGAACTCGCAAAGAGTGGGTAGTGTCCTTTGCAGGGCCACGTGGGACTAAGAGTGTACTTACAAATTTAGAGAGCTGTGATAACGAATATCATGCGGACTCTGAAGAAACATCACCCAAAGCTACAAATATAAATGTCTGAGAACAGTGCTAAATAAAGACCAGTGACTTCTGTTATGGCAAAGAAAGAAGACTGTCAAATATTCTGTCCAAGAAAACAGAGCATAAAGTCGAGCAAAATTGACAAAATCAACCATTCCAGTGGAGTGGTAATTGAACGAAATCTTAACAATCTGAGAAGCATATGTTCTTGTGAAACTTCTGAACTTCGGTTAAGAACTGTGGGGCTCTGTGGTATTCTGACTCCAGCCCCAGCTCAGTCATGGAGGTTCCTCCAGGGTAGGGTAATACCTGAGGACCAGTGGCATCTCTGCCCTGGTTCAGAGGCTCACTTACTTTGAATGGTGAGTGACACCACAGCCAGTGGCACTGTTGGTAGAAGTCATTCTCTCAAAGGCTAGAGGGGAGGGCCAATGACTACCCCAGGTTCTGCTCAGGGCTAGGCAAGTACAAATCTGCATGCAAACACACCATAGCCTGGAGAGGGCTCAAGTCAGGCCTATATTCTTAGTTGACACTGAAGCTGGAAACCTGAGCAGAAAGGACATGACAGGACTCAGTAGGAAGCAAATATCAGGAGACATTGGAAATGGTCCGCACTTTGAAGGTGCTTCACTACCCATACACAAATCTATCAGAAGGGGACTAACTGGCTCAAGATGGTTGAGCACAACTTCTGTTTAAGCCTTGGATGTCAACTCAGTCCTGGGGGGCAACCTATGGGAAGAGAGACTTGAAAATTAAAACAGGATATAAAATTAAAGAAAATTTAAAAACATCAAAAAATCCCTAAGACATTAGTGACTGTTCATGCATAGCAAAGAAGACAGAGTCCACAGATTAGCCAGTTTGCTAAACAAGGAAAGACATAAACAGAAAAAAACAGCAAAATACAACCTTTGCGGGAAAAGTGAGGCTAGGAATATTTGCTAAAATATATTTTCTAAAACGTGCACTTAAAAAAAGTATGAGATATGCAAGGAAAGAGGAAACTGTGACCCATACAAAACAAAGTAGGCAATAGAAACTCTCTGATTGTCCCCAGATGTTGAATTTACCAGCTGAAATTTCAAGCCATTCTTATAAATATGTTTAAAAAACTAAAGAAAACCATGTTTTTGAAATTAAAGGAATATATGACAACAAAAAAATCCATATGTAGAGAGTCTAACAAAGGAAACAAAAGTATAAAGAGAACCAAATGCAAATTATGGAAACAAAAAGTACAATGAGAAAATTAAAATCTCACTGGAGGACCCAACAGCAGATTCGAGATGACAGAAGAAAGAATCCATGAATGTAGAAATAAATCCATATAAATTACCCAGTTGGAAAAAGAGGGGAAAAAAGACAGAAGAAAAATAAACAAAGCCTCAGAGTGCCAGCATATATAATAATGGGAATCCCATAAGGAGAGCAAAGAGGAAGCAAAAAATACACTCAATGAATAATAGTGAAAACTTCCCAAATTTGATTAAAAACACTAATCTAGATATCTAAAAAACTCTACAAATCCAAGGTAGGATAACTACAAAAAGAGCCACACCTTGACATATAATCATCCAACTTTTGGAACCAAAGAAAAAAATAAAACAACCATATAAGAAAAATTAATTGATAGCCATCCAAAAAAATTATAGGGGAACACTGAGAAGTTTAAGATGGCTGTGACCTCACATCTGAAATAATGAAGGCCAAGGCAATGGGATAACATATATTCAAGTACCAAAAGGAAAATAAAATACTATTAACCGGAAATTTAGTTTTCAGAAAAACCTTTTTTTTCAAATATGAGGGATAAATTCAGACATTTTCCACATTTTACCAGAATTTAGTTACTATCAATCTAAAGTAGATTGTGATAAGCTAAAATGTGTAGCATACTCATTAGAGTTACCACTAAACATTAACTCAAATAGACAAAATATTAATACAATAATTAAATGGTACACTATAATATTTATCTATATTTATTTAATACAAAATAAGACAATGTAAAAGAAATAGAGGAACTTAAAAAGAGAAATCACACAGAAATCAAATAGCAAAATGTCAAATGTAAATCCAGTCATAAAAATAAGTACCAGTAAATATGAATAATATAAATATCACAATGAAAAGGCAGATATTAGTGTTATTCACAATGGTAAAGACACAGAATCAGCCCAGGTGCCCATCAGTGGTAGATTGGATAAAGAAAATGTGGTACATATAAACCATGGAATACTACGCAGCCATAAAAAAGGAAGGCAATCATATCCTTTGCAGCAACATAGATGCAGTTGGAAGCCATTGCCCTAAGTGAACTAACACAAAAACTGAAAATCAAATATTGCCTATTCTCACTTATAATCAGGAGTTAAACACTGGGTAAATATGGACATAAAGATGGGAATAATAGACATGGGGGAATATAAGGAGGGGAGGAGTACAGGATTGAATAACTACCTGTCAGGTACTATACACACTATGCAGGTGAGAGATTCAATCATATTCCAAACCTCAGCGTCAGGCAAGATCCCTTTGTAACAAACCTGCACATGTACCCCCTGAAAAAAAAACCAAATAAATAGAAACAAAAATAAAATAAAATAAAGGCAAAGATTGTCAGATTGGATAAAAAAAGTAAGATCCAATTTCTTATAAGCTATCTAAAAATCTAAAATATTTAATAATCTCAGGTTTCTACATGTTAGATTCAAAGCTAAAAAGAGGTTAAAAGTAACAGGATGAATATATATACCATGCAAACAGTAACCATAAGAAAGAAGGCATGTAAATTGGAAAGGAAATTTTTTTAATACCAGAAAAAAATAAACTTTAAGACTAGAACTATTTCAAAGACAAGCTGGGATATTTCAGTATGATAAAAGAGTTCATATATCAGGAGGATGTAATACTTATATAGGTATGCATACCTAAAAGCACAATCTCAAAATACAGCAAGCAAACCTGACAAAATTGAAAGAAAAAATAGACTAGTCACCATTTAAAGTTGGAGATTTCAATACCCCACTGTCAAGAAACAACAGAACCACAAGTCTTGAGCAACACTATCAACCAACTTGACATATTCAAAATTTATGGAATGCAGTTAAATCGGTGCTTAAGGGACATTATACCTGTAAACGTCTATGTTAAAAAAAGGCAAAAGATCTCAACCAATAACCTAAGCTTACATCTAAAAAACTGGAATAGAAAACTAAATTCAAATCAAACAGAACAAGTGATATAATAATGATAAGAGAATGAAAAAAAACAAAAAAATTAGGGAAAGTCAATAAAACAAGAAGTAAGCTCCTTGATAAAACTGACACATTTTTTGTTGGATTAACCAGGAAAAAGAGAGAAGAAAAATAGTAAAGACTCTACGTTTTCAGACTATGAACAGATTAGAAGACCATACTATTAACAACCTTATGCCGACAAATTAGATAATTTATATGAAATGTGAAAATTCCTAGAAAGACACACATTTCCAAAAATGACTCCAGAAGAAGTAGAAAATCTGAATAAAACTAAATCAAGCATTTAAATTAGCAATGAAAAATCTTCGGCAAAGAAAAGCCAGGCTTCTGTGACTTCGGAAGTGAATTCTACCAAATATTTAAAAACAAAACATGTCAATACTTCACAAACTCTTCCAAAATATAGAAAAAGTCAAACAATTTCTCAACTTATTTCATGAGTCTAGGGTCATCCAATATTAAAGCCCAAAAACATAAGGAATAAAAATACAGATTACTATATCTCATAAACATAGATGCAAAACTCTTTAATAAAACATTAGTAAGCTGAATCCAACAATATTTAAAGCAGATCATACACCCATGCTAAGTGGGACTTATTGCAAAAATGATAGCTTGACTTAGTATCTAAAAATCAATTAATGAAATATAGTATATAATAAATTTTTTAAAGCCACATGATCATCTCAAAAGACAAAGAAAAACATTTTTAAAAATTTAGCACACATTCATGATTTAAAATGAACAATAAAAATTTCTCAACCAAGAGGATTAGGTTCAATCCTACAAAAGGTACCTTAGAAAAATCCACAAGTAACATCATACAACAATGATGAAAGACTAAATGTTTTCCCCCATGATCAAGAAAGAGGCATGAATGTCTAATTTTGACACTTCTTTTCAACACTGTATTAGAGGTTCTACCCATGCAATATGGGACAAAAGGAAGAAAGAGAGAAGGAGGCAGTGAATGAGGGAGGGAGAAAGGACAGGAAGGAAGGGAGGGAGACAGGAAACGAGAGAGGGAGGAAAAGAGAGACAGAGAGACAGAGGGAGAGAGGGACAAAGAAGGAAAAGGATTGAATAAAGAAATAAAATTGTCCTTATTCTCAGGTGATACACTCTGGATATGGAAAATTCTAAAGAGTGCACAAAAAACTATTAGAACTAGTAAACAATTTAGCAAGGTTTCAGGAAAGAGCATTGGCATACAAAAGTCTATTGTATTTCTGTACACTGACAATAAACAAGCCGAACATGAAATGAAGATAATTCCATTCACAATGGCATCGAGAAAAATTAAACAGCAATAAATGCCTACACTGAAAACTACATAATACTGTGTAGTGAAATTAAAACAGATCTAAATAAAAGAAAAGGCATTCCATGTTCATGGATTTAAAGACTCAATATATCATGATGGCAATTCTCTCCAAATTGATCTATAAACTAAATGCAATCCCTATTAAAATCTCAGCAGGCTGATACAAATTGACAGTCTGTTTCTAAACTATATATAGATATGCAAAAGATATAGAAAAAACTAAAACAAAAGAAAACCAAAGTTGTAGGACTTACACTATCCAATTTCAAACTTACTATAAAATTACAGTAATCAAGAATGTGTGATATTGATGCAAAGTTAGAAATTTAGATCAATAACATAAAATTGAGATTCCAAAATTAATCCCATTCACAGGAGCAAATCAAGAGTCATGAATCCCATTTACGGTCAACTGAATTTTGTCAAAAGTGTTAAGACAACTCAGTGAGGAAAAAGACTGTTTTTAACACATGAATCTAGAAACACTGAACATCCATGTGAATAAAATGAGCGTAGACCCTTTCCTCATGTCAAACACAAAACCCAAAATACACAGCAGATCGACATGTATGAACTAACATTGTGATATTTCTAGGAGAAAATGTAGAAGAAAAATCTTCATAACTTTGGATTGTAAAATTATTAGATATCAAAGTAAAAAATATCTGTAAAAGAAAAAAGTGATAAACTGACTTTCATCAAAATTAAAATTTTGTGATTCAAAAAAAACCCACCATTTAAAAAATGAAAAGAAAAGCCCTCAGAGACTGGGAAAATATATTTGCAAATCATACAGCTAATAAAGGATTTGTGTCCAGAATATATAAAAATTCTTACAACATAAGAAGATAAACAACTCAATTAAGAAATAATCAAAATATTTGAATAGACACCTCACACAAGAAGATACATGAGTAGTAATAAGCATGTGAAAAGATTCTCAAAGTCATTCATCATTAACAGAATGCAAATTAAAACCACTAGAAGATAACATTGTATATCCACTAGAATGGTTATAATAAAAAATAAAGACAGTAACAAGTGTTGGTAAGGATTTAGAGAAAACAGAAAACTCATAAATTGTTGGTGGAAATGTAAAATGTTACAACCACTTTGGAAAAAAGGTTGGCAGTTTCTATCAAAGTTAAAATAAACTTAATATATGACCTAGCAATTCCACTCCTAGGGATCTCCACAATGTAAATGAAAACATACGTTCACATAAAGACATGTAGGTGAATGTTCATAGCAGCATTATTCATAATAACTCAGATCTGGAAGCTATTTAAATGTCTAGCAACTAGTGAATTAATAAACAAAATGTGTTATACTTTTATAATAGAATATTATTACACAATAAGAAGGAAAATGAAAAACATGAAAAGAAGTCAGATGCAAAAAACAACATATTGCATGATTCTATTTATATAAGTGTCCAGAAAAGGATTATAGATACAGAAATCATATCAGTGGTTGCCTAAGGCTGGGGTTAGAAATGGAGGTTAACTGTGGGTAGCCACAAGGGAACTTTCTGGGGTGATGGAAATGTTCCTAAGCTGGGTTGTGGTGATGCTTACACAACTCTATACATTCACTTTAAAAAATCATTGATTGTTCAACATACGATATCAACAAATGCAATATATCACATCAACAAAACAAAGAACAAAAACCATATGATCATTTCAATAATGCAGAAAAAGCATTTGATAAAATTCAACACCCTTGCGTGAAAAAAAAAAACTCTCAACAACAGGCAGAGAAGAAACACAGCGAAGACCATATATGACAAACCTACATCTAACATCATACTGAATGAGAAAAGCTGACAGCCTTTCCTCTCAGAACTGGAACAAGACTAGGATACCCACTTTCACTACTCCTATTCAACATAGTGCTGCAAGTCCTAGCCAGAGCAATCAAGCAAGAGAAAGAAATAAAAGGCATCTAAATTGGAATGGAGGAAGTCAAACTGTCCCTCTTTGCAAACGATATGATCTTGTATTTAGAAAAACCTAAAGATGCCACCAAAAAACCTATTAGATCTGATTTAAAAATTCAGTAAAGTTGCATAATACAAAATCAACATACAAAAATCAGTAGCATTTCTATACACCAGGAATGCACTAGCTGAAAATGAAATCAAGAAAACAATCACACTTACATTAGCTGCATAAAATAAAATAAAATAAAATAAAATAAAATAAAATATCTAAGAATAAATTTTACTTCAGAGGTAAAAGACGTCTACAAGGAAAACTACAAAACACTGACAAAAAAAAGTTAAAGATGTCAGAAACAAATGGAAAAGTATCCCATGCCTATGAATTGGATGAATTAAAACTGTTAAAACCACCATACTACCCAAAGCAATCTACAGATTCAATGCAATCCCTGCGAAAACACCAATGGCATTTTTCACAGAAATAGAAAAAAAAATCCTAAAATTTGTATGGAACTTTAAAAAAGATATTGAATAGCCAAGGCAATCCTGAGCAAAAAGAACAAAGCAGAGGCATTACGCTACTGGACTCAAAATATATTAAAAGGCTATAGTAACAAAAACAGCATGGTATTGGCATAAAATCAGACACATAATTCAATGGAGCATTATACAGAACTCAGAAATAAATCCACCCATTTATGGCCAACTGATTTTTGACAAAGTTGCCACAAACATACATTGGAGAAAGACCACACTGTTCAATAATTGGTGCTGAAAAAAACTGGATATTCCTATGCAGAAGAATGAAACTAGACCCCATCACTCATCATATCAAAAAACCATCTCAAAATGGATTAAAGACTTAAATGTAAGAACTAAAACTATAAAACTACTAGAAGAAAACATGGGGGAAACACTCCAGGACAGTGGTCTAGACAAGAATTATATGGCTAAGATCTCAAAAGCACAGACAACAAAAACAAAAATAGACAAATGGGACCATATTAAGCCAAAAAGCTTCTGCACTACCAAAGAAACAATCAACAGAGTGAAGAGACACCTGTGGAATGGGAGAAAGTATTTGCAAACTATTTATCCAATAAGGAAATAATCTAGAATACACAAGGAACTTAACTCAACAGCAAAAAAAAAAAAAAAAAAAACAAGTAATTCTCTTAAAAAGCGGGTAAATGATCTGAATAGACATTTCTCAAAAGAACACATCCAAATGATTAACAGGTATATGAAAAAAATGGTCAACATCACTCATCATCTGAGAAATGCAAATCAAAACCACAACAAGATATCATCTTACCCAGGTTAGAATGGTTATTATCAAAAAGACAAAAAATAATGCAGAAAGCAGAGAAAAGGCAACTCTTACATACTGCTGGTGGGAATGTAAATTAGTACGACCACTATGGAAACAATACAAAGATTTATCAGAAAAATAAAAATAGAACTATCATATGATCCAGCAATCCCACTACTGGGTATTTATTCAAAGGAGAAAAAGCCAGTTTATCAAAGGGATAGCTGTGCACCCGCATTTACCGCAGCACTGTTCACAATAGCAAAGATGTGGAACCAACCTAACTGTCCATCGACTGATGAATAGATAAAGAAAATGTGGCATCTACACAAAATAGAATAGATAGAATATTATTCAGCTATAAAAACAAATGAAATCATGTCTTTCATTTGACATGGAGGTCATTATGTTCAGTGAAATAAGTCAGGCACAGAAAGACAAATATCACAGGTTCTCACACATATGTGGGAGCCAAAAATCTCACGGAGGTAGAGAGTAGAATGATTATTACCGAAGGATGTGAGGGCTGTGAAGGGGTGGAGAGGAAGGGTATGAAGAAAGGTTGGCTAATGGATATAGGAATAAAAAATAAGGACATACGATATAGGAATAAGTTCTAATATTCAATAGCAGTGTATGGTAAATATAGTTAACAACAATGTACTGTACATTTCGAAATGGCTAGAAGATACCACTCGAAATGTTCTCAACACACAGAAATGATAAATACCCAAGTGACGGCTATCCTAAACCCCCCAACTTGATCACTACACATTCTATACACGTAACAAAATATCATATGTATCACATAAACATGAACAAATACTATGTATCAACAAAAAACACAAAAATTATTGAATTGTACACTTAAAGTGGATAAATTTTATGGTCCATAAAATATGCCTAAACAAAGCTAATACAAATGAAATAGTGAGCTGAACTCTTCATCAGATCTATCTTGAAGTCATAAACATTCAGGACTATGCCACTCTTCTCTCAGCAGGGGAGTTGGTGCTGTCCCTGTTCAAGACTGATCTTACCACCACTTTTCTAGATTCTGTTTACTCCCAAATCTCCTTGTTTCTCCCAAGTCCTCCACTAGCTACCTCTTTTAACTGCTATGTTTCTTTAAAGAATGGTCTATGACAGACATCGCTACTTTCTCACTTCTTCCTTCACAACCAACTCCAGTCAGGCTTCCTTTCCACTAGGATGATAAGCTGCCAGCATCAGTGACTCTCTAAGCACAACATTTAACGGCTTCTTTTCAGTTCTTATTTAATAGGTCCCCTCTTAAAAATCTTTTCTTTTAGGTTTCTTGACACCACTCTTCAAGTGGTTCTCTGACTTCTTTGGATATCACTTCTCAAAACAATTTCTTCAACTTCTTCTGAACCTTACCTTCAATCTTCATGGTACCCTTCCTTGTTCTAGTCTCTGTTGACTTCACACAGCTGCCCCTTGTGAAAATCTTCCTTTACTACATGTCAGTGATTCGAAAATTGGTTATCTTCAAGTAACCCTCACTTCTGAGCATCAGATCTGTATGTGAACTGCTCCATGAACAATTCCAATTAGATATCTCATAAGCATCCCAAACACAGTAAGTCCAAAATTAACTCCATATTCTTCCTCACAAATCTCTCTATCCCTCTACATTCCCTAATCTTCTCCGAAAAGTCACCTAAGAAAGAAACCTGAGGCTACTCAGCAGTGCTTCCTCTTCCTGATGCGTATTCTGAATGGCTCCTGCATCCTCTCCTACCACTTCTAGATCCTTCTTCTAGCCCCTTCTTCCCACCCACTCTGTGATGGGCTACAGCACCTTCACTACTGTGTATGGATTTAGCTTGTTCTAAATAACCTTTTTAGATTCTCTTTTTTAAAAAATGAATTAATGAGCCATTAAATTAATCAAGAGAAGAGGAATTAAGAAATAACTCAAAATTCTAAGCAAATGTGCTACAATTTTTGGCAAATAAGGTCCTGTATGCGCTTTAACAATTAAGGAATCCCTTATTAGTACCACTAAAGAGAAAAAACATGTTTAGAAATTTCTTATACGTCTTCTTTATCATCATATGCTTTCATCTTCAGACGTCTGTTTAACCAAGGGGTGGCGATAACCTCATTATTTCAGACTGTGCTAATTTAAAATTCTCAATAATCTGGAGATGGGCTAGGCTTAAGTCCACTTTTTCATTCCAAAAGCATTGATTAATTACAGTGGGAATGACAAGACAGCTACTTGATAACATTTTGTTAGCCATTAATTAACTTTATGTTCTTGAAAGTAATAAAATTGCATTTCTTTTAAAGGAATTTATAATTAGTCTGAACCACACAATTTAACACTGAATTATATACTGTCTTCTATCGTTCTTTGATTTCTTCCTCTCTTCCTTTTCCCTCTTTTTCCTTTCTTCCCCGACCCTATCCACCACATAGGTTTACAAGGTGACTACGCTGTTCTAGTCCATCTTGAAGAATACAAAATGAATCAAAGAGCATCGCTTCTGCCCTCAAGGAGCTTCCTATGTGGAAAGGAAGATGTGGTACATAAAGGTACACATGACTATATTATATGGATGAAAACAATTAATTACATTAAAGAGTTTGAGATAAAAATCTAAGTGCTGTGAGAATTTGCAATAAAAGAACAATTACTTCCAAACTGAGAGAGAACAGGGATTGGGAATAAAGAAGGACACCTTCTGAGATACAGAATAGGGAAAAGGTATTACAAGCTTAGGAATGAGCATGCACAGATTCCAAGAAGCAGGAAAATGTAGAGCACATGTAGAAACCACTTGAGGTACTAGAGAGAACCTAAATTTTGGAATCAGATGGGCTTGGGTTGGAATAATTGCTCTACAGCTCACTTAGCTGTGTGACCTAGGCCAACTTACTTACACCCTTAGTTTTCTCAACTTTAAAATGTGCATTATAACTCTAAGTCATAGAATTGTTATAAGAATTAATTTGGATAATGCTTGTAAAGGTCAGGTACACAGTAAGTAATAAAATTGTAAATCAAAAATGCAAATATCCTTTTCTTTTAAGAAAAAAAGAACACATTAGACATAAACAGTCTGCTGAAGAAACTACGTAACAAATGTTTAGGGACCGCTCACCCAGTTCAAGATGAGGCACTGACTTTATTGACTCCGCTGCCATTATCTGTTTTCCATTTCTTAACAGAGATGCATGAACCCTTTCATTCCAGAACACAGTTAGCATTCAGTTAACTTCAAAGAGAGGTTGATTTGCTAAAATCCATTTATTTATACTTCAAGTTAAATGTTAGAAACAGTGCAGTAAACTGTTGTCAAGGAGTTCCCCTCTCAGTTTATTATTTTTCAAATCATAGTATCAATATCAAGTAGAATTTTCACTAGAGGTGACTTTATTCAGTTCTTCAATCACATATTTAATGGAACAAATTTTACAAATTGTAGACCTAATTGTTATAAGGGATATTAATCATATAAGAAATGGTTCCATGCTTGCTGGTGCTTATAATTAACATGTATGAAAACAACTCAATGCCACAGAGCATACATTGTGATAATGCCCATACGAGATCGACATGTAAATATCAGGTCACTTTCATTTTATGGGAGTAAGATGAAGGGTGCTTAGTGGTTATACACAGATAAGTAACTGAGACTAAGGGGAGTCTAGGAGCCCTGTCCAAGAGCTGCGAATATAACCTCAGTCACTTGGCACCAATAAATGATACTTCCATCAGGGAATTCTTAAGAGAGATAGCACACAGCTGTGCCTTCAGGAAACTGTACAATTGTGATAGGCAAAAATGCAGAGTGGAAACGCTTTACAGGGAGACAGAAAGACACCTGACCAAGTCCCCAGACTGGAGCAAGTACAAGAGGTCCTTCTGTGATAGCATCAGTTGCCGTAAAGAGTTCATATTAGAGCCTAGCAGAAGAGAATGGAGGAAAAAAAAAAAGACAGTAGAAATGGTCACTTAATAAAGAGCTTCAAATGCCAAGATAAGACAGGACTGGCCATTGGAGGGAAAATTCATTAAGGTTTGCTCAAGGAGAGGAGAGACATGACCAAATCACTCTTCTAGCACAAAGAAGTATAGCAGAGGTCCGAGCAGACTGGAGACTAGAGGCTGGGAAGGTATGAGGCAGAGGGTCTCTGGGAAGAGCAGCCAGGGACTGACCTTTAGACTGTATCTGTCATCCTATAACTTCACCAGTCTAGCCTCAGAGAAAAGAAATCCTTATCCTTGTCTTCTCCACCATCGGAGTTACCAAGGTGAGCTAAAAGCTGGGGCTATAGCTTTGTCATACATAAGTTGAGTTTGAAGAACTCAGTTCTGTGTTCAGTATGTTTTATAGGAGGGAGAAATCATTTCTGAAACACTTAGTTCCAAATAGAGAGTAAGATCAAAGCTAATATGAAGCAAGAAGCTGCTGAGGTATTACATGAACAGCCGTGGTGAGGATAAGTGTTTGGATTTTCTAAAAATTCCAAAATTATCTGTATTGATCTCTACAATCTAGTGACTTAAGAAATTGTCTGTCCATTTTCTTCACTCATGCTGTGCAGAATTGATATAACGTGTATTCGGTCAGCTCAGTGACCTTCCACGGCCATTTGAGCCACACATTCAGCAGTGAACTCAGAAAAAAAGGGTAACCTTCTCTGAGGGGCAAGTTCCTTAAACCACAAAATATGGTCTCTCTTCTCCATCCTTCTGTTCCTCTGAGAACCAGCATCATGATCACCTTCCTACAAAATTGAAAAGGCAAAACACACCGATGACGGATGTTTTTAATCACAAATGTAATAACCCATCACGTCTCATGACAAAGAAAGAGGTCAACAGGGAGGCAATTTGGTCTAGGAGTTTAATAAAAGCACGCTTTCCTTGGAAGCAGTCTTATAATGCCATCTTCCAAGTGTGGCGTGCAAAACAGAGTGCACGAAAGCAGTGCACCGGAATTAGGGCTCCAAAGACGTCCCTGGGGGCTTGTGCTCCATTCTCAGGACTGTCAGAAAGCCTCAGAGCTGCCGGGATGGCACAGCCAGGGCACTGGACCAGGCACAGTGTCAGTGCCAGAAACGACATCCCTTTCCACATCACTGTCTGCAGTAGGATTTTATTCCCTTTCTTCTGCTCACACTCTTTCTCTTAGGCTCAATCTGGCTTTACATCGGCACATACATACCCATCTGACAGGCTCTCCCATGAAATTTGCTGTTCCAATCTCAAACTGTCCCCCAGCTTAAAGACAGCCAGGTACACAATGAGGAGTAGGTCAGTAAAAGTCAGGGAAAATTAGGACACTTCCCTGGGTGGCAGGAATTAACTTACAGGACTCTTGCAGGCACAGGCGTATTTCAGGGGAGCACACTGTGTGTTTAAAAATGCTTTAGAAAAGCAGGTTTCCAATTGTAGCTTTTCCTAACAAAAGACAGGGAGACTTCTGCCAGAGGTAAAGCTTCCAGGCTGATGGCAGAGGGAGGGCTGGACCATCAGTCAGCGGGAAGCAGAGTGTGTGCAGGACACATTCCCCACAGCGCTGATCTGGTGTCTGCCTGCCTTTCTTTCAGGATGTGGATTTCTGCCTTGGTGTCCTGCTGGTGAATTCTCTCCAGTTATAAAACATTTTGTTACCTTCATTCGCTCTTAATTAAAAAGGGAAAAGAAACTCCTAGGGCTCTGACAACAGGAAAAAAAAAAAAGAAAACAAGGAAAGAAAGAAAAGGAAAAGAAAAAAGGAAAGAAAGGAAAAAAATGAAGAGCTCTTTGAGTTGCTGAAATCAAACGGTCAGATAACCTGATGTGGCAAGACAGAAAGGACAAAAAAAACAAAAACCATGGAGTCATTGAAAATGATTTTAATCTTTGTGAGCAATGTGGATTCTGTGAAACAGACATGTTTTCAGGGGGAAATGGGGAGCATTTGTAATGCCAGGGAGGAAAGGTATAAGATTCACAGACAGAGGCTCCAAACCCCTCAGCACTCACATCTGGTGTTCATTCCCCACACTTCTTAGGCTACTAGATGGTTCATTCTTTCCACAAATATCTATAAAAACCTGTCATAGACTCCACACTATACTAACGCTTTAACATTCAGAATCTTAGAAAAAAGTAAATACATAGTCAGCAATATTGATAGTTTTAATTTCCTGAGTCCTATCTGAGGTCAGCTATATTAGGCACTTGACATTCATGGTCTCTTGATCCTCACACAAGTCCTGCCAGGAGGGACAAAGACCTTAAGCATATGGATGGAAAACCAAGACTCAGAAAGATTAAAGTCAGGACAATAGAATTTTACAAATGCAAACCTTGTCCAAAGAGATGCATCCCATAAGTGGCGAGGGGTAAAGTGAGCGTTTGTTCTCTCATCTGTCTTAGACAACAGTCCACCACGTCATGATCCCCATACAGTGGAGTCAAGAGCTAACCCCAATTCCCTGCTTAGTCACACTGTGCCCCCTCTTGCCTTGCTTCATTTGGGGCCTGAACAGAGGACTAGGTGTATTTCCCCAAATTCCTTGTTACAGTATAAGGCTTATTCTAAAATCGAAGCAACGCCCACCTAACATTTTCCTTTCTACTCCTCATAGCCCTTCCCTTCTTTGACCTCCCTTATATCAACTCTAACTCCATCCAGGGTTATTCTCACCATCTACCTTTTACCTCCATTCTCAAGTTGCAGAGATTTCTAGGCAAAAAATTCATCCTCAGTTGGCCCCTCACTTTGTCCCCCAGGACAAAGGCAAGCTTTGTGTTTTAGCTGACCTGAGATGAAAATCCAGCTCTGTTGGACTCTATGTTTGATGCTCTGAATTATGATGTGCCCCAAACTCATAAAACCTGATACACAAACACAATTCACAAAGCAAATGCAAATCAGGTGGATGATTATTCCTTCACAAAAGGATTCACCATAGATTTCTTTAAATAGTAAGCTTCTCTGATGCACTTATGATATGACTTGATTTTTCCCCCAGGGATACACTCTTTGCATAAATAAAGCAAAGCAGGCTGCAACAAAAGAGAGCATCAGAAATATCTGCCTGGAAACCTCACATTTCAGGGCTGTTTACTGAGTCCATAGCTGTTGACAGGCCCCAAATCACAAGTTGCTGTGCTTCGTAACGCTCAGCAGGAGTTATGCCCTCCTGACTCTCCTAGTGACCTAGTGTCCTGCTGTGCAGCCTGGCATCAGCTGGCGGTCTTATTTGTGCTCTTAAGTGATCCTGGGATGAATGAGCACCATTCCCTTATTGCCACTTATCCAAACTACCCTGTAGAATGTTCACCTTCAAAAATAAAGGGCCACTGAATAAAAGCCTTCAATTCCTGGCTAGGTTTTGCATTAAGATCAGACTCTGTAACAGTCAGGATAAGTAGGTTATGCCGAAATCGTCAACAACATGAAAGTCTCAGTGACTATTTCTCATTCACAGTAGACATCCATCACAGGTGTGACAGGGAGGAGCTTTTTTCATCCATTCACTCAGGAACCCCCAGTGGGGCAGTCACAGTCTTGAAAGTCACTGGATGTCATGACAGAGGAAAGAGAGTGCCCAGGAGGGTCTCGCACTGGAAGTAAAATGTTTAGCCCACCCACAGGGTGACACACGTCATTTGTAGCTGCCTCTCATTGGCCAGCACTAGTCAATGTTCTTCTCCACAAAGGAGGAAGTACAATCCTACCACAGGAAGTGCTCAGGAAGTGGCACCCATGATCACCATAGGCCCACAGTGGTGCCCCAGGCTATTCTATAACCACAGAGGACAAGGGGCTTGAGATCCTGATACTGTGGAGGACAAATGCATCACAATAGTTCTGTTTGACCTGGTCTACACTCATTCTTTGGAGGAGATTCCTAGTTATATCCCTGATTACACCAGCCTCATAAGCCTCACCCCCAAAGGAAATGACTGCAGAGCTCTCCTGAATTTAGAATAGGTGCCTAGGCACACACTGCTTTGTGGACTGCCTCTTCCAGGGCTGTCTTTAAGTCTGAGAATGAGGTTTTATGTGCTTTGCTGAAGTTCCCAGTCCTGCAGAGACACCTTTGTCCTACGATGTTCTTGCAATAAAGCCTTTAATCTATTTCAAAAAGAGGCTGCCTTCTCATATTCTCTTGGCTCTTCTCATTGTTGGGTTATTATTTTCCTCTTTTTTATGTAGATTGAAACATTTTCTGCTTCCCAAATTTTCCCTCCCTCTGCTAGCTTTTTCACACAGAAGGAAGGGAAAAAAACCACAAACAAATAAAACTGTTTCTGTTAAATCAATGGCCATCCCTCTCCCCTCAAGCTTTCTCGCCATTTTTGAGTTGAGAGATGCGGGTGCTAGGTCTCCCTGGGTTTTATTTTCAAGCCATGGAAAGATTACAAGGTAGATTTCTGTCAACTCCTACACATCCTTGAATGCGAACACCAAGCACTCTTATTAAAGGAGTTGTCAAGATGCATTAGCCAAATGGGATGAGGCTTCCAAAGAGAAGCATGCCTAATCAGATGAGGGGAAGGGAAAGGGGCTGTATTTCTGACAAGATAATAATGCAGAGATGTCTCTTATCCACATGAATGGGCCACAGGGAAAACACTAATAATTGAAACACGCAAATGTGGTTAAAATCTTTACCTTTTATTTCTTCAAAACCTAGGTTATTGTTGTTTTAAAATTTTCTAACAAAAAAGAAGCATTTTCTTTAGGGAAACAGGAGGGATTTGAGTTAGAAAGGTAGTTTGTTAAGTCTAGGTGAGCTAATAATGTATGCTAAGGAAACTGCTGTGGGCAGATGCAGGTGAAACAGAAAATGGGAGGAATAAGGACTGAGCACCTCTTTCCTCTCTCAAAAAGAGAAAAGGAAGAGATAGAAATATGAAAACAACACCACACAATTAGCATGTTGGATGGTAGGATATGAAAATGGAAAAGGGAGATGGAAACTTCTTAGAATCCCCACTATCTGTCAGGAGTAATACATAAAATTACCTCATTTAATACACACAACAAATTGATGAGATATCATTCATATATCCCTTCCTTCCAACATTCATTCATTCATCTTTCACTCATTCAATCATTTATTCCAAACCATTTAACTAGGGTCCTACTATCTATCTGTCTGCCACAATGCAAGTAGCTGATGACAAAGAGAAAACAGAGCTCCTGCCTTCAAGTCGTCTACCATCCAGTAAAGACAATGTCCACAGAATAAGGAAACTGAGACTCAGAAAATGTGTCTTACCTAAGGTTTTGTAGATATTCATCACCCAAGAGAAGATTTATTCTCCAGTCTTTCTGACACCATCTAAACCCAAACTACTCAATTCTGGCCAGCTATCACACTCAGCTGATGGGATTCCATCCCCAGAGGTGCAGAATGACAATCTCCATGCATGGGACCTGGAGAGTGATATTTTTTTAGACTCCCTTACTAGGCTTAATCTAATGACCAGCTGTGTCAATACTATGATTTCATAGTGCCATCCTCTGCCCCTTTACCATCCCTGCACTGATCCTGAGCCATCAACTATAACGTTTTCACATCACTTGCAGAAGAATACTGAAGTTGGCTTAGTCCTAGCATCCCGTTGTCATTCTGCGTGGTAAGGTAAAGAAGTAGCAATTTTTGCAAATATCATCCATTCTAAATGCAACTATTAAAACTGTCAGCAATTTCATATTTCAAACATCTCTCCATGCTGCTCAAAGGACTACCAATAATGTCATTACTTAAAAGTCCCCAAGGAGAGCAGTTCTTTTAATCTTACTGTCCACAGCTCCTTGAAAGCTGAATCAATCCCCTAGGTACCATGAACATCAGAAGCTCTGAATGATTGTGATCCTACCACACATATGCTGATGTTCCAGCTGATACAATGCACCTGTGTATGTGTCTATGTGTGTGTGTGTGTGTTGTGTGTGTGTGTGTGTGTGAGAGAGAGAGAGAGAGAGAGAGAGAGAGAAAGAGAGAAAGAGAGAGAAACTTCTTTGGAACCATATAAGATTTCTGCTAACCTATTACAGAGGACACTAATAAAGGGAAATCAGGTTTCCAAGTGGACAATAAAGTAGCACAAAGATATCAATGGTCATTGAGGAAGTTAACCAGACAAGAGAAGAGAGATCTTTCAAAGATGAACCACAGGAAAATGCATTTGCACAGGGATCAGGCTATAATAAAGAAAGAGGTGCTGGAAACCAGCTTCTACTTTTTACTTAGTAAATGAGACATATTTTGACAGATGTAATGAGATTAAAGGCAGGAGTGGATTTAAAGCAATTCAAAATGGTATCTGTATTTTGAATATATATAATTCACATTTTCTTATTGAGAATAGCCTAGAAAAGTGTTGTGGTAAAAAGTGGCAACCTAAGTTACCTTTTGCCACCATCTTTACTCTCCCAATGCCCCCCTCATTCCCCTGACACACACAAATATTCTCTTTCCTTTCTTCCCTTCCCTCCCCTATAATTCCCTTTGGTATAAACATTCTAAATTATTTATATCTAGGTTGAAGGCAGCCTTTAGTCTGACTGGGACCACAGCAATCAAAATATAATTGTGCTATAGATATGCTAATACATTATGCTAATGGTTGATTAAGGAGACGATGAAACCTGAACAATGAGGATGGGGCTCTGGGCCATCGAGTGGCTAAAGAATGTTCAAAAAGAAGTCTACATGAGAATCTTGACCTTTTAGATAATCTGTGTGGCTAGGTGAGAAATCAATTTTAAACAACATCTCAATGAAGCTGGTTCTGTAAGTGGCAGGTCCAGAAAAAGTAAAGCTCAGGGATTTCTCTGTGTAGATTCCAAGGAGGCAATTAAGGAGGGTTTTGTACCATGGGAAAGAGTGGGCTCCATGTGGGACATGTGATTGAGCTACAGACAGACCTACCAGGAAAAGCCTTTTCTTCTTGAGTGAACAACAGAGCTGAGCTGAAAGCACATTCTCAAAGTGTGGTCCCCAGACCACAAGGATCAGTTTTACCCAGGAACTTGTTAAAAATGCAAATCATGGGCCAGGCGCAGTGGCTAATGCTTATAATCCCAGCACATTGGAGGTCTGAGCCAGAAGGATCGCTTGAGCCCAGGAACTCAAGAGCAGCCTGGGAAATATAAGGACAGTCTGTCTCTACATAAAATTTAAAAATTAGCCAGACATAGTGGTGCACACCTGTGGTCCCAGCTACTAGGGAGGCTGAGGTGTGAGGATCATTTGAGCCCAGGAGGTTGAGGCTGCAGTAAGCTGTGATTGCGTCACTGCACTCCAACCTGGGCAACAAATAACCTGTCAAAAAAAAAAAAGAAAAAAAAACTCTAAGGGTGTGGGTGGAGGAATCCGGATTCAACAAGCCTCCAGGTGTTTCTGAAGTGCACCACTGGCAGAGCGAAATAACTCTGGCTCAGAACCGGGCTAGCATTAGGGTGAAGGAGGAAATATAAGCAGAATTGACTATAAAAGTCAATTACACACACAACTGTGGCAGCGCATCTTACTGTTTAGTGCGCTCACTAGTTACTTTCCTAACCCTAACTTCTAAGCCAGAAATCAGCTGCTGCTCAGGAACTTTGACAGGCGGACAGTAAAAGCTTCTTGAAGACAAAGGTTTTTCCTGTTTCCTCTTTTTTAATAGTAATTTCTGTTATTAACAGTAAACAGTAATAATGGCTGCTAACATTGGCTAAGAGCTTGCTATGTGCAGGCTTTGTTCTAGGACTTTAAATGTATAAAACTCAATCTTCAACTTTAATAAATCGTTACTATGATTTCCTCCACTTTTCCCAATGAGTTTATTGATAAAGAGACAGAGTAAGGAAGTGGCAGAACTTGAATTCAAACCCAGGCATTGTATTGCCACAAAATTTAGTAGACTGACATTCCTAACGAGAGGAATGATTCAGGAGAAGCATGGATACTAAGAGAAAAAGAAAAAACAAAACATAAGTTTGGGGATACTAGAGGCAGAAAGTTATTCAAGCAATGGCCAGAAGCCTCCAATTTGGGGGACAGACACCAACACATCATTTCATTCTTCTACATAGTATTTGCAGAGTAGTAATTGTATTTGCTTATGATGAATTGAGACGTAGGGTTAATTGTTGATCACTGACACTCAAAATTCTCATTCTTATCCTATTCAACCAAAATTTCCCCTTCTGTTACCTTCCCAACTCAGTTGCTTATTAGAAAACTCCCATTTCTGAATTCTTATTAAAATATATGATACACCAGCATATTAATGTTCCAAATAACTAAATAATTATTAAATTTCATCGCTTTTGTACAGTAAAGCTGCCACAAATAGCTCACAAGACAAGTCCAGCCAAATACCAAGTCACTTCCCTATTCAAAACCTTCAGTGACTCTCTGTTGCCAATGGAGAAAAGTCCAATACCTTTAATCGGACATTTGAAGAGCCTCCACCCTCTTCAGGCAGCATAATTTCCAGCCCCGGTTGCCATGGACAGCATCAACTCTCCACCCCTGTGAGCCTAATTCATTAACTGATTCTGATTCCTCTTTGGCTGTCCCTGCCATTGCTTTTATTCAAGTTTTTCTACACATGAGGCTTCACCTCTCCATATCTTACCCATTCTCCTTATCCACTCATTCGCCTCCTCTCTGCAGCTTTCCTTGGCCATCCATACCTGTCTAATTACACTCTCCTCTACATCCATCATTGTTTGTCCTTAATATCATTTGGCAATTGCTCAAGTATGGTTTTGTCATCTCATTTTACACTGTTGACCGATTGTGTGTATGTGTGTGTGTGTGTGTGTGTGTGCCTGTCTGTGTGTATATGCATGATATAGTTTGAATACATGTCCCTGCCAAATCTTATGCTGAATTACAATCCCCAGTGTTTGGCATAGGGCCTGGTGGGAGATGTTTGGGTAATGGGGGGAGATCCCTCAGAGCTTCGGGCTGTCCTCATGAGATCTGTTGTTGGGGTATGGTACCTCCTCCCCACCCTCTCTCTCCTGCTTCCTCTCTCACCATGTGGAGATACTTGCTTCCCCTTTACCTTTTGCCATGGTTGAAAGCTTCCTGAGGCCTCCCCAGAAGCCAAGCAGATGCCGGTGCCATGCTTTGCTTCCTGTACAGCCTGAAGAAACAGGAGCCAATTAAACCTCTTTTCTTTATACATTATCCAATTTCAGGTATATCTTTATAGTAATGCCAGAATGGCCTCACACAACAGCTTACTATAAATCAGCCTTTATATATGTTTATGCCCTATGTATACAAGAAAATTTCTTATCCTTAAAAAGTGGTACTAAGATACCATCTTTGCATCATCTTTGTATTTCTTCTACACCCAGTATACTCTTGTACACAGCAGGCATTCAGTATTTGCTAAACTTAAAGGGACCACAATGCCCTACTTTGATATGGAATCATACAATGCCGCTTTTTTTCTTTAGCAACCTCAAACTCATGTTTTGCAACCTGCAAAACAAACGCTCCTCACAATATGCTTCCTGGATTCCTCTTCAGACTCTTTTCTGCTCAAGACCTTTCCCACCTATTCTTCTTTGGCAGATGACTATGAATGCTACACACATACCACGCTGTTCTATGTTTCTGGGAATTTCCTACTTCGCTTTATCTACCTGGAATGCCCTTTCCTTATTCTTTCCTCCTGAGAAAAATCCAGGTAAGATAAACGCCAGTAAAAAGTCATTTCTTACCCTTACTTCCTCCTGATATATCATTGCATATTCCACAGTGTTTAGTAAGTAATTGATTACATTTTTTCCTGTTCTATTTGTTTATGAATTCCAAGATGACAGAGACTATTTCTTATTTATCTCCATGTCCCCTGGTACCAGCATGGTACTCAGCACATAGTCTATGCTTTGTGTGTTGAGGGAGTGAACAAATAAATGCAAGATGAAATATAGAGGAACGATCAAAGCAGACTTTTATAAATGTCTGAAGGAGTCTGTCATTAGTCCAGAACAGAGTGAGATAAAATCATGCCACACAATGGGATAGAGGGGCACATAATATGAAAAATGTACTTGTACACATTCACCCCAAATGCTTTGCACATTGAAGTCATATCCTCCGTAATTCATTTGCATGGCTGAAATCCCCTTGGGAACATGCTTATGGTAAATAAACTGAAACAACCTCCTCAGGAAGAATAGCATGAGGATAATGAAAGAAGGAGTAGCAAAAACCACATTGAAAGATGAGCGTTTGCAAAGAGACAAGGAGTTGATGATATGGAAATCTTTTGCTGGCCACAGAACTCCCCCAAGGATTGACAAAGGAGTGTCAGATATGTGCCTATCTTTGGGAGGAGGCTATTGGAACAGGGCAGTAAGCTCAGCCTAGAAATCAGAGCCCTTGAGAAAGACAATGGGAAAGGCAGGGACTGTCTGGGAGTGTGTGCAGTAGAAGCCTTGCCTGGCTTCCAGGTGGGCTGAGGGCTGCTCTGAGGCAGGAAGTCAGCCTGTGCTCACCTGAATGTACCGATATAACTCCAAGAGTTGCTTTGGTTCAGGGTTCCCTTGATGTCTTATGAGAGATTTGATTAGGCTAGGTGGAAGGGGAAAAAAGAAAAAGAAAAGAAAAAAAGTCATGTTAGAAATCACTAGTACGCAGGAAGGGGAGGAGGAGAGGAAGAAGAGCGAAATCAACCGTGAAAAAGAGAAAGGGAAATATAGCCAGAGATGTATAAAGCCTGTCAAATCTCTCCAAACTGTAACAAAAGCATGGGAGAGATAGTTTCTCTTTAATGAATGCTTTGATCAGCCACAGTTGATATAATAATTATATAAAACTAGAGCAAGACAGAAATAAGATGTGTTTTTCTCTCACATAGCCTGTAACCTTTGTGATTGGTTCATTTATTTAAGAAAAGAACAAGGCTCTTCAAAACAGAGGCATATGTCAGAAGAGAACCTGTTTTCTCCACTAACTTATGCAGGAAATTTGCAGCAAAGACTGCGTCCCTTTTCCTCCCTGCTCTGGAAGGAAGGGAGCATCTACCAGCCATGACTCTGAAAGTGAACTAATGGTGGTGGAGTCTTCCTCACATGTATCTTGGTCTTATTTCTCAGGCTAATGCCTTCTCCTAACCCACAGCTTGACAGTACCTTCTTTTCTTCCTTTCTTACCCCAAACTGTTCTCCCTACTTCAGTTGGCTCTCCTAACAGTTGACATCAGTCGGGCATTGCTCAAGTACTAAGATACCTCGTGCTGCTTGAATTATTGACTTGGCTAAGATCCAGAAAGGGAGGAGTAAGCATCATTTTTTTCAGAATGGTACTCCCACAAGCACACGTGCTTTTTAGAAATAGCAAGGGAAAGAGGTGGTTGCCATGGGAACAGAGGCGGACACACAAACAGGAGTAGCACATTGCAGGGACCCCTCCTTGCTTCTGCACCCTCAGAGCCTCTCCTGAAAGCTTTCTCCACCTGCGAAGGAAGAGCACACACGATGGTAATGGTTAAACTTCCACATCACAAATGAAGAGTATGCTTGATCCTCAGGTTGTCAGCATGGCAGTTCAGCTGGGGCTGAGTGATTCTGGATCTGGAAAGAAGGGAAGAGAAAACAATGTCTGCTTCTCCAATCAGTGTCTTGGAAATCCGCCAGACTGGTGATATATTTGAGCCACAAGCTCCTAAAAAGTTGAAATGGCACAAAACACAGCAGTCTCCCATAATACCCACGCTGGTATGGTTCTCTGCCAGGCATAACCAGTGGGAAATTAGGATGGGTCCTGAGAATGGCATCCCCACCGATCATTCTTGCCCTGCACTGGCCCACTGTAGGGGTATAACAGATATACCAAGGCAACAGTAGAAAGAAGGTAAGGCAAGAAGGCCATGTATAGGGAGATGGGATGTGGGGACCAATGGGGAGAAAGCAGGCTGTAGTCTGTAGTACCTGTGGCCAGGGTGACCGACGGAGTATGAGATTGTGTCTCTCTAACAATTGAATTGAAAAATAAGTCAATCTGGTTTTAAAGATCAGGTTTTTGGAAATTTAAAAAAAAGTCAACCAGCTACGTGGTAAAATGCATAAAAACAGCTGGTTAAGTACTATCCCCTTTGCAAAGAATGGCTTCAGGAAATGGTGGAGGGCTGGCCAGGGTGGCCCCAAGCAGAGCCTTGCCTGTGTGGTAGGACAAGGGGGGCCCAGGATGCAGCAGAGCTAGAAGCCTTCCCCCTGCCACATGCCGGATACTGATTTATTGGGACTGGAACAATTTGTCTAAAGCTGTAATTTTAACTACCTCCGTGCTGAGCAGCCAATCAGTGGGCTCACTCCACGCAGCTTTTACGAGTCCCCATAAAAGCAGCAAAATGAAAACTCAGGGGCCCTTAAAATATACTCCAAGGGTTTCTGCAGTGCAATTGGAGGCTTTTATGACTCCTGTCAGGACTTTTATGACCCCGTAAAACCAGGCAGCAGCCTGGCCTGAGATGAAAAGTGGCCCCACTGTCTTAAAGTCTAAATGGTCTGTACATTTACAAGGCCTCCAGGAAAGAGGAGGGGAACACCATGGGGTGGGAGGGGTTGCCTTGAGCAAAGGTGGGTCCTGGGGTGGAAGAACCAGGGAGTGAGGGGAGGGGCGGAAAGGAAGCAAGGGGAGGTGGGAGAGAGGGAGGAGAGGTGCATATGAGCCTGGCTTTAGGGTTCTTCAGCAGTTCAAAGCACTGAAATGCCAAAACCCCAGTACTATTCACCACACACAATGGTAGTTGAAGGTTCTACAGGCAGCCTCATAGCTAACAGGGTCTGGGCAAATGCCACCTTCATTGGAAAGATGAAAAATGAAGCTGCCAGGGAATCACAGGCTCGAGAGCACTTTTTCAAGGGCATCTTCCAATTATTGTGACAGCTGCATTCCAGGAAGAAAAAAGAAAGAGAGCGAAAAGATAAAAAGGAAAAGAAAATGGAGAGAAACACAGTTCAGATCATTACAAGTGTTCCACATGGTTCAGAAAATTTGTCAATGATGGTGTGAACACCTTTTTATCCAGCCACAGCCTGTGCTATGCCTGCAAACCCACTGCCCGCATGCTCACCACCACCATGCCAGCTCTTAGCTGAGGCCCATCGAGGGTCCTTTCAAGTCACGATTACTGAGACAATGTGATCCTGTGCCTTGATCTGGAGTCTTAAATCTTCTTCTAAACTTATTAGCCTGGCCCAGTGTTCCGCACGTACCCAGAAAAAGCCAGAGTCATCCTGCAGAAGTCATAGACAGAGGAACAGGAATGATGCAGTATGGCCATTCCTAGCAGAAGCACACTGAGGGGTAATCTGCCCTCCAGGCAGGGCGAGAGGCTGGGTGGGCCAGGGGCATGAGTTTCTGCAAAGCCACTCTGGCTGTCAAGCCCCTACATACAGAACCCAAACAAGCAGGAGAAGTGATGTATGCTGACTTTAGACCTCAGAGAATATCAAAGAAACAGAGGTAACAGTGTTTTAAAATGCCCAGGGTAGAGTCCAGCTGCAGCTGTTAGGCCAGCCTAGCAGCCAGCCCAGGAGAGGCCATGGTGAAGCTGACCATGTTCATAAAGTGATTGATCATGGAGGCTATGGGTTGTCCAGGCTGGGAAGGAGAGAAAGGTAGGAAGCCAGTGATATGTTTGGATGAACTATTGGGTGAATTCCCATTTACAGGAGTGTTTCCCTCCATCTAGAGGGGCGGGGATGTGGCAGAGCAAGGAAGGAGATGCTTCAGAATGCAGGCTGGGGAGAGTCCTGGCAGAGCATAAACACACTCCCAGGGAGCCAGGTGTGCCTCAGAGGGGGCTGGCAGCAATGACACCGAACTGGCAATGATTCCTCCTTAATCACTCATGCTTCCAGGAACCTTGAAGAGTGGCGGGTAAAGCAAGTATGAAGACGACAAGACCCAGCTGTAAATCCCAAGACACCACTATGTGTCACTGGGCAAGTCCTTAATCTTTCTGAGCCACTTCCTCAACTGTAAAGTGGAGATAAAACATTTGCCTCATATGGCTGCTCTAAGGATTAGAGAAGATAAGGTGTGTAGGTGGGATTTGAGTAGCATCTTAATGAATGGACGGGAGTTTTCCAGCACCTACAGAGAAGAGCTGAAATTTCAGGTAGAGGGAACTGCACAGTGGCAGGCGATATAAAAGAACAACCCACATTTCAGATACAGACATCTGTTATGCCTAGCGCGTCCATCTCTTGTAGTGGATATGTACATATTAATTTACTCTACATGTGTGTCAGGCGCTGTGCTGGGTATGGCAGGTGCAGGGGAGGGGGTCAGGGGAACAGCAGGGTGACTGCTTTTCTTTCCTTAACTTTTGGACTCATCCAATCCATTCCTCTCACAACCCTTAGCATCCTGTACTTAAAACACAGATTGATCATGTCCCTACTGAAAACTCTTCAGATGTGTGATGCAACCCATAAGAGAAAGTCCAAATTCTTTAGGGCAGTCCCCCTGAAACTGGCCCAATTTCCCTATAGAATTTATGTTTATGTATTTTTTAATTAACATGGAAATTAATGCTCCCAGTCTTAAAGCTTGAAACTGACATTTGTTTTATCTGAGTTCCTTTCTCAGGAAACTGACCCTCAGGCCTCCCAGATAATGTCGAGGAACTGAAACTCACCAGGTCACCACATGCAGACAATGAGATGCCAGACCCCTCATTCAGCAGGACTGCTCCCTTACCTGCCTTAATTCCTATTTTCCTGCATGTAGCTACATTCATTTTCCACTGTAGAAACCCCCAATTTTAGTTGATTGGGGAAAGATGAATTTAAGACTGATCTGTCTCCTGGGCTGATGACACCTGAATAAAGCCGTCTTTGTTGGCTTCATTCGTTGTCTTGGTGGTTGGCTTTCTGTGTAGCAAGCAACAGGACCTAGACCAAACCCCTGGCATTTCAGTAACATGCCCAAGCCAACATGATCTGGCCCCTGCTGAGCACCAGTCTCCTCTCTCAGCCTTGGCCCCGCTTCCCCATCTCACACTCTCTTCCACTTGGGATCTTGGCACATGCCCTGCTCCCCTACAACTTTGCCTGGCTGACTCCTCATTCTTGATGCCTCAGCCTCAGCACAGCTTCCTTTGAGAAGCCTCAATGATACCACCACAGCACCCAGACCAAACCAGATGCACAGTTACACAGTTCCATCCCTCCAGGTCCTTCTTTCAGACACTCACTAGATCCTCAACCTTCCATTCCGTTGTTGTAGTCTGCAGTAGAATGGCAGTCCCATCAGAGCAAGGGTGCTTGCATCCTAGCACCTGGACCACTGTGTGGCACAAAGAATGAAAAATTTAGATTCTGTTAAATATTGCTGAATAGGCCTAGATTGAAAACAGGTAAAGAAGATGTTTCATGACCTGCTAAGTGCTTAGATCATAACCCATCCTTACCATGGATCATCCATGACTGAAGCAGGACTTGGGCTTAAAGGAGATAGAAAGGTGAGATTGGGCATGCTGTGCAGGGTGCACTAGAGGACAGGGGGATCTAAGGCAGGCAGTCTGGCTCATTTCAATAATGCAAATAAGAGGGAACAACAGTCTGAACTACCACAGTGGCAGCATAAATGCACATGGCAGATAAAAGACATTACAAATAAACTGCAAACAATGAGGAATAAGAGAGGGGGAGGAATCTAGGACAGCTTTTAGGTATCTAGTGAATAGGTGCATAATGAGTTTAGGAGTAGAAATTCAGAATATGAAGTTGGATACAGAGTCCAGTTTGGGCCTTGTTAATATGAGGTATGTGTGAGATATATGGGGGAAATATCCAAACAGCAGCTGGAGAAATAGATCTGGTGTCCAGGGAAGGCCAGAAACATAAACTGGGGAGTTAGTGGCCCAAAAGCTAAAATTACTGAAGTGGGATGAAATAGTCCTAGGTGTCTGTGTAGAGCCACAGGAGGCTAGTGTGCTTATGATGAAACCCTGAAAAATACGAGCATATAAAAAAACAGACAAGAAGTTGCTTCCCTCAACAAAATCTCACCAACACACCCGCTCACATTAGATGCTCCTGTTTCTGTGCACCTTCTAATGATACCACTTGTTTTTGTCCCAGCATGTATTTTGTGCTAATAAACTTTTATTGAGTGCTTACTTGGTTGAGAGGTTAGATATCCCTCCTGAGGGCTCCCCTAATATTGTTTAGACTTCCATCAGCAACTCTCACTTTCTCCTATCATCTTTTTACTTGTCTTTCCATTAAATTGTGAGCTCTTTGAGTCAGAAATTACATATTTCAGAACTCCCTTCCCACCCCTCAGAATGTTTACTCATTGACTGCAAAAGAAGTTTACCATTAGGTAGGGAAGACAGATATGTATGTAAATAACAATAAAGAATACAACTGTTCTTCTCAAGGTAATCACTGACTTGTCACTAGCCAAATCCAATGAGCATGTTTGCAACAAGTGTTTCATACCATTGGCTAATACTGTCTTCTTTAATGTCTTTCTCCACCTTTAGAGACACGAGCTCCCTTGATTTCTATTATGCTGCTGTTTATGTCTTTGTTCTTCTTCTTCTTCTTCTTTTTTTTTTTTTTTGGAGATGGAGTTTCAATCTTGTGGCCCAGATTGGAGTACAATGGCATGATCTCAGCTCACTGCAACCTCTGCCTTCCAGGTTCAAGCAATTCTCCTGCCTCAGCCTCCTGAGTAGCTGGGATTACAGGCACACACCACCGCACCCAGCTAATTTTTTGTATTTTTAGTAGAGATGGGGTTTCTACCATCTTGGCCAGGCTGGTCTCAAACTCCTAACCTCAGGTGATCCACCCTCCACAGCCTCCCAAAGTGCTGAGATTACAGGCATGAGCCACCGCTCAGCCTGTCTCTCCTTTATGGTTGCTCTATTCCATTCTTCTCAATCCCCTTTAATTTTTGTATGTCTCTGAAATTCATAGACTTATTTTCTTTGTTCTTAATTATATCCACCCTAGGAAATCTGCACACACTGTCTTCATCTATCATTTGCAAACAATGATTACAAAAGCATTATCTTTAGCTCAGAATCCCTATATATACAACTGCTTCCTGGACTTGCACAATTGGAGGCCCTGTAGGCATTTCAAACACAAGATGTCAAAACCCAGCTTGTCATCCTCTACTACAAGTCCCATTTCTCCCCCTCCATCACTTAATTACCTCATTACCCAAGCCAAAAACATGGGACTTGTTCTAGATGCATTCCTTGTCCTTCAGATACAACTGATGACAACGAACTGCCTACTCCACCTTCCCGATAGCCCTCCTCTCTGTTTGCATGGCTCCTCCTTTAGGTAAGACCTTTCTCCCCTCCTGGATGACTGCAATGCACTCCCAAGAAGTTGCTTCACCTGCAGCCTCTCTCTCCCAAACTATTTGCCAGTGGGTGTACTATGACGCAAATTGATCCCATGAGGATTTTGTTTTCTTGTTAAGGTTTCCTCTCTTCTAAATTTCTTACAATGTTTCCCAATCTATCTAGGCATTAGAATAACTTACTGAACTTTTATAATCAGGTTCTCAGACCCTGCCCTAGATCTAGCAAATCAGAATACTTAGTGGGTAAACCCCCAGAAGTACTGAGTATGTTTCCCAAACTCCCAGAAGTTAGTATGAGGCACCCTCTCTGTGGATTGGCATTTGGGACCATTTATATAATGGGTATCTTTTGTAAAATTTCCAGTGTCTTTCTCTGGGTATTTCCAATGCAACCATTCCTCTCCAGTCTCATGGTCACAGGAAAAATGCTCTTATGACACAACTCACACCCTGGCCATAGTTACACCAGTGCAAGTGTAGGCACCAGACCCAAGCTAACCAAACAGACTTCCTTTCAAAGTGAATTTGTAAGAGGAACATAGAAAAGTATTCAATCTTTTCAGGCAATTGTGTGTGTAAGATTTAATCTTAGATGCTCTTACTTCTGTGTTCCATCATGTAGATTAGAGAAGTAGAGTAAGCAGTTCTGCATAAAGAGGAGAATAAAAAAGCCATGAGAAAACAGCAGAATTGAGGTCCCTGATGCGATTCCTGTCCTTGGTGCCTGTTTTTGAAGCAAAGTTGTAGTCTTATGTTCATACACCGAGAGCTCATTCTACAGCTGAACTTCGAACAATGTGGGGGTGAGGAGTGTGGACCCCCATGCAGTTGAAAATCCAGGTAGGACTCTGACTCCCCCAAAACTAAATTATTACAGCCAATTGTTGACCAGAAGCCTTACCAGTAACATAGTCAATCAGTACATATTTTGCATGTTATATGTATTGCATTATTGATCATATTTGTATAATAAAGTAATAAACGAGAAAATGTTAAGAAAATCATAGAAAAAAGTAGATTTACTATCAATTCAGTAAGTGAAAGTTAATCATCATAAAACTCTTCATCTTCATAGTCGTCACATCGAGTAGTTTGAGGGGGTGGAGGAAGAGGAGGAACTGGTCTTGCTGTCTCAGGGTGACAGAGGTGGAAGAAAATCTGTGTATAAGTGGATCCATGCAGTTAAAACCCATACTGTTCAAGAATCAACTGTGTATTTTTCATCAGGTTTTCCTTTCTTTCCCAAGTTAGATTGAGTAGGTTTCCATATATACATCCAGAATGATGCAGATTAATAAACACGGACTATAAGCACTTCATGAAAATATGACTTCTGTCTTTACCTGTCCACTATCATCAACCTTTCTCCTCCTCCCAAATTTCCCATATTTCCACCAAGCTTAACTACTTGTCCTGCATGCCTGGACCTGCTGTTTCTTGCCTGCCTTTGTGAATGCAATGGCAGGTACATGTCCAGAATGCATTCCCCCTTTCTTTATCTGGGTAATTAGCCTTATCATCCATGAAGACTTATTTCAAGAACCACTTCATTTAGAAATCCTTACCAGGCCCTTTAAGTGCGGAAAAGTCACTCTTTCCCTGTGTCCTAAAATAGCTACATTTTACATAAAATGTTTATACTTGACATGGCTTTGGTCATGTGGCATCAACACTGACACTTGTCTTGTCTGTTTCTCTCATTTGACTTAAAATGAAGGATATGGGCTATGCTTATGTCCTTGGCTCTCTATTATTTGGCACAGTGTTGGACACATAGAATGTCCTCAATAATGTTTATTAAATGAAAGACTAAAGTAATCATTTAATCAATCACCTATTAATTACTAATTAATCAGAAGAAGATGTCAAAGGGAGAAAAGGATAGAAAAGTGGACTACAGTAACTCAATCTCTGACTCCCAAACAAGACTCTCTTATTGTGGAACTGCTGTTCTCAACTATGCAATGCAAGAGATGCATGGTTATGGCAGGGACAAGAAAGAAGGTAAAAAACAAACAAAACAAAACAAACAAAAAACAACAAAAAAACACCTCTTTTAAGTCCTATTTCAAGGCTATCTATCAAAGATTAGATAACTCATCTCTTCAATAAAAGCTCCTCAGTAGTTAGAATGGCATTGCATCTGCTCCATGGTACATACTACAGTGCTTAATGTATAGTAAACATTAATCGAACTGAATGAGTCGTTGAGCCCATTTATTGTGCAGTACTGGTTTTCCTTGTACCTGAAGTCAGTGTTCTTGTTCAGGTTAGACAGTATGTATATCACACATACAGAAAGTAATTTATCAGGTAACTCGGTTCAGAGCCCGCTCACTATAAAAACAGACTAAGAGTCAAAATGAGATACTATTTTTAATAGAACATATATGTGGAAAATAGTTTATAGAGCTCAGTCCCTGACTCACAGGAGATGAAAATGTGATCCTTTGCTAGCTCAGACAAAATCCTCCATGCTACATTAGGCTTGATAGCAAATTTTGCACTTGCAAGCTTTTATAAAAACTGTGTATCTGAAATCTTAATAATGCAGGAAGGTGAATTATGTTTTTCTTCTCTCTTCAGGTTTACATCAACAGAATCAGAACTAATTCCTGATTTGAAAGTCAGCAGTTCTAGCAGGATCTATAGGAACATTTTGTTAAGGTTTTGTGTAAGACTGAAGGAACCTGGATTTATAGACACACACACATTATAGACACACACACACACATGCAAACACACACAGACCCACACAAATGCTAAAATGAGAATCTTAATGCTGAAAATCATGATTATACCCATGTACAGTGAGAACTACCTTGAACGTTCAATATTGGTCACCTAAAAGAATATGAAATATTTAAGCGAAAATTTAAAAACAAATTCTCTAGCATCCTCTACTGAACATTTTCATTTTTCATTTTAGTTACTGGCATCATCCACACACTTACATATGCAGCATGGCCACATTATGAAGAGTACTGGATTTCGATTGAGGTTAGGAAGAAAGTCAGATTTAGATTTCAGTTCAAATCTAGAATTTTCCATTTATCAGCTATGAGAGTTGAAAACGTTTAAAAATAATTCCAGCCTTAGGTTTTCTTCTCCATAAAATGTAGTGAATAAAATTTATTCTGCCAAATGTACAGGTTGCTTTTGGGGATCAAAATCAATAAGACTGATTCCTCTACCCCAGTCTCAAAATTCCAGCTACATATAATAACAGTAATAGATGGATGTCTTTATTGTTCCAAATATTTACAACTTCTTGCATGAAAGAATTACATTACTATCCCCACTGACATCAGTTTTGGCCATTTGATTTGCTTGAGCCAATGAAAAAGGAATAGAAATCTCACGTATTACTACAAAACAAAAGCTTTAAGAGCATTCACATGGTTGTACCATTCTTTTCCCTCTGAAGCAAGACTGCATGACCTAAATAGAACCTATTCCTATATGCTTTGGTCCAGTAAGTAAGTGTATGTGTATGTGTTCATGTGTGTGTGTGTGTGTGTGTGTGTGCATGTATCTAAATATGCATGTGTATATAACTCACCTTTGTTGTAAGCTACTGAAATATTGGGAGCATTTGTTATTGCAGTATAATTTAGCCAATCTGACTGATACACATTAGAACCCCTTAACTACTTTTCACTTCGATATCCTGCCAGATTAACTGATGTCATTTCCTCTAAACAACATACCAAAAGCCCATAGTTATTAGGCTAACATTTAGTACATTGGCATTTTTCTGATCCCGCGAGTTAAGTGAATAATTCCTATGAGTTCGTTTCTTTTATGCCATGTATAACTATTACCGCAATATCACATCGTAATTTAATTCTGCAATGAGTAAGTCAAACATGATTAAACACACCAATAAGAACAAACCACTAAATAAATTACTGTTGATTTTTTAAATGATGAAATGTATATGAAAGTGTTTTATAAATTAAAAATTGCTGTTTTGAAATATCAGTTGATACTAATTTGTTAATTAGTATGTTTTTGAGCAGCTACTTTTTGGAAGACATCATGCAGGGGATAACATGAGACATAATAACAAAGAACTATCCTCAAAGGACTTTCAGTCCAGTGTATTTTAAAAAGGAATCAGCAGTAGCATATTTAACGATGTATCTCAGTGATCAAACATAGTACCAATAAATTCTATTGTATCAATTAAAACAAATCAAAATAAAACAAACAAAAACTGGTGCAGAAGGTTATGGACCCACTATAGCTGGATTCAAAGAATCAGGAAGATGATATATCTATTTTATTCAGTTTTTATATATTTTACTTTCTCTGTTTTTCCATTCCAAAATAATATGAGCTCACTACTATAGGCTTAAAATAAAGAAATATAACAGTGTTTTTGGTACTACGTTTTCATCACATAAAGCCTATTTAATGGAGGCTCTTGTTAGAAGCCTTCTAGACAGAGGTCTTTTTGTGTAAGCTCAGCTGCCTACCTAACTGCCTCTGCTGGCCATCAATTCATCAGACCCAGAAAACTGTCAAAATGAAGGCACTGCCTATGGAACCACACATATCAATTTCTCTAGCGAATCTCTGATTTAAATGGATGTGGCAATGTTCATTTTCCCAGCTTGGAGAAAAAACCTGATCTCAGGTAAAAGAAGTGATGACAAAACCCATCAACCTACCTCACCACGTCTACAGCCATCATTCACATGGAATATCCACCACTGCCAGTCACTATGTCACCAGGCCACAAAGGATAGCTCCATTGTAACTTACAAATCCTATATCATGATGGAAGAAAGGAGAGAGAGCAATGCAGTGTCCCCAGGATGCCAGATCAGACCACCAATTCCTCTGACAGTGGAATGGAGTTGGATATCCGTTGTGCAAATGTTCCTTAACAAATCAACTCAGGGAAAGGTTAATATTTAATCAGACAATAACCTTCAATGCTACAGTCTGAATGGTTTTTGTCTCCCAAAAGTTCTATGTTGAAACTTAATGACCAAGGTACTGGTATCTGGAAGCAGGGCTTTTGGGGAATTATTAAGTAATGAGTGTGGAACCCCCATAAGTGGAATTAGTGTCCTTATAAAAGAGCTCCTAGCAAGCTTGCTTGCCCCTTCCACTATGTGAGGACACAGCAAGAAGGCACCATCTGAGGAAATGGACTCTCAACAGACACCAAATCGGATGGTGCCTTGATATTGGACTTCCCAGCCTCCAGACTGTGAGGAATAAATGTTTGTTGTTTATCAGCCACCCAGCCTGGTATTTTGTTACAGCAACCAGATTGGACTAAGGCAACAAACATATGTTCCTTACAGGTAGACAGTGTGCATGAGTCATCTCTGCGTTTCCAGCATTTAGCCCACTGGCTGGCATATAGCACATGCTCAATATTTACTTCCTAAGCAAATGATTGCTAATCTTTGACTGAGTGGCTGACTGTTCAAATGAAGAAAGCCACACATTTGAGTGTTTGGACTTTTTTTCAGCCTCATCATAAAATACAGAGCATTTGGATTATTTGATAGAAGCCTAAGTGAAGTAATATTGCTTGAAATGATGAAAGTTTTATTAAGATTTTCTTTATACTCAATCCATTTTGCAAGGCCTACCTCAAATACTGTCTCCACAATAAAGTATTCTCTAGTCCTCACTTTGTGGTCTAAATCTTCAGTTCTTTTCCTCACCAGGTAATGTGCCTAAAAGCAAAGATCTTCGAAGTCTGTATTGCAATACATTTGTTTACTGCAGAAACAGCTTAATGGGTCAAATTTTGAAAGATAAAAGTGATGGGATGGGCTGGAATGAAAATAGAATAGAATAGAATAGAATAGAATAGAATAGAATAGAATAGAATAGAATAGGAGGAATAGGACAGAATAACATGTTTTGCAAATAGCTAAATCTTAAATAATTCCAGTCTGTGTGGGAGTGTGCATGTGTGTACTTGTCTGGAGTGTGTTCCAGTTAAAATATGCTTATTTCTAAGGATTAGTATGAACAACTTTGCAAATAATTGGCACAGGTACTAAAGCCAGACAGACCTGATGAATACTGTTTCCACCACTTGCTAGTTATACAACTTTAGACAAATAACTGCCTTTTAGTGCATCAGTTTCCTCATTAGTAATATGGGACATTTACCACCTGTTTTTAGAACTACCACACTGGTTAAAATAAATGAAATAATGTAAGCAAAATTTGCTTGGAATAAAAGATCCTCAACAACAACCATTTCTCCCTTCTTTCCCCTTTCATCTCTTGGTTAACACTGACACATCATAAATTAACCAATATAATCTTCTTTGCCTAATAATTATGTTGGAGTTGTGTTGGAATTATAATTATGTTGGAATGTGTCAGATTTCCCCCATAAGAATTAAGTTATTTAAGACTAAGGAATAAGGATCATTTTTTTCATTCAATGAATACTTATTGAACCCCCTTTATAGTCAGGCACTCTTCTAGGCAGTGGCAATAGAGCCCTAAATGAAAACTGTAAAAATCTCTGGCCCTCATGGAGGTTATATTCCTAATAAGGAAGGCAAATACAAACCAAATAAATAAGTCACATGCCAGCAGCTAAAGTGTTAAGGAAAATGTTAAAATAGGAGTATAAGATAGAAAGTTCTGGACAGAAGGGGCTGCAATTTTAGATAGGATGGTTACAGCAAGTTTAACTCTGGTGAGTTGTGTATAAATGTGACCCACATATTTCATGACATGATACATGTTTAATTAACTGAAACAATAAAATGAATGTCAGGTAGAAGAAGCAAACGTGATAGTCAAGTATAGAAAAGGAATGGAACAAAAACAGGCCTTCTGTAATCTTTTTCTGTAGTCTGCAAAGTGATTTAAAACCTAGGGAAGGGAAAATTAAGCTTTTGTGCAAAGGATGTTTAAAGGCAGATGTGTTTAAAGAGGATGCAAAATCCAGAACAGCAGATGACTCTCATCCAATCTCTGCTATGCTATTTCATGTGAACAGCCAGCAGAGACATATCCCTAGGGGCTGCATCTTTAGCGGCCAAAGGACCTGTCATGGTTGATGTTTCAACTTTGAAACTGTTTCCAATAGGCCAGATGGGGTTCTTTGAAAGATAGTCTAGGTTTCCTAAGAGATGTTTCTAATTCAAAGAAAAATCAGATCCAAAGAGATCCAGCATAGTTCAATCCAAAACAGGGTCAGATTTCAAAGCTCTCCAATTCAGAGGGGAAATAACTATGAATACTGATTCATTTATTCTGTGTTTATTAAGTGCTTATTGGGTACTTCGGGGCTGCCTAGAGGGCGGAGGGAGGTGAACAGAGCAAACACTCGTGGAACACTCACTATGTGCTGTGTCCTGATGACAGACTCTTTACAGGCCTAATTCAGTCCTCACAACAGTTATATGTGGTGGATATTGTAAGAGAGATTGGTTGCTGCTCACCAAAACTTGTTTTCTCTTCTTCTTGGGCACCCTACTCGATGCCATTTTCCCACCTCTTACAATTACGTGACACTGTGACTGAATTCTACCCAGTGGAATGAGCGTAGGAGTAACATGCACAACTGCCTAATCCCGGGCCCTTCGTAACTTTTTCCTATGACGCCGCGTGCTCTCCCCTTACCCCAGGAAGATGTCAAGACTCGTGGTGATCTTGGAAGTCACAAACTGAGGGTAGGCAACCCCTCCTGATGCACCATTCCCGGATGCCGCCTGAGGCCAAGCCTGACACCCGTGGTTGCCAGTAGCACGGTGTTGCACTGTTGCATGGGCAAAGGATGGAGAGCTGTTGTTACTCCACAGAGACTTGCAGGTTTATTTGTTATAACAACTAATGTGCCCCTAGTTAATTTTGAAAGTGGTACCAAGAGTAGGATTCTGGCATGATTAAATCAAAAATGTGTTCACAGATTGCACTTGGGCAATGGGTGTCAAGAAAACAGAATGAGATAGAAGTCTGTAGACCCTTGTTGTGAAATAGCAAAATGTTTGGTAAAACTGTCCCTTGTGATAACTTCTATGACAAACCAAGTGCCTACTGAACCTGCGGCTCTAGAAGAAATGGATAGAAAGAGCCAAAGCGTTTCTGGGATTGATTACTCCTCTTTGTTTACACCGATGATCACAAGAGATGAGCTCAGAAGAGATGCTCCTATTTTCAAGCAAATGAAGGGGGAGGGAATGAGAGACTGATTTCAGAAATGTTTGAGAACACCAACTCAGTCTGGATCTCAAATGTCAGGAAGAAGATTAAAAAAAATGGTTCTAAGCAGCAAAGGCTCAATATTACTTAACGATTTGACGAAAGGCCTCACCTTCGTGGCAATTATCAAATCAAGGTTTTTACCTTCCTTTCCACGCCCTTTCTTTCAGAGTATCCCAATGTATCCACATTAAGAGAAGAAAAAGGGCACAGTAACACAAAAAGAAAGCAATAATGTAGGTCTATGAGTTATATCTATTTATATTTTTTATTTTTTTTCATGTGGCAAATGGATCTGCCTGAAAA